>NC_000002.12:113853254-114156284 GCF_000001405.40 Homo sapiens | reverse complement strand
AGGACATGTCGATTTGTTATATAGATAAACGTGTGCTGTGGTGGTTTGCTGCACCTATCAACCTACCACCTAGGAATTAAGCCCCACAAGCATTAGCTATTTATCCTGATTCTCTCCCTCCCGCCGCCCCACTGACAGGCCCCAGTGTGTCTTGTTCCCCTTCCTGTGTCCAGTGTTCTCATTGTTCAGCTCCCCCTTATAAGTGAAAACAGGTGGTGTACAAGTTTCCATTCACTGTTCACTTCTATGACTCAATCCATCTGCCTTTATTGCTCTCATTTCTCCCCTTGGTTTGCTGTGGAGATCAACATAACATTCCTTGCTAAGACTTGGTCTTTCCTTTCACTCCTCCTCTAGGTCTTGCCAGACTCTGTCCAGTCTCAGATTCCGAGAGATAAGATAACCTTTCCCTCTGAGGGAAAAGGCTGGAGCCCTCTTCGTTTTCTGTTTCTATGTTAGTTTGCTGAGGATAATGGCTTCCAGCTCCATCCATGTCCCTGCAAAGGATATGATCTCATTCCTATTTATGGCTGCATAGTGTTCTATGGTATATATGTACCACATTTTCTTTATCCAGTCTATCATTGATGGGCATTTGGGCTGATTCCATGTCTTTGCTATTGTGAATAGTGCTGCAATGAACATACTCATGCATGTATCTTTACACCATATTGAATACTGAAGTGGTGTCATTTGTCTGGGGTAAATACCCAGGGTTTATCATCTCATGCCAAGGAAATCAAGTATGCAGAGACACAAGTGGGTTTAGGAGCGGAGGTTTAATAGGCAAAAGAAAGAGAAAGAAGGATAGCTCTCTCTCCTGAGAGAGAGGGACACCTGAGTGGGACTTCTGGTCCCGTGGTGAAGTGCAGGGGGGTTTGTAGACTGGTTTGAGAAGGCAGTGCCTGATTTACGTAGGGCCCAAAGATTGGTTGGACCAGGTGTGACATTTACATAGCACAGGAGGAAGCTGGCTGCCCCACCCTACTCTTTTATTATGCAAATGGGGTATCTATTTGGCCTGCGCCATGTTGCTTGCTCCTTACTGTACACGTGGTTGGCAAAGAAAAGGGAAGACAGAGCTGCCATTTTAAACATGCCTAGTCCCCAGGTAGTCCCTTTCCTATTCACACAGCTGTTAGCATTCTCCTGTGCAAGCTTCTAGCTTGCCTTTCTATGTCTGCAGCTCAATTTTACAGGCTGCTCTTTATTGGAAAAGAAATGATTTTGGGGATGCTTTTTATTAAAAGAGAAACCTTACCGAGGACTTTCTTACCCTCGCTATCTGCCTAAATAACTTCTTTTTAACTCCTATATCAACACTTTACATGAATTATCTCCTTCAACCTCACCAAAGCCCATCTTACAGATGAGGAAACTGAAACTTGAAGATGTTAAGGAGCTTGCTCAGAGTCTTGATGTATATATATGGTGGAGATAGGGCTTGAAGGTGAACTTTTTACTCCAGGGCTCCTGCGCATAACCTCTATTGCAAGTCGCTTTACCACCAAAGCAATCTCTGTGCTAACAGAGTGAAATGTATTCATGTAAACATGGCCACAAATATTCTTCTCCCTCCAGCCCACCCGAGAGTATTCTATCATTGCCAAAACCATTCCTTTGCTCCACCCTTTACCCTCAGAGGGAGATTATCTTATCTCTTAGAATTTGAGACCAGACAGAGTCCGGTAAGACCTAGAGGAGGAATGAAAGGAAAGACCAAGTCTTAGCAAAGAATGTTATGTCAATCTCCACAGCAAAGAAAGGGGAGGAATGAGAGCAATAAAGGCAGATGGATCGAAGTAAACAGCTAATGAAAAGCTCCAGGCAGTGTGAGATGCAAGAGAACTGAGGAAAGGAAAGTGGATATGAGAAATGCTGCTGGGGATTAATGTTCTTCAGTAGATAAAAATAACAAATGGAGTTGCTTTCATATTACTGTGTGGTTATGAAATTGTACTTCAGGAAATGTGACACCATTCCAGAGCTAATAACAACTCGAATGTCCCACAATTATGAGACCAAAGTATACAGTTTCAATAGGTTCATATCTGTGAAGAAACAGGGAACAGAAAGCATCCCGTGTGTAAACTTGTTATACATATACTGGGGTTAGGAAAAGTTTCCATAGTCCCAGCAGGTCTCATGGAACCACCCAGTGGGTTCTCCTCACCTGCTGCCTAGACAGAGCTGATTTATCAAGACAAGGAAATTTCAATAGAGAGTTAATTCACACAGAGTCCACTGTATGGGAGACTGAAGTCTTACTATTACTCAAATCAGCCTCTCCAAAGACTCAAGGATTGGGGTTTTTAAGGAAAATTTGATGGGTAGGGGGCCAGTGTATAGGGAATGCTGATTAGTTAGGTTGGAGATGGAATCTTGGGGAGCGGAAGCTGTCCTCTTATGCTGAGTCAGTTCCTGGGTGGGGGCCACAAGATCAGATGAGCCAGTTTATCAATCTGGGTGGTGCCAGCTGATCCATCAAGTACAGGGTTTGCAAATTATCTCAAGCACTGAGCTTAGGTTTTACAATAGTGATGTTATCCCCAGAAGCAATAGGGGGAAGGTGATAATCTTGCAGCTTCCAGCAGAATGATGACTAAACCATAATTTAAAAACTTGTGGCTAATTGGCTAGTCCTACAAAGGCAGTGTAGTCCCCAGGCAGGAAGGAGTTCTTTTTGGGAAATGGCTGTTATCGTCTTTGTTTCAAACTGTAAACGAAGTTCCTCCAAAAGTTAGTTCAGCCTATGCTCAGGAATGAACAAGGAGAGCTTGGAGGTTAGAGGCAAGATGGAGTTGGTTAGATCAGATCTTTTTCACTGTCGTAATTTTCTCAGTTATAATTTTCACAAAGGCAGTTTCAATCATAGCAGAGGCCACCCACCCAGCAAAGGACAGAAGGGTCCTTGTGGAATCCTTCTGCAAGTAAGCAATCTCCAAGCCCAACATCCGAAGCAAGAAAGGAGAAAATGACAGAAGATAAAAGGCCACAGAGAACACTTTTCCAAACACATAGACAACACCCTTTGAGGACTTCTTGAACTACCTGTAAGATTTGAAGAGGAGTATATTTGCAGCAATTCTAGTGGGGCAGAGAAATGCTGTTTTGTTCTATTTTCATGATCCTGTAAACTAAAAATAAAGTTCTAAGCACCCCAACTGACTAAACAGACCATTGCTTGGCCAAGGCAACCCCAGAGTAACCTCAAAAAGGAGTTCTCAGTCATGACAGGATCAGGGGTCAGGTGCATGTCATTGTACCCACTACTTCGCTAACCATGATTAGGTTTTCTTCCCTAAGGATTAAACTAAAACCAGTCCTTTCAAAGGACTCCACCACTGATATCAACCAACTGCCTGATGCTACCCCTCCTTTTCTGCCTGATAAGAGACCACTTACCACAGAGTGGCTCTGGCCAGTCTATGTAGAACATGCAGTGAGGGTTTTCATTTCCTCTCCTTCACCTTTTGACATCAGAAAACTCTACCCTCTCATTATGCTAACTCTGCTGTTTTTTTTACCTGAGGCTCAGGAAGGGGCATGAAGCTCAATTGCACATGTGCGTATTTCTCGTCTCATAAATATTCATGAATCCTCCTATAACTTATTAATATGTATATTTGACCACCAGTTTCCCTTTGTCTCTCCCTCAAAGTGTCTGTTTCTGGTTTCTGACCAAAGGCTACACTTCCCAGCCTGTCAGAATGTCCATCTGCAGGCTGCAACCCTTTATAAGAAATAAAGCTAGGCCAGGTGCGGTGGCTCACACCTGTAATCCCAACACTTTGGGAGGCTGAGGTGGGTGGATCACGAGGTCAGGAGTTCAAGACCAGCCTGGCCAAGATGGTAAAACCCTGTCTCTACTAAAAATACAAAAATTAGCCAGGCAGGGTGGCGGGCACCTGTAATCCCAGCTACTCGGGAGGCTGAGGCAGGAGAATCACTTGAATTCAGGACACAGAGGTTGCAGTGAGCCAAGATCACACCACTGCACTTTAGCCTGGGCAATAAGAGTGAGACTCTATCTCAGAAAAAAAAAAAAAAAAGAAAAAGAAAGAAAGCTGTCCTTTCCAAATTTAGAAACCTCATCATTGTTCAGTTGACAATTCTAATATAGCCCTAATTTGGAGAAACCTGAAAGAATCATGTAGTCTAGCTCCAATGAAAATTTAGAAAAATAGAAACAAGAAATTGTTAATATACATACAATGTAACATCATTCAGTCTTTAAAAAGAAGGAGATCTTGCCATTTTCAACAACATAAGTGAACCCAGAGGACATTGTGCTAAGTGAAATAAGCCAGACACAGAAAGAAAAATTCTGCACTATTTCGCTTATATGTGGTGTTTAAAAACAAGTGAAATTCATAGAATCAGAGAGTAGCATGGTGGCTACCAGGGCTAAGGAGGTGGGGCAAATCGGGAGACATTGCTCAATGGGTATAAATCTGTATTTGTGCAATATGAATAAGTTCTTGAGATCTAATGTACAGCATGGAGACTATAGGTAATAATACTGTAACATGGACTTGAACTTTTCTAGGAGAGTGGATCTTAAGTGTTCTCCCCACACACACAAAAAGAGGTAACTATGTGAAGAGATAGATATGTTATTAGCTTGACTGTCATAACCAGTTCACTGAGTCAAGGTATATCAAAAATCACACTGTATTCTTTAGATTACACAATTTCAGTAAAAAAATAAATTGGTAATATAATTAGATGACATATATTAACCTGAAGGACATATAGCGAGACAGATCTGCCCTGTACTTTAGAAAGGGGAGTGGAAATCCTCATTCTAGCAAGGGGAGTGGAGGTTTCCATCTGGGTTTTGAAACGACCATGAGTACTGAGATGTGGGTTTAGGAGACGGCAGGAAAGTCATGAGGGCTGCAAGGAAGCACTTGGAGAAGATGGGGGCAAGGGGCCTAACCCTCAGTGCACAGCTTTTCAGCTGCTTAGCAACCACTGCCTACAGATTAAGCAGTGGGTCTTTCAGAGCTATTTGTTGTAAGTAACAAGATTGTATCTGAGTTACCAAAGAGCTACTCTGGCTTTCAAAGGTAACAAGCTGACCACCAAAGGCAGTCAGTCACCAAGGTTTATTAGGGTTGGACCATGAGCTGCCCCACAGGGAGTTCAAAAGGAATAGGACTCAGCTCCAAGCAATCCCTGAAGAGTTAACCATCCAGGCAACACATACTATGTGTACAAGTGAAGATATTTTACATCTATATATGTGTGTGTGTATGTACACATAATTTAAAATGAACACATGATTTGTTCATGTGAACAAATAATTTAAAATACACTGAGAGGTATATATCTCTCAGTATAAATACACTAAGGGATATATTCCTCTCAGGGTATTTTAAATTATGTATTCTTTAAATGTACTGGATTATCTCAATCTTTTGTTTGTAAGTATATCTGTGATCATGTCCCATTTTAATGTAAAGAAACTCAATTTCTTTTGTCCTGCAAAGGAACATCCAAGGCAAAGGTAGTTAACCAGCATCCTGGGGTTAGAGTGTAACAAAATATTCTGTGACCCAATCAGGCTATTATACCCTAAGATCACTGCTATGCAGATGTTCATTATAGAAAGAGGGTTCATTTCAGTGTAAATATGTAGCATTTGGAAGAGAAAAGCTGATATGCCAGGCCGCTGACATCCCAACATGGGGAATCAAGGCAATCTGAAGTATATGCTCTCCAACCAAGCCTTAGTGACAAGGAAGGCCCTTGAGACTCTAGAAATAAAATGACATCTAAATAAAGGGAACTCCAGGCTAGATTCAAAGAGATAGAGTCTGTATATTGAGTTGGTTTCAAAATAGAGCACAGGAATAATGCTATGAGAGTCTTGTATTAGTCTGTTTCACACTGCTATACTACCCAAGACTAGGTAATTTATTAAGGAAAGAGGTTTAATAGTCTCACAGTTCCACATGGCTGGGAAGGCCTCAGGAAACTTACAATTATGGTGGAAGGGGAAGCTGGTACCTTCTTCACAAAGGGGTAGGAGAGACAGAAAAAGAAGCAAAAGGGGAAGAGCCCCTTATAAAACCATCAGATCTCATAAGAACTCATTCACTATCATGAGAACAGCATGGGGGAAACCACTCCCATGATCCAATCATCTCCCACCAGTTCTCTCTCTTGACACATGGAAATTACAATTTGAGATGAGATTTGGGTGGGGACAAAAAGCCAAATCATATCAAGTCTCTAGTCCATGTTCGTGCCTTAGGAATGATGACTGTTCTTGTGGTGTAATATGAAGAATGAGGACCCTGATCACAGCTGGCACCTCTAGCGTGGGATCATCCTTTCTCTACCGCTGAACTGAGGAGCAGGCACAACAGACTGACTGGCCAGGTGGAGCCACAGAGAATCACACCCACAAACATGTGGGCAGCTGGAAGTGTGGGCTGCTCAGACAGTAGTGTCTCTACACTTGGAGGTGAGAGGCAGATGTACGTGTCACCTGGGACAGTGTTAGCTCCACTCATCCAGGGTCCTAGAAGAAAATCAAGGGAAACATGGCATGCCAAACTGTAAACACCCCCATTTACTAATCTGGGCTGTCAGGATTCTACCTGGTTTTAATTTAATTTAAGGAAATAAAAGAGAAGTGGAGGGACATGTACCCAGAATGCTGTGGGACAATTCATTTTCCACATGCATGATGCAGGCTGATCCCTTAGCCACCATCCACCTAACCAGGGGCTACATCCGCTGTTCTATTCAGGTTCTTCAAGATGACATGAACACATTTGTTTATCAAGTGTGGGTGTGTATTTTACTTTTAAATAAAAACATGCCTGGGAAACACCAATTAGCATCACAAGGAGTCCCAGACAAAGAATCAGTGAAAGACACTTACTATTTATGTTTAAGTGGTGTTAATCCAATGCGTTGAGAAAGGCAAATACTACTTTTAGGGATGCAGAAGGATTTAGGGATGGAATGGTAAGATGGGAATTATATTAAGATTGGAGGAAGAAAGAAAAAAATGAAACAAGTTTGACAAAATGTTGACTGTTGTTGAATCTCAGAGGTGAGGAGTGTAGAGGAGTTCATTATACTTTTGCAAATATTTGAAAATTTACATAACAAAATATTTGTTAAAACAATGTGAAAAAAAGTAGAGGCAATTGGATTTCCAGTATTGTCTGCATACTTCACAGGCACGAAAGCTAGCCAGAACAGTATGGGATTAGTTATCGATGGCTGAAATCCAGTAGCTTCACAAATATCATATCTAATTATTATTATTATTATTAGTATTAGTATTAGTATTATTATTATTTTCAGATGGAGTCTTGCTCCATCTCCCAGGTTGGAGTGCAGAAGCACGATCTCAGCTCACTGCAACCTCAGCCTCTGGGTTCAAGCAATTCTCCTTCCTCAGCCTCCTGAGTAGCTGGGATTACAGGCGTCTGCCACCACGCCCGGCTAATTTTTCTATTTTTTAGTAGAGACGGGCTTTCACCATGTTGGCCAGGCTGGTCTTGCACTTCTGAACCCAGGTAATCTGCCCACCTCAGTCTCCCAAAGTGCTGGGATTACAGGCATGAGCCACGGTGCCCGGCCCATATCTAATTATTTAACATGTTAAATTTGTGTTTTGAATTCAGATGCAGAGGGGTGAGTTAACCGTGGTCCCTGGTTGATGGCACATTATCAACAGTCTACGAGAGGCTTCTCTCATGGTCTGTTTATGTACTTATTCCCTCTGATTCCTCTAAATACAAAACCCTTCTCACTTGTTCATGTGAAGTCCTTGTATGTGGTCTTGAAAAATACACATTTTATTTATGTGCATTTATTATAAATACATTCTGTTCTGAAAATATCAGACTGAATTGTTATGGATGAGATTATTATTTCTTAAACTTATCAATTACTGAGAAACATATGTTCCATTTCTGTGAATGAAATTGCAAAGAAATGGCAACAAATACGTAAGACATGCAGCAGTTTGGCATAGGAAAATAGATCTCAGTGACTGAAGCATTATTTTAATATATTTTTCTCATTAATAGCGATGATAAAAATATATTCAGCACTATTTTTTCCAAATTCTATAGAAAATATACAGTTCAATTTGTTTTATGACACTTAGATTAAATGTTTTTCTTCTTGTTTGTTTGTTCTTCGAGACAGGGTCTCAAACTGTCACTCAGGCTGCAGTGCAGTGGTGTGATCACAGCTTACTGAAGCCTCAAGTATTTGAGCCACCAAGCCCAGCTAATTTTTGTAATTTTTGTAGACGGGGTCTCACTATGTTACCCAGGCTGGTCTCGAACTCCTGGGCTCCAGTGATCCACCTGCCTCAGCCTCCCAAAGTGTTGTGATTGCAGGCATGAGCCTGACAACCTGTATATTCTTTGGCCCATATATGATGTTAGTCCAGCTGCCAATTACACTACAAGCTACTTAAATAGGATTTATCATCACATATGCAATCAAACTTTCAAATGAAAAGTGGCACATACCCAGCAGGTGTCTCTTAAATATGGGGGAATGGGAATACTATGAGATAATACAGTCAAGATTGAAGACTATACTAAATCTTGGCCATCACTGAGAATCAGAAAAAATGTGGCTTGCAAGAATTTCTATTATGAAAAAGACGGAGAATAGAATTAACAACACCTGCAGGTTAATGCCCTGAGTGGCTAGAATGAACACTGTCAGTGATGTTTGTGGTTGTTTACTTTATAAATAAATCCTTGTTTACTATATTTACTTTGTCTAGAAATATTTACTGGGAATAGTGCATTATAGCAAAAGGATGAGACTTTATTTTATCTAACTCACTGAAATGCATCTCCTCCTTCCTTTTGTCTAATTCACTGAAATGCATCTCTTTCCTTTCCTTTAATTCTTATAAAAAAGTTCATTTTGTTTTAAGTGCTTTTTAATTACTACTTCTTTTCAAGAAACTAAGCATCATGTAAATTAGGAGACAGGTGCACTATACATACCATTGAAATATGCAAGCCATACTTAACTTATAAATGGAGTGTATTTTCTGAGTATCTTAATAAGTCAGATGTTGAGAATTCTGTGCATTTTTTCACATAAAGATATGTTACATAGAATGATAAGTTTTCTAGATTCAGCGAAAATTTCTCTACCTTGTTAACATTGATAAAATTATTTTCTTAAAGAAATTGTTCTCAAAGTATGGTCCAAAGACCCCAGGAAACCACTGAGACACTTTCAAGGGGTCCTCAAGGTCAATACTATTTTCACAATCATCCTGTGATTCTATTTACTTTTTCATTACACCGACATTGCACTGATGGTCCAACAGCAATGGTAGATTAAAAACTTCTGATTCCTTAGCCCAAATCAATATGACAATGCTGTACTGATAATCTTCAGATTCTTCCCCAGCACTCACTCACATTAAAGAAAAATGCCAGTTTCACTTAAGAACATCCATGATGAAGCAGTAAACATTTCATTAAACCACAACTTTGAATACACATCTTTTAAATATTCTGTATAATAAAATGGGAAATATACATACTATATGCCAAATGACAATAGTTGTCTACAGAAAAAAAAACACTCATGTGTATTGTTCCAGTTGCAAGCTAAACTAGCCCCTTTTTTCATGGAATACCTGTTTTTTGAAAGAAGAGTGGAAAACTGTGATTAGCCAGATGTGGATATGTAGTAGACATTTTCTCAAAAAATGAATTAAGCGATCCTTATACTTCCAAAAAAATTGATATCTTTGCTGCCAATAATTAAATTTCATCTTTAAAATAAAAATTAGAATTTTGAAGAATTTATATCTACCACCATAAGTTTGATGGCTTCCTGACATTTAAACACTGATATGGTTTCAGAATTCACATGGCAACTAAACTTTAAGAATGATCACTTATAGAATTTTAGTATAATATCAAAGAAGAATATTCATAATTATCTGAAGAGACTATTAAAATATTTCTCCTTTTCCAACTACATATCTGTGCAAGGTCAGATTTATTTATATAATTCAACCAAATTGACATACTTGAACAGATCAAATGCAGAAGCAGAAATGAGAATACAACTGTCTTCTATTAAACCAGACATTAAAGAGATTTACACAAAAGCAAATTAATGCCATTCTTTTTGCTACTTTTTTTGTTTTAGAAAAGATATTAACAGTCACTTAATATAGTTACTTTATTTTAAAATATAATGTTGCATGTAATGAGTTTACTGTTATTTTAAGTGAATTAATAAATATGTTTTATTGCATTTTAGCTTCTAATACAGTATATTTCGTATAGCCTTTAGTGTCCTTAATAGTTTTTAAGAGTATAAAGAGTTCCTTCCCATGTTTATTCCAGCACTATAGCCAAGACATGGAATGAACCTAAGTGCTCATCAGTGGATAAATGGATACAGAAAATACAGTATACGTACACAATGGAATTCTGTTCAGACTTAAGAAATAAGGAAATCCTGTCATTGGCAGCAACATGGATAAACCTAGAGGACATTATGCTAATATTTTATTTTATTTTATTTTATTTTATCTTATTTTATTTTATTTTATTTTATTTTCGAGACAGGGTCTCACTCTGTCTCCCAGGCTGGAATGCAATGGCGCAATTACTGCACCCTTGAACTGCTGGGGCTCAAGCGGTCCTCCCACCTCAGCTTCTCAAGTAGTTGGGACTACAGGCTTGTGCCACCATGCTGGGCTACTTTTTCTATTTTTAGTAGAGATGAGTTTTCACTGTGTTGCTGGTCTTGAACAGTCATTTAGGCTGGTCTTGAACTCCTGAGCTCAAGCGATCCTCCCACCTCGGCCTCCCAAATGCTGGGATTACAGACATAAGCCATCATGCCCAGCCCACTGTGAAATCTTAAAAAGTCAAATTCATAAAAGCAGAGAATAGAATGGTGGCTACCAGGGCTAGGTGGAGTGGGAGAGTGGTGTGGGGTATATATTGTATATTTGAAAATTGCTAAGAGAGTAGATTTTAAATGTTCTCATCAAAAAAGATGATAAATATGAAAGGTAACACAACGTATGATAATTAGCTAGATTTTGAAATTTTACAATGTATGCATACTTCAAAACATCATGTTGTGCACCATAAATTTTTATTTTGTCAATTAAAAAATTAATTTTTAATCTAATAAAAGCATAAAGAGTTCTTGAGATTAAAACATTTGAGAGCCACTGCCCTAGAGAAACAATATTAAGCTCCTCTGAAAATACCAGAAGAAAAAGCTTCTCCTGCTCTACTCCAGAGATGTGTCCCCCTTCCATTCAACACAACTATGCTAGGAACCTTCAGTTCCTAGGCAAAGTCGGCTCATGGGGGAGATGGCATGCAGCACAGGGGTAGGAATGGGGGACGTTTCCACAGTAAGGGGGAAATTCCCAAAGCCTCTTATATAAATATGAATGAAAGGGGAAAGTTGAAAGCAGACTTAAAATTTCCATAGGCATAAAAGGCATCAGAAGATCAGAGCTTAACTTCTGCAGTTTCTTCCAAAGATTCTGGGTGGGACACATTGTTTCATTGCAGATGAATATATCCCTAGCTTCTAACACAGTGCCCGGCACACAGTAGCTTCCTGATATCTGTTTGTTTGGTGATGAATAGACAGACAGATGGCTGAATGGATGGGTAAATAAATGGATACATGGAAAAATAAATAGATGGATGGAGAGACATCCTGGAAGAGATAAAAGCCAATAAGCAGAGGAGTTTTGGCAACTTGAGAACAGGCTCAATATTCAGCATAACCAATAGAATCAATTAGAAATGTATGCATTAAAAAGGCAAATAACCTTACAAAGATGCATATGAGGATGTGTTTATATGCATACTGATTTTAGCACTTATGAATAAATACAGTACCTAAATGCTGGGAGGCAGGGTCAAAAGAAATGATGAATGAAATAAAGCGAGGTGATTTAAAGGTTTCCTGGGAGTATTGAGATTTTGAGTTGGGTTGACCTTGGACATGGATTGGTGGAGATAAAATAGCAGAGCACTCCAAGGGGAAGAAAACACACGATCCCACCTGCACTGATGATGTCAGCCATTCTCCAACACTGCCTTGAGTAGAGAGACCACGTAGGGACGTGGGAGGTGGAGCTCATAAGACAAAGAGCCTTGTTTATCTTGCCTCTGGAGAAAACTAGGCTTTCCTGTGTGTAACTCTTTTAACATACTCAAATTTCAAAGGCATACACAACTATAAAAGGTTGAATTTATCTGCCCTCTTACTCTTTTCTCCTCCCAGTACTAGAATGGTAAAAAGACCTCCTGAAAAAAGCAACCATCATTACACAGTTAGAGAGCCTTTTGTTCTTAATGGCATTTCATCAATGAGCATGTCTGATTTTTGAAAATTCAATTCAGGTCAAGTCAACATGCACTTGCTGAACACATGCTGTATACCAGGAACATTCTGAGCACTAGAATAAACAAAGATGAATACATGATGGTCCCTGCCTTGAAGAAGCTCACAGTCCTATAGAGAATGCAAACATCTGAATTAGTGAAATACCAGTTGAGTGCTGCAGTGGAACCATGGAACAGTGTGCCCTTTCAGAACAATCTTCCCCCAAAATGTAGCTTCCTATTTATTCTTCATAAATCTTTCATCTTTCTTAATCCTTGTTAGAGACAGTCTGGAAAGGCCTACAGAAAATCTATGTCACAAGTAATCTTAATTAAGAATATCTTATTAGACAATAGGCTACTCCAGTAAAATGCCATCCTGAGGAACTGGGAGCTAATGAGCCCTGAGCATTCAAGCTTGGAGCTGTTGCTAGGAGCAGTCAAACAAGGAAGAGAGACAGCTTGGCATTTTTGTCACTGCACCTGGCATGAGAGAAAACCACTTTCTTTCCACATCCCAGCAATCATGTAAAATAATACCTCTGCTTAACTCTGGTAGAAAGCATCTGCTATGGTTAAGATAGCTCTGGAATACTAGACCTCCATATCCCAACCCAGCATGGGACCTGATGAGACCCGAGGACCAGTCACTAAAGCTCAGCATGGCTAGGGCACTTGGGAGTGAAGTTCTAACTTATCCAGTGTGTCTTCTCCGTATTTGAGCTGAGGTAGAAATGCCCCTCAAACAAGACACAGAAAATGAAGGAGGGGGTCTAGCCAGGGCAGGAACTTTGAAACAGGCGAAAATAAAGATTCTGCTTGTGGCAAGGAGCACAGCTGATACAATTCAATTCTAATCCGGAAGACAACAATCAGTCAAGAAAGCACAATTACTTGCTGAATTACGGGAGTATGCCAAGACAGCTGGAATACAACTGAGACCAAAACAGATGCAGGTGTTACCCTTATGGACTTAAAATATTTAACAGTTAAACATTGAAAGTGTAGCTACAAGTACAGTGAATACAGGAAAATACAAGGGACTATTGTAGCATATATAAAGGCCTTAGCTTAGTTTGGGGGGATCAAGGAAGACTTGCCTAGGAAGTAATATTTAAACTAAGATGAAGGTTTGAATAGGAATTTACTAAAGAGGAAGTGTCAACTACCTAACCATCATAGAAACCAGTTCCAGACCCAGCCTGAGAGAACAAGGCCAGAATTGGAGCTTCACAAAAGGAGAGAATCCGTTTTAACCATAGACCTACTGATACTCTTCATCTTCACTGAACCTCTAGAAACTGATCAGGGATCAAAGTTCGGCTTTCAGGGCTGAGATCCAGGGAGCTTTTAGGAGGGACTTGAGGAGTCTTGTCAGAGAGGGAGGCTCAGAGGCCGACAGGAAGCCAATCTCAGGAGAGTCTGAATGGACTTAGGAGATTCCACAGAGATTACAAGGCTGTCCATGGAGGAATGCAGAAGGAGGGTATCTTTATTTATTTATTTATTAATTTTTTGAGATGGAGTTTTGCTCTTGTTGCCCAGGCTGGAGTGCAGTGGCACGATCTAGGCACACCACAACCTCTGACCCCCAAGTTCAAGCCATTCTCCTGCCTCAGCCTCCTGAGTAGCTGGGATTACGGGCACGTGCCACCATGCCCAGATAATTTTTTGTATTTTTAGTAGAGATGGGGTTTCATCATTTGGCCAGGCTGGTCTCGAACTCCTGACCGCAGGTGTTCCACCAGTCTCGGCCTCCCAAAGTGCAGGGATGACAGGCGTGAGCCACCGCGCCTGGCTGAGGGTATCTTTTTGAACTTTAAAGTTCAATAGTTATGGCCTCTCCAAAAAAACAAGAAGCAGTCAGAAGTCAACTCAATAGAATAGTATGTGTAGAAAAAATATGTGCTTCATGGGAAGTTGTGATGATGGTTTTTTCTCTTGCTTTTATTTTTCTTAACCCCAGTAACCTGAAATTGGCCACACTTACACACAAAAGAATATATCTTAATAAAAAATTAACTTCTGACCTATAGTAAAAAGTGGCAGAAATTAAAAGAAAAATGTATTCAAATGCAATTAAATTTAAAATTATGCTACTTTATTCTCCTCTCACAATTTATATTTTAAAAATGTTTATGAGTCTGAAATAAAGCAAGATGGTGGCCAAGGAGAAGAAAGCTATTCCCAAATGTGGGACTTGCCCCTGCAGACCTAGTCTCCATCCTTCACTGTCAGTATAGTCATTGCCCTGAAGATGACTTTTCATGGACTGACTCAATGGGCTCTCTTGCCTTCCAGTTTCCTGTTGTAAGGTGATGTATACAGGAGATTGGAAGGCAGGAAGGTGAGTTCCAGGTGTTTATTCTAAGAGTTGCTGCAATAAACACCTGGAACTCAGCTGCATTCTTCCACCCATGGCCATGGCACCTGCAGGGTCATTGCCCTACTAAACACTCCCACCCTTTCCCACTCACCCCTCCAGGTCAAAGGTTAGTGTCAGCCCCACACTGTGCTAGCCCAACATGACTTCACTGCCCCTGAGCAGGACCTCCTAACATTGCCTGAACATTTATACAAAACAGTTCTTTCCTTAAACCCAGTTCCCTCATTTGAGTAGGCCGGAACCCTGGCTGAGACACCAGAGAGCTTTATACCAAACTTCTCAAGATTCTTGACACAGAGGGATGGGGCACTGGGGTCAGAGAAAGTCAAGAGAAGAGCAAGAAAATAGCAGCAAAAGCAGTTTCTTTGTCATTTCCTGAAGCTTCAGAGACTGCCCAGGAAGAAGAGGGTAAGGGCATAAGGCCAAGCGGGGGAAGATATGATTCTTTAGACAAAAACATGAATGGAGGGAAAGGGCCAAAATAATAAAATTAACAAGAAAGCTGCCATTCCTTAATAACTTACTACCTGCATAACATTGTGTTTCACCGTCTACTTGCATTATCTCATGTGATTTCACAAAAGCCCATTTTCCAGGTAAGAAAAGTGGATGTAAGTAGGTTACTTTACTTGGTCTTGGTGGAAAAAGCTGGATATAATGGCAGGGTGGTCTACGATGAGAGCCCAAGACCTTAACTGCACTGATGCCACTGTACCCACACTAAGACTCTGAGAAGCCCTAACAACTGTTGTGTGATGAAAAGGAATAGGGCCTGGATGCTCTGGAAATCTTGTGCCAGCCCAAGAATCTGCAGCTAGGCTTTAATATCAATCTGCTTAGATGATTACATCCATGTTTGAATAGATGGCTTGTTTGAACATTTGTGTCCCCTCCAGCACCCATGTTGAAACTGAATCTCCAATACAATAGTATTAAGAAGTGGGGCCTTTAGCAGGTGATTAGGTCACGAGGGCTCCTCTCTTACGAATGGGATTAAGTCTCTAATAAAAGTGGCTGTGCTGAGCACTCAACTCCTTTTTGCTCTTTCACTTCTTGTTATGGAAGAACACAGCAACAAGGTGCCGTCCCGAAAGGAGAGACTGGGCCCTCACCAGGTGCTGAACTGGCCAGTGCCTTGACCTTGGACTTCCCAGCCTCCAGAACTGCAAAAAAAGTAAACTCCTCTTTTTTTATAAATTACCCAGTTTTATGTATTTTGTTAAAGCAGTACAAACAGACTAAAATATAGTTTGTCACCATCTTATCTTTTGTTTCTTTTATCTTTTGTTAACTTTTGTTTTTCTTTCTTTTGTTTTAATCTTTCTGTTTTCCCATAACTTCTTTGTTCCCTAAACAACAAACAAAAACCAAAGTCATAACAAAGCTTTATCATAATTGAAACAAAGGGGAAGGACTATTTCCACCATAGGCCAAGGAGTCTAGGAACCCTCAGAAATTCGAGAGACCCAACTTAGACATGGCAGCAAGAGAGGAATCCTATGAACACTCCTCTGTGAAAATGGGAAGACTTAAAAGCAGAAGTTTGGCAGAAACATCAAAACTAGAAAACACAAGAGAAGGATGCAAAGCTCATTTTTTTCTTCTTCCTAACAGTATTGACTACGTTATGTGTGGGGCCCAGTGAAAAATGAAAATGCAGGCCCCCTTGTTAAAAAATTATTATTAAGAATTTTAAGATGGCAACTGCAAAATATTAAACCAAGTATAGGACCTTCTGAGCCACAAAGCCCCACGTGATCGCGCAGGTCACGTGCCCAGGAAGTTGCTCCTATTCCTACAAAGATATTTCCTGTCAAAGTAAAATATACTTTTGTTAACCATTTTTTTAAATAAAGGAGTTAGCAGATAAGACTGTGGAGAAAGTAGATTGGCATAGGCCAAAAATCACATGGCATATAGTAATGCCACCAAACTGTCATTGAGTATAAAAAGCAGCAGCCCAGAACACTGATTCAGGGACTCATGATGGTCAGCCAGCCTTGAATCTAAAGTTTGCTGTCAGAGGAAGGACATTCCCAACTCACCCACCAGGGCTTTTGCTGGAAACTCTTCTCTCCACTCATTAATCTCAGGGCCAACACAGCTGTGGTTTCCAGGAAACAACGGAGACCCTGATGCAGGGACATCCTCAGAAAACATTCATTTAAATAGATTACTGTTGTCTAAAAAGTCAATTAAGAAAAAAAAACAATGGTAATCCACAAATCTGAGCACTTAGAACCTGCTTCAAATTTGCCTAAACGTTGATTAATCGCTATTAATTTTGCACAGTAAAGGCCAAATTACCATTTGTTTCCATCTGCTCATAAAAAATTAGTTTAATCTCTAAATATTAATGAAAAGTGTTCATTTATAACTGAGGAACTTTTCAGCTTTCTGGATATTACCGTCACTGATGTAAATTTATCAGGAGTGTGTCAGTAAAGTCAAATCACAGACCAATAGAAGTTCTCGCTAATTGGAAAATCAAATACCAGGCTTTGGCCAGAGCTCACTAATTTTCCCTAGTGCAGTCTGCGTAGCTGAAGGAAGGAGGGTAGACCTTTCACTTTGATTGTACAGTCAAATTAGACCATTTATTTTTAAATCACTCATTCTTTATAATAGGCATTTGTTGTTTTTTGATCCGTTCCATTTTTCCAAAGATAATAGTACCCCAACTTTCTTCTGAGGGACACACCTCTCTCCTCTACCACTGTGTATAATGCTGGGGGTTTTATAAATCAAGATACCCACCTTCCCCTAAAAAAAAAGTGTGAGTAGTTGTCCTGAGCTTGAATAATCAGGAGAGCTCTCCCAGGACTTCAAATCTTGATAGATGAAAAAATAATGTTTGAACCTCATCCATTACAGCAGTGAGATTCTGCAAAGACAATTGACTTGTTCCTGCCATGTGGAAGCCCAAAGCTATCTGGTTCCTGCATTTCCAACCCTTTTCCTCCACATTTTCTAGCATTTCTTTGAGCTATTAAGTATGCTTGCTGTAAATTACTTTCCTGACAAAGTTAGCCAGAGTATCTGATGCTTGCAACTAGAAATAATACTGAACAACCTGACTCCAGCTTCCACTGTGTATTGAGCAATGTTATGGTTCCCTAAGGGATAAGGGACTAACTGAAGATAAGCTTGCAAAGCTCAGCATCTAATTGGAGAAAAAGTTCAAAGCACTTATAAATATGATAGAAGGGTTGGCAACAGACCAATGTGTTCAAATTTATATAGTATAATATATGTTTATGGGTATATATTACAATAGAACATATACTAAGGAAAACCCAGAGAATCGAATGTTAAGGCATTATCAAAAAGAATGTGAGTGAGATTAAGGGGTGAAAAGGATTTAGTTTAACAAGATGAAAGGGATGATCTACAAAATCAAATAAACTTAACAATTGCCAAATGTCATTTACAATAAGCATTACGGGATTAACTGAACACAAAGAAAAAATAAGTTTTGACATTGCAGAATTATGCCACTAAATCATTAGGACCCTAACAATTAATTTGTCTGTGGCACATCTGGTTAGGGCAAGTGAGATGGTATCTCATTGTGGTTTTGATTTGCATTTCTCTGATGGCCAGTGATGGTGAGCATTTTTTCATGTGTTTTTTGGCTGCATAAATGTCTTCTTTTGAGAAGTGTCTGTTCATGTCCTTTGCCCACTTTTTGATGGGGTTGTTTGTTTTTTTCTTGTAAATTTGTTTGAGTTCATTGTAGATTCTGGATATTAGCCCTTTGTCAGATGAGTAGGTTGTGAAAATTTTCTCCCATTTTGTACGTTGCCTGTTCACTCTGATGGTAGTTTCTTTTGCTGTGCAGAACCTCTTTAGTTTAATTAGATCCCATTTGTCAATTTTGGCTTTTGTTGCCATTGCTTTTGGTGTTTTAGACATGAAGTCCTTGCCCATGCCTATGTCCTGAATGGTAATGCCTAGGTTTTCTTCCAGGGTTTTTATGGTTTTAGGTCTAATGTTTAAGTCTTTAATCCATCTTGAATTAATTTTTGTATAAGGTGTAAGGAAGGGATCCAGTTTCAACTTTCTTACAACCCTTCATGCTAAAAACTCTCAATAAATTAGGTATTGATGGGATGTATCTCAAAATAATAAGAGCTATCTATGACAAACCCACAGCCAATTTCATACTGAATGGGCAAAAACTGGAAGCATTCCCTTTGAAAACTGGCACAAGACAGGGATTCCCTCTCTCACCACTCCTATTCAACATAGTGTTGGAAGTTCTGGCCAGGGCAATTAGGCAGGAGAAGGAAATAAAGGGTATTCAATTAGGAAAAGAGGAAGTCAAATTGTCCCTGTTTGCAGATGACATGATTGTATGTCTAGAAAACCCCATTGTCTCAGCCCAAAATCTCCTCAAGCTGATAAGCAACTTCAGCAAAGTCTCAGGATACAAAATCAATGTACAAAAATTACAAGCATTCTTATACACCAACAACAGACAAACAGAGAGCCAAATCATGAGTGAACTCCCATTCACAATTGCTTCAAAGAGAATAAAATACCTAGGAGTCCAACTTACAAGGGACGTGAAGGACCTCTTCAAGGAGAATTACAAACCACTGCTCAAGGAAATAAAAGAGGATACAAACAAATGGAAGAACATTCCATGCTCATGGGTAGGAAGAATCAATATCGTGAAAATGGCCATACTGCCCAAGGTAATTTACAGATTCAATGCCAACCCCATCAAGCTACCAATGACTTTCTTCACAGAATTGGAAAAAACTACTCTAAAGTTCATATGGAACCAAAAAAGAGCCCGCATCGCCAAGTCAATCCTAAGCCAAAAGAACAAACCTGGAGGCATCACGCTACCTGACTTCAAACTATACTACAAGGCTACAGTAACGAAAACAGCATGGTACTGGTACCAAAACAGAGATATAGATCAATGGAACAGAACAGAGCCCTCAGAAATAACGCCGCATATCTACAACTATCTGATCTTTGACAAACCTGAGAAAAACAAGCAATGGGGAAAGGATTCCCTATTTAATAAACGGTGCTGGGAAAACTGGCAGCATTCAAATTTAAGTGGTTCAGAAACACCTACATTCAAAATCTATCCCCCTTCACTATGGAAATATTAATGTAATCTCTATAAATTGCAATCACTATTTGAAATTTCAATAAAGCCCCTCGACTTGCATTTTTAATGTAAAGAAAAATAACCAAGTATATTGCTATGATTTTATAAGGGAACATAAAGACATCAACTTTGGGTAGTAATAATTTGTCTACTCCGTTCTAATATCATTTGACCTCAACACAAATCTGTTATAAGGACTTTGGCCCAAATCAGGCCTGTTCGCTCTGCCTATATTCTAATGCCAGCTTCTTTTCTTGGATGGTAGTCCTACCAAACACATCCAGTGCTCTACTCTTGGCCTTAATTGGTTCTGACATCCTTAGACTACATCCCTTCTCCTAAAACTACGGTGCCACTGGTGTCAAAGCTGAGCCTGCAAAGCTGTGATAGTCAGGATGTGGCTACCTCTCACTCAGAGGCAAGGAGATTAAGGTACAGAGGACCTTATAGTCCGTGGCCGATCAGCTTCGCACCCAGGGCAGCAGGCACTTTGCTGCTAACAAAGATCGCCCAATTTTGTTTCTTGGACCCAGGGCAGGCTGACACTTTCTGGTTGCTTATATTGGGTAAAATCACATGACCAGTCCTGCCAGTTAGTTCTACCCAGAAGGGGTATGTGTCACCGCTAGGCTGGAGCACGTAATTGCCAGTGAAACACCTTCCAGGGCTCATTTTTCTCTGATAGAGAGGGCAGCAACACTCAATACAGTGGCTGTCCTAGAGGGAGGGTTCCGGAGTGAGGACATGGAGAGGACCACCAGCTGACCTGCCGTGGACGTGAAGCATGGATGAGATTCAGGAGGTTTCTGCAGCATAATGTCACCTATCTGCCACATATAGGTTATTTAATGACAATGTCATCCCCAATGCATTTTAAAGTGGTTCCTTCACAAAACCAAGCCCTCTATTTTGTCTAATAGGTCTACAATTCAGTTCTCTAGCATGATCCAAATATCTGTCTGCCCTGCCTATACTGAGCTTTGAAGAGGCCGCATTGATAAAATGTTGTTACATTCCATCAGTCCCATGGGCCATGGAGGAAAAACTCTAAGGTATCCTTTTCTTCAAAGTTTGCTGAATTCCACAAATACTGTCAGAGCATTGACTGTGTGCCGAATGCTGAGTTTATGAGGACTATAGATCCCATGATATTGTTACAGGAGTCTTAATTACAAAGTCACAACTTGTGAAAAGTAAATTAAGGAATCACAGATTTCCACTGAATATGGCCACCAGCAGGTAATTGTTGACTTCAATAATAATAAGCAAGTGACCTCTGGGTAGGAAGGTTGTATAGGTAATGCCATACACAGGCTTATGTTCCCTTCGCTGCCAAGCACAGCACTGCTGGTGCATAAGGAGAAAGCACCTGTTCTTTGACTCCGTCTTACCTCTGCTTATGGTTGGATGTGAAATGCTAAACTCATGAAGAGTTTTGGGCATAACATAAAAATTTTGCCAAAAGCTTATTCCTCTAAACTGAGCTAGATTAGTTACAATGATGTGCATTGCAACGTCAAAATATCACCTAAAATCAGACACACACACACACTGAATTATTAAAGGATTTGGGATTAAGTTCTAAAGGGGTGGTTAAAACATTATGAAAATGAGATTAATTGTGATCCAGAGACTAGGGAGGGCTTGAACTGAGGCTTGAAGGATGGGTAAGGTTTGAACTCACAGCGTTTGATAGACATCACTATGCTGCCTGTGAACATTTTTGGACCTGTCTTCTTAGTTTCTCAGTATTCTCTCCTATCTAGTTACCAAAAGATAAGCAACAAACTAGACCTTTATTTTAGAATACATCAATTCTCTGTTCCTGAAAAAACGTATGGACTGTATCTATGTCACACCCTATTAAGTGACTTTGGACAACACTCAGAACTTCTTGAGCATCGGTTTTTTAGCTTATGAAATGTAGGACTGGGATTAGACAATCTCTGCATTCCCTAACAGTTTGGCAGTTCTCTGACAACTATATGCTATGATCTTATAGCCATCTATTTTCTGTCAATTTGCCACACACACAAAAAAAACAACTTTCATTACCACTGACATGCTATTCATCCTTCTTTGGGCCAAATGAAGAAAGAGGGAATAAAAAGCAACAACCACATTAAATGAAAAAGTTATCAGTCATTCTTGTATATTGCAGCTGCTTGAGAAGCCATAGGGCAAAGGCATTTATATGGAAGATAAGCTCATTGTGTTGAACAAATTAATGCTGGATTGTGAATTAAATGGCGTGTCTTCGGACAGCTAATTAGCTTTGTGCTGCTCAATTAAGTTTTGAAAGGACATGTTGTGTTTCTTGATGGAATACAAAATATACTTCAAGGCTATTGCTGCTCTGGATAATCTCAATTTCAAACCCAGTGGAAATGAGCAAGAAAGAAGCAAGGGCTTTGTAAACCCCAAACAATTCAGATTGCCCCAAGAGCTTAAATTTTAAACCATAAATAGCCAAATAATACATTTTCTTTTTAACCACATCTGGAAATCTCCACAAGCTGACAAACATGAAATTAACTATAACTTTATTTTTCATAGCGTCATTTACATTGTGAGCAAATATTAGAAAAATAAGGATGAATGCTAAATTAAAATGCTCTTCTCCATATACTATTATTCTATAAGATGAAATCACAAACATCCCTTCTTCTGTAAAATGAGAGGGAACATGTTCCTGGTGGAAAGTGTTTAGGCTTTGGAATAAAAGACTGTTAAACAGAACTCATTTCAGATTTTAACTTTGGTTCTGACCCTCGGAAAATCACTTAACCTCTTTGTCCGGATTTCCTCACCTACAAAATGGGGTTGTAATTCTTATCTTGTAGGGTTATTATGAAGACCCCAATAGTCCAAGTATGGTGTCAGCCCCAGCTATACCCTGTATCTCTTCGCTTCCTTTCTCTGTCCAGACTGGTTGTGAACTGACCTAAGCCCATGTGTAAGTTGTTTGTTAAACACAGGGAGCCTCCAGTGATTAGCAATAGATCTGCTCCTGCAGATGTATTGCCACCAGATGCTTTGCTATAATTTTTATAAGTTTCAGATAGAATTCTGCCACTCGTACAAATACGGCAAACACAAGATCAGTCCCACCACTTGTTTTGATAAGTCTAAGGTGCCCCAGCTTCTCTCCTAACACAAACCATCAAGCCCCTGGAATGAAAAGTGAAACTCCCAGGCCAGCTCAACAATGCTCCGAAAGCAGTATCTGCTAGTCCTTTTGTCAGATCAGGTAACAGATTTAGGGGAGGAAGAGGGCACAAGACCAAGCTGAATCCAGACCTGAAACACCATGGCACAGGTATGCAAAGGGATAAGACCTAAATTTGCAGTTCCTACTACAACCACTACCACTACCAAGATTTGTAAGACCCTAACCTAAGTGTTTCTTGCTAAACCCAAAATCACAAAATGCGCTCTCCCGGACTCCCTTAAATGCCCAATTTTCTTGCTAACCTTGAACCCACAGAGTGTAATTTCCCAAATTTTCTTATTTGTAGACAATCAACTTCTAAGAACTGAGAATTTACCTTGCCCCATACATCACATTCTTGTTGTCTTCTTTTTTTTTTTTCCTGATTAACTTTTGAGCCTATAATGTATAAAGCCTCTGCTACCTGCCTGAAAACAGGGCAGTTTCCCTTTCAGACACCCCCTGCTATCAGGGAGTAAAGCCTTGCTTTTTTTCCTTCCATTTAGGTGGTCTTTTAATTCAGGACTCTGACAAGAGATGTGTTACAGGGTTTGGCTGATTCTTTTTTTTTTTTTTTTTTTTTTAAGTTCTGGGATACATGTGTAGAATGCACAGGTTTTTTACATAGGTATACACGTGCCATTGTGGTTTGCTGCACCTATCAACCCATCATCTAGGTTTTAAGCCCCACATGCATTAGGTATTTGTCCTAATGCTCTCCCTTTCCTTATCCCCCACACCCAACGGGCCCCGGTGTACGATGTTCCCCTCCCTGTGTCCATGTGTTCTCATTGTTCAACTCCCACTTATGAGTGAGAACATGTGGTGTTTGGTTTTCTGTTCCTGTGTTAGTTTGCTGAGAATGATGGTTTCCAGCTTCATCCGTGTCCCTGCGAAAGACATGAACTCATCCTTTTTTGTGGCTGCATAGTATTCCATGGTGTATATGTGCCACATTTTCTTTATCCAGTCTATCACTGATGTGCGTTTGGGTTGGTTCCAAGTCTTTGCAATAAACATACGTGTGCATATGTCTTTACAGTACAATGATTTATAATGCTTTGGATATATACCCAGTAATGGGATTGCTGGGTCAAATGGTATTTCTGGTTCTAGATCCTTGAGGAATTGCCACACTGTCTTCCACAATTGTTGAACTAATTTACACTCCTACCAACAGTGTAAAAGCGTTCCTATTTCTCCACATTCTCTCCAGTATCTGTTGTTTCCTGACTTTTTAATAATCGCCATTCTGATTGGCGTGAGATAGTATCTCATTGTGGTTTTGGTTTGCATTTCTCTAATGACCAGTGATGATGAGCTTTTTTTCATATGTTTGTTGGCTGCATAAATGTCTTCTTGGGTTTGGCTGATTCTTATAGTTACTGTCTAATCTCATTCCTGGAACACAAATCATTTCCCCAGTGAAAAATTACTTCTGGCCCTCCCCAGGCAAATGAAACTCTCTGGGGAAGGTAGAAAAACAATATTTTGAAGCATGTGCAGGAGTCAACTTTGGAGAGTGAGTTTCCAATAAGATTTCTTCAGGTGTTAACTAACAGCATAGATGGCACACTGTTCATACTCTATACTTCAAAGTATGTATCAAATAATATAACAGCATTGTCAAGCTTTTCTAACCATATCTCATTTTGTGACTTCGATTTTTTTATAATTTGTCTGACGCATAGAAGTGTAGCATGGCAAAGAATAGGAGATCGTATGTACTCATACAGACAAGTTTGAATAAAAGCAGTAGATGTTTTTAAAAAGAAAAATAATAGCACAAGCCAACTAAATCTATTAGGTGTATTCTCACTTCAGTAAAAAGGACAAAGGGATTAGTGTCTTTATGAAAAAGCAAAAACAGAAAGAAAAAAAAAAGAAAAGACTACAGAGTCCCACATTCTGGGACACTCCAGGAGGAAAACACAGCCCCTGCCCTCAGGGAGTGCCCAGACCAGTGTTGATGGAATCCCAGGTGATGCTTTGGTCAGCGCGACAGCCATCTTTGTAATATCACTAACATGTGGTCATCCAGTTGTGACTGAATATATTATAGGGACTGGAACCTTCTCTGGTACCCATTTCCTCAAGGACAAGTTAATGGATCAGCAAATTTAGAGTTTTGAGTGTTTTTAAAAACATTAATATCTAGTACATACATAAAATATTACCTTTGCTGGAGAGTGTACTTGCATTTTTAGAGTGGATTTTTGTCTTTAGACCAAGCCATCATAATTGTAATGTCAGAGACAGTGGCAGACCAATCAGAAGGCTATTTCTTGATTGGGGTAGAAAAGAGACCTTTCTGTGCCCTTCCAATCAGACACCATAATTGGTTGTCTTTCCCATATAAAGGATTGGTCCTGCTCCCAAAAGATGAGTAATTGTGAAGAATAAAACACTTTTCTTATAAGAAGTCACAAAAATAACCATCTCTGCTATCACATCATTTCCCTTCCTTCATTCCACTATAATTTATGAAAATGATTTAAAACTTTGGACCTCAGTGAATACTGCGAAATCCGGTCTGCAATTAGTTTTGTATGTTTAAGATCTCCCTCATCAGAGCAAATCATAATTCTTTGGAAGTAAAGCCCTGAAAAAGATATGAATTTGCAAGTTTTCATTTTTAGAGAAATTGACTTATAAGAGAAACGGCCTTTAATATGATTTTCTAAGTAGAAAACTCCCTAAAATAAACTTTGGGGAAATTGGCACAAATTCACGTTCTCAACACTTATGGTCCACTTGTATTACTGTGAGGTGCCAGGGACTGTGCTGGACGCTTTCACACGCTTTAGGCCATCAGTCCTCGGGTACCAACTTGGTGTAATCTAATCTGCAACGTTGAGAATAAAGCAAAGTTCAGGTCTGTGAGATAATTCTTAAGAAGTGACTTCAAGTCATGATCTTTCTACCATTCTTGCTTATACCTCTTTTTGTCTAGCACGATGCTTGCCATTTGATGGTAACAGCTGATGCTTACGGAACTGAGCAAACACCATCTTCTCCAGCCCTTCAGAAGGTCGATTGGAAGCCAGTATGTGCCCTCCCACAACATTCTGTCTTGGTGATGGATGATATGGGAGATGATTAAACATTCTCAAACTTGGAGTCTTTAATACATTAGTAGCAATCTCTTTAAATAAATCACATGTAAGCAATAAATTAAGGATGTCATTCAAAAATCACAAAGGAAGTCAAAATCTATTTATGGAACTCATCAGAGCTGTGATTTATTCTTGTTATCAGAAATGTAATACTAGATTGTATTTCAAACCTGCTTCTTGAATAACTATTTTGTTTTGTTTTGATGATAGCTGTGTCTTAATGAACATAACAACATTTGGTGAGAAAACAGCTAAATCTGCTTGCAGTACATAGATTTTATGCTGTATTGCCATATTGTCTTCCACAGTCACATCTATAAGGCCAAATAAAAATAAAAAAAAAACAGCTTGGGAGACAAAAGACCACCAACGATTTCCTGAGTTAGTGTAATAGACTATGGGCATATTCCTTGGTTTACAGACCAAATTGAATAACATCTAAATAAGATTATTTGCTTTCATAGAAAAAAATACTGTTTTTCTGCCCAGAATTTCAAGCTGTTTTAATAAAAGAGATTTAGAAAGCCCCAGATTAGCAGTGACTTCTGATATCTTTTAGAGAGTTGTAGTTAAAAAAATAGAATTTCTGCTCACCTAGAACAGAAAAGCAGACACAGGTAAGTTATTTTGTAAACTCTCCCAATGTCCTGTCAGTACAGTGCCTTTGAGAAGATTTCTCTGGGCAGTCTTAGAGTGGCATTTCCTTATTTCTCATTATTTGCTTTATTTGTTTTTCTACATATGTTTTTGAGAGGCTACTGTGTTTCAGGTGCTGAGAACACCACAGAGACTCAAATCAGATGAGGTCCCCTCCCATCAGGGAATTTACATTTTAGTGAGAGAGAGAATCATAAGCAAATATCACAGTCCAACATGTCAAACTGCCTCAAAGGTGAGGTATGGCAGACCCATCACTGGGGAATGGATCTAAACAAGGAGGCAAGGAGGCACCTTGAGAGGAAGTGGTCATTTACTCTGGAAGTGTAGAAACCGAATATGTGATGAGTGATCCAGGCAGAAGTAATTACAGTTGCGGATTCTCTGTCTCTGGAAGGAGCGTGGTGACCACAAGGGACAAAAGGAGGATAAGCTCGTAGCTGAGACACAACTCAGGAGGAAGAACATGGTGCAAATGAGGTGGAAAGGGGACAAGAACCTGGCTCAGCAGGACTTGAACATGAGCTTAAGAGTTTTGTCTGTATCTCACAATGGGAAGCCATGAAAGGGTTTCACGCAGAGAGGTGTTATGATCAGCCTGGGTTTTTTAAAGATGAGTGCAAGGAGGAGAACAGATTGGAAGGGGGCCAAAGCGTCTGTTAGCAGATCAGTGGAGGGCTCACACTCCAAGCAGAAGATGACAATGGCTTAGACTAGGGGGTGGCAATAGTGGGGAGATAGAAGATTTGAGAGAATTTCTCCTATTCTATTTTTGTTTTTGGCCCAACCTGCACCCTCTATTCTAAATAGCTGCTCTTTTATCTACATTGATTTTCTTGCCTGCTTACTGCTCCCATCTGCAGTACCAGCTTTTAGTGCTATGCTTTATAATAAGGACTCATTGTACGTTTGCGTTATGAATGAGTAGTTCCCACTTTTATTATGCTCTTCCCTGCACCATAAATCTCCTGCAGTTTAATCTGTCCTAGAGTGTGCCATGTAGGCAAACACACCGAGAGGTCACAAAACAGGCCCAGGGCCCCAAAAGCAAAACAGAATAGTCTCCCTCACCCCATCCCCAAGCCTCAACCTTAAATCCAGGTGCCAAGGACAGCCAGGCTGGAATGAGCGGTCCAGAGAAGGCTGAGGCTTGGGGAATGGATTTCAGGTCTCTGAGAAAAGTTTTCTGCATAACATCTGCTGCTGTTCCATCAACTTCCATCTCTTAAACCACATTTGATATGATCTCCATAAGTTGTTAGCACCTTTTCTAGGACTCAAGTGGACTTTTCACAGTCTAGTAGTCTGTTTCCCAGACTATATGACACCCTTCATGATGTGAGATAACTCGTACCTTTCTAATAATAATGCAGATAGAATACCTTTTAAAACTTGTTTTCTACTGAAAACATGCCACTGCATTACCATTTTTGACCCTTAAAATAACCCTATGTGTTGGCTTACGCCTATAATCCCAGCACTTTGGGAGGCTGAGGCAGGTGGATCGCCTGAAACCAGGAGTTCAAGACCAGCCTGGGCAACATGGCAAAACCCCATCTCTACAAAAAATAGAAAAATTAGCCGGGCGTGATGGCACATGCCTATAGTCCCAGCTACTAGGGAGGCTGAGTTAGGAGACTCACCTGAGCCTGGGGTAGTCAAGGCTGCAATGAGCTAAGACCACACCACTGCCCTCCAGCCTGGGCCACAGAGTGAGACCCTGTATCAGAAAAAAAAAAAAAATGTAAACCATGAGGTCATCAAGACTGGGACTAATGCCCCAGAATTGGCTTAAGAATGCAACCAACTCTTTTAAGCAACAGTGCAATGAAGCAGTTGCTTGTCTGACTCGTCAGGAAGATGGAATGTGCCCTCATGAAGAGCCTTGCTCAACCCAAGCTTAGGTTTCTCACCCTTGGAGAGCATCCTTCTTTCCTCACGAATTCTTCCTCTCAAGGGTGCCTTGGTTCCTGTGATACTTGAGAAAGTTTAACTTTAGGCATTTTACTTAGACAATGCTCTGAAACTGGAAATAACATTCAAAGCTTTTGTTAAGCATACCCAGATTCTCCCAATGTCCAGACATCATTTCCTCTGGATTTTTCTATCTACTTTGAATTTTAAAGAAATTGAAAGCTGGGCACAGTGGCTCACGCCTGTAATCCCAGCACTTTGGGAGGCCAAGGCAGGTGGATCTCGAGGTCAGGAGATCAAGACCATCCTGGCCAACACGATGAAACCCCGTCTCTACTAAAAATGCAAAAAATTTAGCTGGGCATGGAGGCGGGTGTCTGTAGTCCAAGCTACTCGGGAGGCTGAGGCAGGAGAATGGCATGAACCCAGGAGGTGGAGCTTGCAGTGAGCTGAGATCGCACCACTGCACTCCAGCCTGGGTGACAGAGCAAGACTCCATCTCAAAAAAAAAAAAAAGAAAAAGAAATTGAACGTCCACTTTGGAAGAAATTGGAGCCCACTTTTGTCTCAAAAAGTAGCTGTGGGGTTTTAACTGATGGATGTGTCCGAGTGATGACACTGGGAAGCTAATGCCGTTGAATAGATGTTTATTACTTACCTTTTCCAGAAGGCTGTAGGAAAAAAGTGGTGTCTTTGCCTTAAAGAAGTCATGGTTTGTTTTGACCTGGAACAACTTCAAACTGGCATCATAACGACAAATGGCATTTGTCAATAAGCAAATACATCCTCAAAGAATAAAGATCTGCTGCCAGTGAAGAGTATCAAGAAAATGTGGCTACAGGTATGAAAGGCCATCGAGGCCCTCCCAAAATGTCACAGCAGCTTCACTCTCCTGTGTCTGGAGCCACTGAAGAACCTCCCTGAAGATACCAGATTTACCTGGACGTGGAAGTGCTAGTGTTTCTACTTCCAAAAAAAAAATAAAAGGTCTGCTGTCATATTAGTCACTCTTTGTTTTCTTTCTTTCTTTTTTTTTTTTTTTTTTTTGAGTCAGAGTCTCGCTCTGTCACCAGGCAGGCTGGAGTACAGGGGCGCAATCTCGGCTCACTGCAACCTCCACCTCCCAGCTTGAAGCGAGTCTCCTGCCTCAGCCTCCCGAGTAGCTGGGATTACAGGTGCACGCCATGATGCCCAGCTAATTTCGTATTTTTTAGTAGAAACAAGGTTTCACCATCTTGGCTAGGCTGGTCTTGAACTCCTGACCTCAGTTGATCTACCCACTTCGGCCTCCCAAAGTGCTGGGATTACAGGCGTGAGCCACCGTGCCAGGCCATTAGTCACTCTTTGAATCTCACTTTATTTCTGCATATTTGCAGGGTTCCAGCCACATTGACATCTTTCTTCTCTGCTCACTCAGCAATGTCTGTACCAAATGGCAAGGTGGGGAAAGATGACTTAGTTGATCATGACAAAGCATGGTGACAGGCATGAGGAAAAACCTAAAGAACTGTGAAACCAATGATGAAATCCCTGTCTAACAATTTTAATGTCTGTGTTCATAAACATGTGGGAAATGGCTGTGTATTACATCAGTTGATTTAAGTATAAAGATTAAAACACATGTGACATTTAAAGTTGTCCATGGGCAATTAGGCCAGTGTTGGGGCAGGAGGAAGAGCACAGAAATTGTTTATCTTAACCAAGAAACTTTGATTTTCAGTCTTATTCTAAAAATAAAAAACATAAAAAAAAACAGAAATAGACTATACCTTCAGAATTGTTTGGGAACCACACCTCTTCTTGGCTTACCCCATCTCAGCCAAAAATAAATCTCTGTGTCCCATCATTTTACATTTAAGAATTTTAAAGTAAATAGGCAAGGATGTTCACACTTTATCTAAAAGTACGCTTACCATAAAAATATTTATGAGAGTGAGAAAATGAAAATAATAATCCAGATGAGGATATAACACAACAAATAAATTACTCTATACGTATGTAGGTACAATATTGTGCCACCTCTAAAAATCATGTTAAAAAAAACTTTTAAGTTCAGGGGTACATGTGCAACATGTTCGTTACATAAATAGATTTGTGTCATGGGGGTTTGTTGTACAGATTATTTCATCACCCAGGTATTAAACCTAGTACCCATTAGTTATTTTTCCTGATCCTCTCCCTCCTCCCGCCTTTCACTCTCTGATAGGCCCCAGTGTGTGTTGTTCACCTCTATGTGTCCGTGTGGTCTCATCATTTAGCTCCCACTTATAAGTGAGAACATGTGGTATTTGGTTTTCTGTTCTTGCTTTAGTTTGCTGAAAATAATGGCCTCCAGCCCCATTCATGTCCCTGCAAAGGACATGATCTCATTCTTTTTATGGCTGCATAGCATTCCATGGTGCATATGTACCACATTTTCTGTGTCCAGTCTGTCACTGATGAGCATTTGGGTTGATTCTGTGTCTTTGCTATTGTGAATAGTGCTGCAATGAACATGTGCATGCATGTGTCTTTATAATAAAATGATTTATATTCCTTTGGATATATACCCAGTAATGGGATTGCTGAGTCAAATGGTATAAAAATAATGTTTTTATAAAGAATTTAATGACAAGGGGAAAGGCTCTCCCGAGCCCCCATGATCCCTAAGAAGCAGATAGCTCAAGACCCAAGCATCTTTCCATCAGGTGAGTCACCCTCTTCCTCAGAGCCCACTTTTGTCTCAAAAAGTATCTGTGGGATTTTGACTTATGGCTGTGGCTGAGTGATGACACTAAGAAGTTAATGGCATTGAAAGATGTTTATTACTTACATTTTCCAGAAGGAGGGGGCATGCCCCTCCACACAAGGCCCAGCAGGGAAGCACCAGGTTTACTCAGAAAGCCAAAGGGGGCCAGGTGCGGTGGCTCACACCTGTAATCACAGCACTTTGGGAGGCTGAGGCAGGCAGATGACTTAAGGTCAGGAGTTCGAGACCAGACTGGCCAACGTGGTGAAACCCCATCCCTACTAAAAATACAAAATGAGTCAGGTATTGTTGCGCACAGCTGTAATCCCAGCTACTGGGGAGGCTGAGGTGGGAGAATCGCTTGAACCGGGGAGTGGGAGATTGAAGTGAGCCGAGATAGCACCACTGCACCTCCAGCCTGGGTGAGAGAGTGAGACTCCGTCTCAGAAAAAATAAAAATAAAAATAAAAAAGATAAAAAGGAAGACAAAAGGGTGAGAAGAAAGCAAAACCCAGGGTCTCTTACTGCTATTTCCGTGGGAAAGGCAAGGCCCTGGCTGCTTAGGGCAGAAGACATTGCCTGCTACAGTGTTAAGAGCCACATAAAGGAGGTAGTTCAGAGTGTGAGCTCTCGATGGGTTAGTTTGTGTATGAAAGACATGCTGCAAGGTGAGCCCTTTGCTAGCTCCAAGAATTGTCTAGCCCTGAGAGGGGCAGTGTCCTTTCACCCAGCAAGGGCACAAATGCTAGAGCACCAAGAATACAGAAATTTTAAAAATATATGTGGGTAATTGAAGTTCTATGAAGAAGCAGCTGCTCCCAAAGCCTCTGGACCAAACAAAGCATTGTCCTACCCTGGCCATGCTTACCCTCGTCTTCTAAGTTCATTAGCTTCTTTCATGCCACTGTGTCCCCAGTTCTCCAATCTTTTTTATAAGATATGTAACTCTGATACAATATATAGCCCTCTGCCTTACTACTTTCCCCACTGGATTGAGGACAGAACCATCATTTGGTTCATCTTTGCATTGACCACAGTGCCTGACACAGTAGATGCTTCACAGAATATGAACACTTCAAAGGGGGTAGTTTTGCCCACAACTGTCTCTACTGACAGCCAGTGGATTATCAAGGATCCTGGTACAAGCATGCTGCAGAGCAGGGTGAGCATCAAGGGAGTGCCTGATATAGACATGGGTTTGTGCATTATTCCTGCCTGCACTTCCAAAGTTTTCAAAAACCCTGTTACTCCAAACCCCAGTTAAAAACCTGTGCTCAAAATAATTTTGCCAAGTTGCCAGATTGTCTAGATCAATTTTAGAGCATGAGATGATGGAAAGATTACAGAATGGAAGAAAAGGCAGGGTCAGATGCAGTAGAAAGGGTGCACTTCCTGCATGAAACTCAATCCCGGAATTGAGAGAGGAGGATAAAAACCCCTCTCAACTGGGATATTCAAGCCAAGGCTCTAGAAGCTGTTTTTGTCTAACAGTTGAGAGTTGCAACCGCTGAATGGGAACAGATGAGGCAAGCGAACCTCATGTGCAATTAGGCCAATGTGGAGCTATTCACATTTGGAGGCTTGGTAGGCAATTTCACATTCTTCTGGAGCTAAGCCAACCGACGGGCTGTGACATGAGATAATCGGTGCCACTGATGTGTGAAGGTCTCGTGAGAGATGACAGACACGCTGCGGAAACAGGCATCGGAGGGTCTCTGCCGGTGAGCAAAAAGTATGAATGCATGTAATAACATGGTGCTCATTTGCAGAACAACAGCCTGTTTCAGCAAGCTGACAGTGACAATTTTTCCAAAGTATTACTGTTAATGATTGGGAGAAAAAAAATAAACTGCATTTTCTTTTTGGTTGTCAGTGATAGGTAGAGTGTGTTAAAGTTTTGCTGTTTGAGAAGCAGTGAATATTTGGGGGTAAATTGAACTGTAACACTGTATTTCTTTAACTGAGTTTCAGGTTTAAGATCATAAAAAAGTACAAAAGGTAGCATGAAAATATCTATAATTGTTTTCCCTATACTTTCACTGGACTCTGTATCCACCTTCTTTCAACTCCCCTACATCAAGGCGAGTCCTGACCAAGAAGACCCGACTCATGATTTTCATCTCCTCAGCTCTCATTCATTCCTCAGCCCACCTGTCTGGCTTCTCTGAATCTGCTGGGGTCAAGCTCACCACCAGCCTCCTAAATGCCAAATCCAATGCACGTGTTAGTCCTACTTGGCATCTTGGTTACATTTAAAATATTCTATTAACATGATTCTTGCTCCTAGGACCTTGAGAGTCTAAGGACAAGTTATATCAGGAAGTCAAAATGTACTTCAGGCTTGTGGAGGACCAAGGGCAACAGAGCAAGAATGATTTCCAGCCCCAGCAGCCCAACAGGACACCCACCAAGAGGGGAGGAGGGCTGAGTGCAGACTTCTAAAGCTAGATTTCCCCAGAGGCACCGGTTGGTGAGGCAAGTACTGTAATTTTCCAGAGAGACAGAACAAAATAATTATCATGCAAAAATGTTAAATTCTGCATTTTTGCATACACCTCTATTTTCTTTCAGAGTACTTTCACTCCTTCTATGTAGAAGGGGCATGATTTAATTGAAAGGATCTGGTCTACAAACATGGGTGAGGCTAATACCAAAATGGAGTTGCCTATCGCACACATTTATCAGTCAAAAGTTAAGTTTGTGCTTTGAAATCTGAAAATGTCCCTGAGTCAAATAGTCATGTCCAATTGGCATGTACCTGTCTTTGAACATTTTTTGTTCAAATGCTGTTCCCCCTGTTCCCTTTCCCCTAGATAACCTCCACTCCTCTTCTTTAGTAAGTCTTCCCTGCCCCACCTCCCAAGCCTGAATTGAATGACTATCAACTTCTGCCTAACATGGCCCTAGAACTGAAAAAGGATCATGTTTGCGGAGTGAACTGAGTCTGTCTTGCCTGGTAGACTGTCATGGACAGTGAACGTGGTGGGTTTTACTCATCTCTCTCCCCAGGGCCTAATGCAGTGTCTTGCAATGAATAATTACTCAATACATGTTTGTGGAATGAATGAAGGGTATAATACTATCATTGCTAGTCAGCAATAGCACCAATGCAAGTTCACAAACATTCTCAAATAGAAGTGCTGAACTATGTAACACAGTGAAATATGCAAGTGAAATTACTAAGTTATTATCGGGAACCAAGGTGATTAATGCTGTACATTTAGGACATGCTCAATACAGGAAAAATATAAGTTCTAGAATTAGTTTAATGCCACTTGCGCTGATAGCACAGATCTGCTATCTGTCTTCATTAGCTTCATAGCAGTAGGTTACAAGAACACTGTTTGAATGGGTGTCATATTATTTTATTGAATATTCAATAAAAGTGTAATAAAAATGAAATGCCAGAGTCCATAGGAAACATTGTACACCTTGTTATTTCTTCTACTTCAAAGTAAAATTCTATTTTAAAAGCATGTCTTTAGTTCTATTCCCAGCAGTGCTCAGTGCTATATACAGACCCCCTGGTTCCTCTAAAAAAAAAAAAAAATGAGTATTCTTCCTTGGCAATATGAGACTTTCTATATTTCACAAAACTGTTATCTACCAGAAACAGGAGAACTAGGTAATATATACTTTTTTTTTTTTTTTGAGATGGGGGGTCTTACTCTGTTGCTCAGGCTGGCGTGCTTAGCTGCTACAGCCTGCAAGGCTTGCAACCTTGACCTCCCAGGCTCAAGCGATCCTCCCCACCTCAGCCTCCCTGGTAGTTGGGACCACAGGCACGTGCCACCACACCCAGCTAATTTTTGTATTTTTTGTAGAGACAGGGTTTCACCATGTTGCCCAGGCTGGTGTTGAACTCCTGGGCCCAAGTGATCCGCCCACCTTGGCCTCCCAAAGTGCTGGGAATACAGGCGTGAACCACCACACCCAGCCAATATGTACATTCTTGAGAATAGCCAATGTCATTGGCCTTGGGAAGGAATGAGTACAGACCTGGAAGTGGGAACCCAGGAGTAATAAATAAATAAATGCACAGAACAAATCAGGATGAGTATGTAAGTTTTCTGCTCTTCCAACTATTCTCTCTGCCCTCATTCCCCAGCCTATGGGGGTAGGGATCAGTAAAAAGAGTCCTTTGATCTCTCTGGCTTCTCTGAGACTCTTGGCCCTACCTCCAAAATCAAATCTCCTTTTCTTCTACCTCCTCAACAAACTCTATAGGTTCTCCTGAGCAATTAAGCTTTTGAAAAACCAGAGACAAAAGGACCAACAGGCTACTTCTACCTTCTACCCTATCACGTAGCTCTCCTGAATCAAGGAAGTGCCCAGCCAGGTATCTGCATGAAGGGGAGGACAAAAAATAAAAAATGCGTCAATTAACATCTCAACATATATCATAAACCACACATATAGATACACAGAGACGGATTCCTGCCTATCTCTCATATTATAGAGAAGAGCACATAATCCAGAGCCTTGGCTGTGGAGTTTTTATTAGCTATGAATATGCTCCCAGGTTTCTGAAGGCTGATTCAATGCAGAAATGCTGCTAGACCGCAGGGTGAGCACATGAAATCCTAACCCGGAGTGTCCTCTCTAGGCCTCTGCTGAGTGAATCAGACAGCCAGGCAGTCCTGCCAGCAGGATTAGGACCAAAACTGCCACCCCGGATACAGATGGTAATCAATCCAATTTGCTCACCTCCTGAAGTTATCTGCCCCCTGCCACTCCTCCTTGGGAAGCAGAAATGAAGCCCCCTCATGAGTCACCAGCATGATGGATTCTTCAGTAACTGGTAGCGACAGGAACAAGGATAATAGCTGAGTATAAACAAGCAACAAGCCACTGGAGCTGCGGCCCACTGCCACGGTCTCCTCCGGAGAATAACACAGTGACTCCAACAATCTCACCTTCATTCTTCAAGTTTATTTAGTTATTTATTTATTTTTAATGACCACATTGTAGTGGTACATATTTATGGGGTACAATTTGATGTTTTGATTTGTATGCACATTGTATAATGATCCAGTCAAGATAGTTAGTGTATCCATTACCTCATGCATTTATCATTTCTTTGTGGTGAGAACATTTAAAAGTCTCTTTCTAGCTATTTTGTAATATACAGTATTTTACTGTTAGCCCTAGTCACCCTGCTGTGCCATAAACACCAGAATGTATTCTTCCTATCTAACTGTCACTTTGGACCTATTGATCAACCTCTCACCATCTTCCCCTTTCCCTCCCCTACTCTCAGCTTGATTTTTAAAAGAAAATGTTAATCGTGGGGGAAAGTGCTGCTTATATCCATCTGCTTCTTCTTCTTAAACTGCCAGATGATTTAATCATCTTCCTTAATAAGCTATGAAGAGCTGACCTTTAGAAAGCCTCCTGGAAGCAGGAATATTTAAAAGCAAATGCTTTCCAAGCAACAACCAGGCCAAATGTTACCCCTTCTTGTCCTCTGCTCTATGGAATTTGTTACAATCCTGGGTCAAGTGTCCAGGCAATGGATGTATCTCTGTGAGACCATTCACAAAGGGCTGCTTCTACGCCCTGCTTTCTAGTTGCTTCTTTTCCATGCCCTAGCTCATGCAATCTCCCAGGTAGGAACTATCATCCTCACTGTGTAAATGAATCTTCTGAAGCTCAGAGAGGTTAAGTAGCTTTCCTAGGGTCACACAACCTGTGAGATACCACTAGCCAGGAGCCATACATGTCTGCAATTCTTACAGCACCTAACCTCATGTACCCAGGAGACTCCTGATGAAATTATGAAATAGGCTGTTTTTCTTTTCCCTTTCTTACCTTTGAAGATTGCTGCCCCCATCAAACTTTGGTAGCCATATCCCCAAGGAGGTGCAAACATGTCCAGCCACACACAACCTAATATGCCTCTAGCAGAGATTTTATGCACCAGTTTAAAGTAAGCAGGACAGACTTTAGGACCAACGTCCCTACTTCATTTGTGTCCCATTCAGGTACTGGTTATCTGATCTTCTCCTTCCATCCCCGCCCCACCATCAAAACATAAAAATGTTTCACTGTCAATTCATCATAATACACATATCTGAAAGTTAGCACTGGAAAGGCTTTCAAGGTTTTCTAAAGCAACTCCTTCCATTTTAAATAAGGGAAATAGATAAGAGACAAGAGAGAGGAGGTGGCTTGGCTGAGGCCACCAAGTGGATCAGTGACAAAGCTAAGAGACAAGGCCATTCTTCCCAGCTCTAACCCCTTGTGCTGAGGTCACACCTTTGCTTTCTTAGGAGGATGTGAAAGCCACTTTGTCCACTCTCCCAGGACATCCACATCCTCCCCTGTATCTTTAAACTTGGGATAAGGATAAGGATAAATCAGACTTGGTTCATTTTAAAGGGAGTTTCTGGCACCAGCCATTAGTGTGGGAAGTGTGTGCCTCTACAATCACGCTATTGTGAATCTCGTGTCTTTATTGCTGAGTCAACATGGAGCATCTGTAAAGAGCAGGAGTGGGGCAGGAGTGGAGGGAAGAGCCAAGGTTGTTCTTCACAAATCCCTAGGCCTGCACCTCACCTCAGGCTGCCAGACCAGCCCTCTTACTTAGAGTTTCTGAGTGGATGATTTTATGTCCCAGTGTGAACCCAGAAGTATCCCCAGGGCCCCATTATTAGGTCCCAGGCCCAACCTCATGCCTAATCTCAGTCCTCTATTGGCCTAAAACGTCTTGCACACATGCAGGCATAGCCTTTCTTCTAAATCCCTCAGCCCTATATGCCTCCATCCTTAATTAGCGGGAGGCAGAAGATGCAGGAAATAGGATGTGCTGCCCAAGAAGAGGAAGGCAGAGAAAGGAGGGGGTGGTTCAAAGCACAGCAGGAGTCATAGTCCAAGGCCAGAGAAAACAGAGGTCTTGAAATATGTACTGTTTAAGATTCTGGGGCTTTTGCACGCCATAAGTATGTGTATGCATGTGCGCATGCATTGGAGCTCCATGATATATATACATGCATATGTGTTTGTGCTTGTGTTTGTGTGTTTGGGAGGGGGAGGACATCGTGTATGTGCCCATTTATGTGTGTCTGATGAGGGTGAGCCTAAGTGACATTGGGAAAAACTGCCAATCAACCCTAATGCCATTATAGGTAGAAAAGCGTTAACAATCATGAGAAAAGAAATTCCTCTAAAGGGTGTGAAAGTGTGAAGCCATAGGGTGGGTGCCAGGGGAAAACGCAGACTCCTTTTGAGCTGATAGGGTCACACTCCTGTATATATAATAATAATATTAATAATAATAACAATATTATTGTCTGTGTGTCTGTTCTCTAACATTGTGTCCTATTTAGGGTCATCGTGATGCGTGTGTGAGTCTGCACTGAGTCCGGCATGCAGTGAGGGCCCAATGAATGTGGACCCTAAATATGCTTTTGGGCAAGGTAAGCAATTAGGAACAATGAAGGAAAAGAGCACATCATCCTCTCTATCTTTAAACCAGAAGAAGGAAGACACCTACTAACTTAAAACATAAAAATCTTAAACACGCTTTGTCTCTTAACGTCTCGGAAATTGACTAAACAAACTCTCAGGAGCAAACTGCAACCTGTTCCTTCTTCTGAAAGGGTTTTAGCAGCTGTTGGTGGTGGTCTTAGATGTCCTGAAGAGCCCACCCAGTGCAGATCATGTGAAAGGCTAGGAGCTCTGAGGCAGCTAGCAAAAGAAAACCCTCCAGAGAGAAACACAGTTCTTAATAATTACCACTAACTATGCTGTGAAAGGGAGAACACTCTTTCAATTACCAAATGTCAGCTCTAATCCCCACTTATGAGTGTTGGAAATAAAAGGATGCAATAATTACACAATCTGCAGGGAAACTCACAAATATATTCCCAATACCAATGATTTATTGAGCTTGCCCAGCCACAGCCTGGCTTCCCTCCTTAAAGAAAGCTGTAAAAGTGGTGCCCTGTTCTTTGATAATCACAGTTATTTCTTACAAACCACTGATTAAGCAATAGATGAGGAAAGCATTTTGGAAACTCTGAGATAGCTTTGATTTGTTGGACGTCTTTCTAAAATGATGGTCTGTCTGCCTAAGTGGCCGATTAAAGAACACATAATGGTTTGTCAGAAAGGACCTTTTACAATTGAGGCCATTTCAGAGGTGAGAAAAGGTTAAACATTGTGCTAAGAGCATGCGATGGTAGAGCTGGAATGAATCCCAAATGTCCCAATTTCCAGTCTTTTCTATGATCCCCTATAGCCTGAACTATTAACAAGGTATAACAAATGTGGGTTATTAACTTCTATTACTTTCCATTTGAAAGCCAAGCCAATCAATACGTTACTGTCATCAACAAGTTGATAAATTGGGAAATAATGATTTATGTATTAGGTGCAAAAGCAATTGCGGTTTTGCCATTGAAAGTAATGGCAAAAATATTATAGAAATAGCTTTTTTTAAAAAATTTTACTCTTGGGCATAATATGGACAGGAAGATTTATGTGTGAAGCAGAGGGTCTGGGTGATGGCATTACCAGGTGGAGGCTTGTGGTAGAAACATGTTGTTCTCCAGTGGGATTATTGAAGCTCTTTGGATAGTCTGAAGTAGTAAGAGGAAAGTTACCCAGAGGTGCAGAAAATTGTAAAGTTGAGGCTATGAGAAAAGCAGATTGAGGAAGCAGGAAATTGCAGAAATAGAAAAGCAAGCTATGAGTGGTGGTTCACACCTGTAATCCCAGCACTTTGGGTGACCAAGATGGGAGGATCGCTTGAGCCCAGGAGTTTGAGACCATCCTGGGCAACTTGGCAAGACCCCGTCCCTACAAAAAAATAAAAAAATCCCAGGCATGATGGTGCATGCCTGTAGTCCCACCTACTTGGGAGGCTGAGGTAGGAGAATTGCTTGAGCTTGGAAGGTTGAAGCTGCAGTGAGCTGTGATCATGCCAATGTCTTCCAGCCTGGGTGACAGAGTGGGATCCTGTCTCAAAAAAATCAATAAATAGAAAACCAACATGGAAAAGTAGATTGGGAATAAAAGATAATCTATTCTTAAGTCATGAGGATTGTATGGGTTAATAAAATGTTTAGACTTATACATCATTATGAGTCTGCAAATTATTGAAGGTAATCCTAAACCAATATTACTCTATTTCTCATTTCAGGTAAATAATTGAGACTCCTTGAAGGAGTGATTATTAAACTATTCTGGATGAAAATTTTTTGAACATTTGGTGAAAAGTTGTGGATTCACTCCCCAGATAAGTTCACACCTCTGCATATACGTAAAGTGCTGGATACAATTTCAGGCCATTCAGAGATCCTTCTGAAAGTCCACCATTGGATGCCAGGATATGACAGGCTTTACTAGACCAAGAAGTTTTAACCAATTATTTAAGTATAAACATATACACTCAAAGTCCTGTTGTTGCTTCATCTTCTGAGTGTCTCAAAAGTCCTGTTCTGAATAACTCCTCTGCTAGGAAGCTTCAGGCCCTTGAGAGGCTAGCCATCATTTCTGTACATTTTCTGAAATTTCATTGTGTGCATTATATATAGTCTTAAGCAATCCCATAATTGTTCAGCTCTCTGGACTCTCTTCTTCTTAGGCACAAGCATCTCATCTTTCCTAGCCCTGTGCATGCATACATGTGTGAGGAGGTGTATTTTCATGCCAGCATGCACAGAGCACAATCTTCCTGAGGATCAATTTCCTTATCTGTAATATGGAGACACCTTATCAGCTCAGAGTTGCTAAGAAATTGAAATGAGAATATGAATGTGAACATTTTTTAATTACTTATAAAGGACCATAAAAATTGGTGACATGTCATTATTAGTGTCATCATATTGTTATTATGTATAAAACCTCAATGCAATTTGCAGCCTTCCTTATCTTTTCAGGAAGTTACTTACAAATGTTTGTCCACTTCTAAAATAATGATGTTATAACTTTCCAATAGCATTACTCACATTGGCAACATCCTCTGCTCCAGAAGAAGAAATTGTTCATAGCCTGGGTCCATCTTATGAGTTTAATGAGTAATTCTGAGTCCCACAGGGCTGAAATTGGGTGAGTTCACAGTGGCATGGCAGCACTGGGTGTCAGCTTCCAGCATCTTTTCTGACTGGTTGGTACCCCATTTGTACAAGTTGTTAAATATTTTGAATATTGCCCATAGAACCACTTATGTGTGAACTACCATGCTGGGTGCTTCTAAAACAAAAGAAAGAGAGAGGAATAAAAGCGGCCCATATTCCCAAAAAGACAAGAACTTGACTGGGGAGGTAAGGCCACTAATAAAACAAGGTGCTTCGTATTTGCTTCCTTGTTTTAAGTGTTTCATTAGGTCAGAAGAGGTCATCATTTCTAGGAGGGTTGATGGGAATGAATCTACCAATAAGGTGGGATTTATGGTAGTCCCAAGGAAGACCAATGCTGATGAGTCCAATGTTGCTCATCAACTATCAGCTCCATAAAAATGCGCGTGGAGGCAAAGAGAGAAACCCATCCTGCCAGCCAGCATTAAAGACGGCCAGAGAAAGTGAGTCTTTGCATTTTATTTTACAGATGGTTTCTCCTTTCTCCACCCCTATTTCCAGGCAGAGATTTAATTACTTTAGAAGGTAATTTGCAAAGTTCTTTAAGACCTTCAGCCATCAGGTGCTACAGGAAAGATAAGTGCTGTGACCACAGTATCTATTTTGGTGCTGTGTGTAATGCGCCATTAGATGAGATCGACGCGGCACTCGTTTCACGCTACCAATATCTGCTCTATTAATTCTTCACTTAAATCTGCTAAGCACCTCTTCATTTGCCTCACCACTGCTATAATTTAATATGTACAACCAGAGTTGGAGTTGAATTATTTCTCAAGTGAGCTAAAATCCAATATTTGTAAAATGCATCCATTAAAGTGAAACCCCAGCAAGGTTCTCCTCTTCCTGCAGCCCCCTCAGTGATGGCTTTGGTTTGGCTCCTGCGGAGTCTCACTGCACCACAACACTGATTCCATTAGCCCAGCGAAGGCCACAGCTGCCTGGGGACTGCCCTGCTGGTAGCTCTGCAGTACTCGCCAGTCCTGGCCTTTCTGCTCTCTCTCTCTCTCTATTTAAATGCGGCAGGAAGAACATATTAATGTGTGAGCATCAACAGCCTGTCCCCTTGCTACCCGCTAAGAAGAAACTGGCTTTGCTTTTATAAATCGAGAACAAGGGTCTAGCTGCATTTTCACCAAATTGAAGAGAAACAAATTAAAGGAAAGAGAGTGAGAAAGACGCAGAAACCAGGAAATCTATGTAGCTGGAAAGGTCTTTTGAGTGGGAGAAAGAGGGGGCAGAAACCTGGCTGTGTATGGGAGTCTAAGAGAGATGGTGACTTTGAAAATTTGGCTCTGTAGGATGAAGGTAATCCCTCTTTGGCATTAGCTTAAGACCAAAGTCAAAAAATTTAGATTACTTTTCAGGTATTATTAGATGCTGAACTGGAGTTTCCTTGAATGAGATGCTGCAAATAGGGTGGCTTACCTAGCAGGCTCTTGGTGAAATTGCAGTCACCGTGCATTTGCATTCCACATGGCAGAAGTGGAGCAGAGCAATATCAGTGCCTTACAGTTCCTCTTCACAGGCAGGATTAGGCTAGCCAGAACACAGCCTCATCTCACGCTCTTCGGAAGGCCAATATGTACATTTCAATCAAGTGCCGGTAAGTTTACACATCTAGTTTAAAATAATTAGGTTGAAACTCAAAAGCCTCCAGCATCCTCTTCTTAGTTTACACCACTTGCCTGACACTAACCTTACTCTTTACTAACCAAATATCTTTGCATTTATCCCGAGAAATACCCTCTGGAAAATTCTCCTGTGCATCCATCATTCTTCCTTAAGGCTAGCCCCTTCAATGAGGTCTGCCTAGATCACTTTAGCACTCAATAATTTTTACTGCTAAAAGCTCAATCATTGTTTTTTCTATGACTCGTGTAGTTATTAATTTATTGGAAAACTATTGCCTTGGGTGAGAGTCAGTAAGATGCCGGGATACGGCATGCTTTACTAGACCAAGAAGTTTTAACCATTTATACTAAATAATTGTGCTAAATAACCAATTATGTTAAATAAGTCAGTCAGGGAGATGTAAAAGGTAGAGGTGGTTCTACATAAAGTTATGAAATAGTATCGGTAAAACTTAGCAACTAATTGGGTGTGATACTTAGACAGGACCCCTTACTCCTGGGTATCTTTGGCAGAATAATGGCCCCTCAAACATTTCTGTCCTAATTGTTGAAACATGTGAATATGGTACCTTATATGGCAACAGAGAGGTGAAGTTGCAGATGGAACTAAGTTTGCTAACCAGTTGGCCTTGATCCGGCATTAATCAGCGGGCCCGATGTAATCACAAGGGTCCTTATAAATAGAAGAGGAAGGCAGAAGAGAGAGATCCAGACAGACGGCCGCATGAGAAGCACTCAAACCACTGCTGCTGGACTTGAAGATGGAAGAAAACAGTCATGAGCCAAGGAATGCCCGAAGTCTCTGAAAGCCAGAAAAGGCAAGGATACTGATTCTCCCTGGAGTGTCCAGATAGAATGCAGCCCTGCCAACACCTTGATTAAGGCACCGTGAGACCCATTTAGGATTTCTGATCTCCAGGGCTGTAAGATAGTTAATTTGTGGCTTTTGTTTTAAGCCACTAAGTCTGTGGTAATTTGCTACAGCAGTGATGAAAAAGAAACGCAGCAGTCTAGAGCCCATGGCCCTGTCCTACCTTCCTAAAACCCCAGCCTCACACCACGAGTCCTAACATCAGGAACTTGGAGCTGGAGGAAATCCTTGCCCACATTTTACAGAAAGACTGTCTCTTCTAAGTGGCACTAGCAGAGCCTTGTGGGGTCAAAAATATGGCACATTCAGGGTTTTAAAGGACTCTGTTGCCAAGACTTAGAATCTAATAACTAATCTCTTCATGAGAAAATAAATTCCAGTACCAAACAGCCAACTCTCTAATGAATATTTGACATTCCTCATATTGGTAAATTGAGTACTGCCTATGATCTATGTTGATGGTTAAATGAGAGCCATTGGTTTCAGACTCCAGATATACAGGAGTCCAAATTATTACTCATTCTCAAAAGTTTAAAATCCTGGCTTGTGAGCTGATCTGGAAAATCAAGCTGCTTTAGCAGAGGCCTGTGCATCAAAGGAACCTTAAGCCAAGACAGGATATTTCCTCAAAAAAAACAGGAAGTGCATCTCTGAGTACCATATTGGAACTCCAAATCAATGTGTCACATTGCTCAAAAAACACACATCTCAGGCTATTTTGTGGGGGAGCACATTGAAACACTCCTGGAACCTCTTCCTCAGAATTATATAAGCTAGAATGTAAATCGAGACTCACATTTCATCAGACAAAAGGGGTTGGTATAATAAAACACTTGCAATATCAATGATATTTGGCATTCAAATCTAATTATAAAATGGATATTAGAAAACATATTTTATTATCTTCTCTTCTAAGTAGCATGACCATATGTCTCAGTTTTCTTCATCTAGCTTTCATCTGCTGCCTTTTTGTAATTATTAAAAATTTCCCCTTTCACTCTCAGATCTCTGCCAGCTTTGTGACAAATTATATGGTCACCATACATATGGTTACCATGCATATGACTCAGGCATGGCTTTCTCATACATTTTTGTAAGGCAGAGTACAACTTTTTACTGTTTCTCCTGGGTCTAGTGAGACCCTGCATGTTTCAGAGTTGACTCCATTGGAGAAGGACAGGAAGAGAAGGAAGATTTTAACAGAAAGGTAGATGAAATGCCTGAATAGGCATTTCTCAAAAGACGACATACAAAACTATATAAGATGAGATATATATATATCCCCCAAATCATGACAAAGTTACACCCAGCTATTACGTGGGTATGAATGTGTATGTGTGGATGTGTGTGGCGGTATGGGGGTGTAATAAAATTGCTTCCCATCTTTGCCCTGCTAAACGCCAGCCCTAAACCATGGGCTTATCATCATCAACTTGAAGCTACAGGAAATTCTCTTTCACTATTAGTAGGAAACGTAAGCATATTTTCCCAGAGAAACAGCTGTCAGCTAAGCAGAGCTCTGTGGGGTCAATAACACAGAAAGATATAAAAATAGATCTAGCTTTATCTGTGTATTTTATTATCTCTATGCATTTTATTATAAATATATCATCTGTGTATTTTTGTGTATATATATATGTATATATATATGTGTATATATATATGTATATATATATGTGTATATATATATGTATATATATATGTGTATATATGTATATATATGTGTATATATATGTATATATATATGTGTATATATATATGTATATATATATGTGTATATATATATGTGTATATATATACGTATATATATATGTGTATATATATATATATATATATAAAACTTATGACACAATATGTTTAAATGGCGAAGATACTCCTGGTGGTTTCTTTGGGTGAACTGTTAATAGAACACTTTTTTTTTTTTAACACAAACTGCATTGATCCCTAGATGCCGTAAAGATTTTCCTCCACTATTGAGGCTGATGCAAAGGAGCGGAACAGGAAGACACAGATGATGATGATAAGAAGAACCTCCGTGGAAAACAGTATGGAGATTTTTCAAAGAACTAAAAATAGAACTATTTGATCCACCAGTCCCACTACTGGGTTATCTAACCGAAAGAAAAGACATCATTCTATCAAAAAGATAACCTGCACTCATGATTATCAGAGCACTATTCACAATAGCAAAGCTCCATTCATGTTGCTGCAAAAGACATGATTTTATTATTTTTTTTTATGGCCGAGTAGTGTATTTTTCCACATTTTCTTTATTCTACCATCCACTGATGGACACTTAGGCTGATTCCATATCTTTGCTAATGTGGTCTGCGGAATGCACAGAGAGCTGGGCTCCCAAGGGCAGGCACAAGCACCAGCTCTGAGAAGGTCTGAAGGACAGCCACCAAACACCAGAGACATGCCCAGGCACAAGCAGAGAAACTGCCACTGCATCAAGTTCTCCACACAAGAAGGGAGGGGCAGCCCAAGCCCCTAATTCAAGCGAGCAGGTGCACTAAATGCCTAGAGATATAACCAGGTGAGGTGCAGAGAAACCACTGCAGCACCAAGTTCCTTGCACAGGAAGGGAGGGCAGCCCAAGCTCCTAATCCAGATGAATGGGTATGGGATCCACATCCCTGTTACTCCTCAGAACCAGAGGAGCTCACTCCTCCATTTGATCAAGGGAGGAAGCTGAGGCACCCAGCATTGTCACATGCAGACTGGCCCCAGGTCGCAAAGTAGTTCTTCTTTGCAAATCTCACTGCGCAGACAAAATCACAGTATGGAGATCTTCAGCAAATCTCCTATTCCAATCCTGCAAATGGAGAGAGTCAAACTCTAGCACCTATGGCTGCAGTGCATTCCACACTGGCCACTCAATTCTGACTGTGGGAGCCCTTCCCCCACTCCAGGCCAAGCACTCCAGTCTCTAGCCTGAGACTCAAATTCCTGCAGCAGCCCTTGCTGCCAGGCCACTGAACACTGCCCAGCTTGGGATAAATCCAGATTTAGAATGACATCCTCCCATTGGTCTCAGGACTAGAAAAATGTCTGCAGCCTTTGTCTCAGTGTCTTTCCCTCCACAGTCTCTTGGCCTCTCCTCAAGTTACCTCCAAAGCGTGGGAGGGACAAGGTGCTCTTCCATGGCCTGAGTTGTAGGAATCCCTAGTACAAAGCTGGATTACAGAGGGAGACTCTCCACCTCCTCACATACCAGGGCTTCACTCACAGGTCTCAGCCAAATACCACCACGAAGTCTGCTTGCTGACTTTCTCTTCCCCAAGATCTAAAGTGACCTTCACTTTTCTGGTGAATTCCCAAGTTTCTTCTTGAATAAAAGCTCACAATGCAAATCTCTACACACTTTTTTGTTATTTCCAAGTTGGTGAGGCATGCTGATAAAGCCTCTAATCTGCATCTCGGGGGCAAAAATCACTTTACTGTGATTGCTAATTAAAATGCATATTTCTTTGTTTTACTAACTAAGCAGAGTTCTTCTGTTATGTTAAATGTAAGTAATGCAACCCAATGTTACTGACCAAATGATGATGACATGTTAATGAATGTAATTTCCACAAAAGAATCTTGCTTTGCCCTTTAACAGGAATTAAAAATGCCTCAATCCAAAGGATTAATAATGAAGATTTCAGGGGTGCCTGGACAGGGTAGCTGGTGAGAAATTTGGAAGTCTTGAACAGAGCATATAACATGCGCATTCATGTACATAATAGTGATTAAGAGTTCAGGCACTGGATTTATTCTGTCTGATCTCAATTCCTGCCCTGCTGTGTTAGCTTGAGAAAGTTACCTAAATTCTTAACCATTCTGGGCTTCTATTTTCTTCCCTGAAAAATAAGAATAATAGGGGTGACATTCGTGAAAATGGCAAACTAAGGCCCTCTGAAAATTCTCTCCTTCATAAAAGCAATGAGAAATATTGAAAAAAAAATTATCAGAATCAACTCTCTCAGAACACTGGAAACTAACCAAAGGCTTACATCAATCCAAGGAGTTGTTATTCAAAAATTAAAAGTGGCTAAATCTAGGTAAGGTCAGTGGGCTCTAGGACATTTTAACTTTCCCTTTCCCAGTCCAGCTTCAGTATAGCCTTGACTTTTAGCAGTCCATGATCATGGTGCAAGCCAGCAGCATGGCAGCCATGGAAGGGGCAGAGCAAGGTTGGGGCTCCTACAAAGCTCCATTCACAGAGAATTGTAATGATTTAATCTATCTGGTGGTTCTTTGGAAGGCTCTAGTTGCAAGGTTGTCATGCACCTTGCTCATTGTGAACAGCCTTTTCTTCTTGGTCATTTCTCAGAAACCATCATAGGCAATTGTTTAACTCTGTGGTTGCCTGAAGTGGTAGATACAGTTAGAGTAACAATAGGCTGACAAAAAAGCTTAAAAGGAAAATCTGGGTAGTAAGATATCTATGCAGGGATTTGAACAGCTCTAACATATTTCTGATAATACAGAAGGCCACGTGTATGGGTAGGCTAAGCTTGCAGGTAGAGCTGTACACATGCTCAAAAGAGACATGAGAAGGACCTAAACTCTTACCTCTGGATAACCTTAACACTCTACACAAGTAGGAGGTAAAGGCTAAGGTGTAGCTGTAAACTGCCTGTTTGAATGTTAAAAGCATGCACCAACATGAGAACAGAGACCCCTCAGCAGAGACTGGAAGACTTACTGGCTCTAGTCATTTAGGAAGATATTTAGCCAATTATTAGCTGATCACTAACATAACCAAGCAGAGAGTTCAGTAACCATATAGGACAAAAAAATACAGAAAAAATAATATTAGTTATGAAAGTCACTAAATAAACAAAAACAACAACCAATAAAAAAAGATGAGGTAAAAATATAATTTCCAGAATCAACACATTATATTATTTAAAAATTCAATTTTCAACAAAAAATTATAAGACAGGCAAACAAACACAAAGCCATGGCCCTAAGAAAATAACCAAAAAATAAAATAAAATGCTTTTTAAGACTAAATTTAACCAAGGAGGTAAAAAAGTTGTATACCTAAAACTATAAAGCATTGATCAATCAATGCTTTATGGCTTTAAATATAGTCAAGAAGACACAAATAAATGGGAAGACATCCCATGTTCATAAATCGAAATAATAATGTTAAAATGTACATACTACCCCAAGTGATCTACAGATGTAATGCAATCCCTGTTAAAATTCCAATGTTATTCTTCACATAAATAGAACAAAAACTCTAAAGTTTATATAAAACCATAAAAAAACCCAATTGCCAAAGCAATCTTGAATGAACAGTACAAAGCTTGAAGCATCACACTACCCAACTTCAAAATATTGGGATTTAAAAACAGACACATTAGTCAACGGAATCAGATAGAGAACCCAGAAATAAATTAACATAATTAACATCTGTGGTTAAGGAATTTTTAATAAAAGTGCCAAGAACACACAATGGAGAAAGGACAGTCTCTCTAATAAATGGTGTTAGAAAAACTGGTTATCTACATTCAGAAGAATGAAATTGGACCCATATCTCACCATTTATATAAGAATCAACTCATTATAGATTAAAGACTTAAATATAAGACCTAAAACTATAAAACTACTAGAAGAAAACATAAGGAGGTAGTTACATGACATTGGCTTGGGCAGTGATTTCTTGCATATGACCCCAAAATCACAAGCAACAAAAGCAAAGAGACAAACTGGATTGCATCAATCTAAAAAGCTACTGCATAGCAAAGGAAACAATTGACAGAATGAAAAGACAACCCTCAAATTAGGAGAAAATATTTGCAAATCATACATGAGCTAAGGGGCTCATATCCAAAATACATAGGCAACTCAAACTACTCAATAACAAGAAAGCAAATAACCCTATTTTAAAAATGGGCAAAGGACCTGAATAGACATTTCTCAAAAGAATACATACAAAAAGCCAACAAATATATGAAAAAAATATTCAACATAACTCATCATCATGAAAATGCAAATTAAAACCACAATGAAATACATCTCACATCTAATACAAGGTCTGTTATCAAAAAGATGCAAGATGTGTGTTGGTGAAGATGGAGAGAAGAGGCAACCATTATATACTGTTGGCAAGGAGGCAAATTAGTACAGCTATTTTGTAAATAGTATGGAGGTTCCCCAAAAAACTAAAAATGATGCAGCAATCACACTTCTGGGTATGTATTAAAGGGAATTAAAATCAACTTCTCAAGGAGCTAGCTGCATTCCTATGATAACTGCAGCATTGTTCACAATAGCCAAAATATGGAAATAACCTAAGTTCCCATCAACAGATTAATGGATTTTTTTAAATACATGATATATACAAATGGGATACTATTCTGCCTTTAAAAAGAACAAAATTCTGTCATTTGTGACAACTGGATGAAGCTAAAGGACATTATGCTAAGTGAAATAAGCCAGGCACAGAAAGACAAATATCACATTATCTCACTTATATGTTGAATCTAATAAAGTTGAACTCATAGAAGTAGACAGAGGAATTGTAATTAACAGGGATTTGGGGAGGAGGAATAGAGAAAGAGGAATTTTTGGTCAAAGGATATAAAGTTTCAGTTAGGCAGGTGAAATGAGTTTTATTGCACAGCAAAATGACTACAGTTAATATTAATATATTGTGTATTTCAAAAATCACTAAAAAAGTGGAATTTAAATGTTCTAATCCCAAAGAAATGATAAATATGTGAGGTGTTGGATATGTTACTTAGCTTGATTTGCTCATTCTACAATGTATACATGCATCGAAATATCACATTGTACCCTATAAATACATACATTGTTATTTGTCAATTAAAAATAAAAATAATTTTTTAGAAAAGGAGGCATGGCCCATACACAGACACATACACACACACAACCCAAGCAGTCAATAGAAATTGTCCCTGAGAAAATTGAGATGTTAGACTTAACTGAGAAAGACTTTAAATTAGCTATTTTAAATATGTTTTTTAAAATACAGAAAACCATGTCTAAGGCACTAATGAATAATATTAGAACATGTCTCAGCAAATAGAGACTACCAATAAAAAGAAATTACTTTTTTACATAGATAAATACATATTTTGCAGTTGAAAAGTATAATACCTGAAATGAATACTTTACCAGACAGGCTCAAGAGCAGATTTGAGCAGGCAGAAGAAAAAAATCAGTGAACATAAAGATGGATCAATTTAAATTATCTAGTATGAGGGAGACAATGAAAAAACTAATGAGACCTCAGAGAGCTTTGTGCCAGTATCAAGTGGGCCAACAAACATATAATGGGAGTTCCAGAAGCAGAGAAGAGAGAAAGGGGAAGAAAGAATATGTGAAGAAATAATAGCTGAAACCATTTCAAATTTAATGAAAAACATTAATAACACACCCAAGAAGCTTATTAACTCCAAGTAGGATAAATTCAGATATTCATACCTAGACATATAAAATCAAACCATCAAAAGCCAAGGCAAAAAATTCTTGAAAGCAGCAAGAGAAAAACAACTCATCAGGTACAAAGGATTGCCAAAAAGATAACAGCTGATTTCTTATCAGAAACTATAAAGGCTAAAGAATGACATATTCACAGTGCCAAAAGAAAAACACTGTCAAGCAAGAATTATATATTCAACAAAACTAAACTTCAAAAATAAAGTTAAGTCATTCTCAAATAAACAAAAATTTAGAGAATTTATCACTAGCGAATCTTCTCTACCAGATATTCTAAATGTTGTCTTTCAGGCTGAAATTAATGGACTATAGTTAACAACTCAAACCTAATGAAGAAATTAAAAGCACTGTTAAAAGTACACAGGTAAAAGATAAAAGACAGTGTAAATATATTTTTAATGCTATTTTATCTTTCCTGATTTAAAAAGCAATTACATAAAGCAATAATTACAAATCTGTGTTCTTGGTCACAGTGTATAAAGATGTAATTTGAATAACAATAAGAGTAAAGGTAGGAAGAAGGAATAGAGCTAGACAGCGCTTTTCTATAATATTGTTATTAAATTGGTATTCATCTAAACTAGACAATTATAAGTTAGGACATTAATTGTAATCCACATGGTGACCATTAAGAAAATAAATTGAAAAATATAATAAAAATTAAAAATAAAAGTAGGAATTAAAATAGTATAGTAGAAAATATCAATTTAATGTAAAAGAAAAAAATAATGGGGAAATGGAACAAAAAGCACATAACACATATAAAAATATAGCAAAATGGGTGATATAATTCTTATGTTAATCATATTATATACAAATGTATTAAACATGCCAATTAAAAGGCAGAAATTCAAATAAGAGATTCATAAAAAAAGAGATTTATAATTCAACTATATGCTATCTACCAGAGACCCAGTTTAGATTAAAGACAAAAGTAAGTTAAAAGTGAAAGGATGGGAAAAACATACAATGTAAACAGTAATAAAAGGAGAATGGGAATAACTATTCTAATAGCAGACAAAATAGACTTTAAGTAAAAAAAAATACTAAGGACAAAGAAGGGCATTTTATAACTATAAAGAAGTCTATTCATAAAGAAGACAAAATAATTATAAACATGCATGCTCCCAACAACAGAGACCCAAAATACATAAAGCAAATTTGTACACAATTAAAGAGAGAAAAACAATTAAATAATGATAATTGGATAATGTATAATGTATTAGAAAAACAGAGATAACTAAGCAAATAGAGGAATTGAACAACACAATAAACCAACTAAACATAACAGACATGTATAGAACATTCGACCCAACAACAGCAGAATGCACATTCTTCTCAAATACAGAAGGAACATTCTCCAGGATAGACCATATAATAGGCCATAATGAAAGCCTTTGTAAATTTAAATAGAATGAAATCATACTAAGTATAATCTCTGACAATGGAATAAAATTAGAAATCATTAGAAAAAATTGAAAATCAAAAACTGTAAAAATTAACCTGCACAATTCTAAATAATTAATGAAAGAAAGAAGAAATCACAAGGGAAACAAGAAAATATTTTGAGATTACTGAAAACAAAATACAATATACTAAAACAAATGGCATACTATGAAAATAGTGCTGTGAAAAAATGTGTAGCTGTAAATGCCTACATAGAAAAAGAAGAAAGATCTTAAATCAATAACCTAAGTTTCCACCCTAGGAAACTAGAAAAAGGAGAGCAAACTAACCCCAAGGGAAAAAGAAGGAAGAAATCATAAAAATACAGTGAGAATTAATGAAGTAAAAAATAGAAAAACAATAGAGGAAATCAACAAAATCAAAAATTAGTTCTTTGAAAAGATGAACAAAATTGACAAATGTTAAGCTGACAAAGAAAAGAAAGAGAGAAAAACCAAATTAGTAGTTATGAAAGAAGGAAGGGGTCATTATTTTGGACCTTGCAGAAATAAAAAGAATTATAAAAGAATACTATAAATAATTGTGTGCCAACAAATTAGATAATCTAGATGAAATGGATAATTTCTAAGAAAATCACTCAGTACTAAAACTGACTCAAAAAGAACAGAAATTCTGAATAGTTCTCTAGCAAGAAAAGAGAGTGAATTAGTAATCAAAAAGCCTCACCCAAATGAAAGCACAGGATCAGGTGGCTCTACTGGTATACTCTAATGCCTAAAGAAGTAACACTAATCTTTCACAAACTTAGCCAAAAATTAGAAGAGAAGGGAGCACTTCTCAACTCATACTATGAAGCCAGCATTATCAAAACATTAAAACTAGACAAAAACAGCGTGAGCGAAGCAGAAGATGGGTGATTTCTGCATTTCCATCTGAGATACCAGGTTCATCTCACAAGGGAGTGCCAGACAGTGGGCGCAGGACAGTGGGTGCAGAGCACCGTGCACGAGGCGAAGCAGGGCGAGGCATTGTCTCACTCAGGAAGCATAAGGGGTCAGGGAGTTCCCTTTCCTAGTCAAAGAAAGGGGTGACAGATGGCACCTGGAAAATCGGGTCACTCCCACCCTACTACTGCACTTTTCCGACCGGCTTAAAAAATGGCGCACCAGGAGATTATATCCCGCACATGGCTCAGAGGGTCCTACGCCCACGGAGTCTCACTGATTGCTAGCACAGCAGTCTGAGATCAAACTGCAAGGCGGCAGCGAGGCTGGGGGAGGGGCACCTGCCATTGCCCAGGCTTGCTTAGGTAAACAAAGCAGCCAGAAAGCACCAACTGGGTGGAGCCCACCACAGCTCAAGGAGGCCTGCCTGCCTCTGTAGGCTCCACCTCTGGGGGCAGGGCACAGACAAACAAAAAGACAGCAGTAACCTCTGCAGACTTAAATGTCCCTGTCTGACAGCTTTGAAGAGAGCAGTGGTTCTCCCAGCATGCAGCTGGAGATCTGAGAACGGGCAGACTGCCTCCTCAAGTGGGTCCCTGACCACTGACCCCCGACCAGGCTAACTGGGAGGTACCCCCCAGTAGGGGCAGACTGACACCTCACACGGCTGGGTACTCCTCTGAGACAAAACTTCCGGAGAAATGATCAGACAGCAGCATTCGTGGTGAACGAAACTCCGCTGATCTGCAGCCACCGCTGCTGTTATGCAGGCAAACAGGGCCTGGAGTGGACCTCTAGGAAACTCCAACAGACCTGCAGCTGAGGGTCCTGTCTGTTAGAAGGAAAACTAACAAACAGAAAGGACATTAACACCAAAAACCCATCTGTATATCACCATCATCAAAGACCAAAAGTAGATAAAACCACAAAGATGGGGAAAAAACAGAGCAGAAAAACTGGAAACTCTAAAAAGCAAAGTGCCTCACCTCCTCCAGAGGAACACAGTTCCTCACCAGCAACAGAATAAAGCTGCACAGAGAATAACTTTGACGAGTTGAGAGAAGAAGGCTTCAGACGATCAAACTACTCCAAGCTACAGGAGGAAATTCAAACCAAAGGCAAAGAAGTTGAAAACTTTGAAAAAAATTTAGATGAATGTATAACTAAAATAACCAATACAGAGAAGTGCTTAAAGGAGCTGATGGAGCTGAAAGCCAAGGCTCAAGAACTACGTGAAGAATGCAGAAGCCTCAGGAGCCGATGCAATCAACTGGAAGAAAGGGTATCAGTGATGGAAGATGAAATGAATGAAATGAAGCAAGAAGGGAAGTTTAGAGAAAAAAGAATGAAAAGAAACGAACAAAGCCTCCAAGAAACATGGGACTATGTGAAAAGACCAAATCTACATCTGATTGGTGTACCTGAAAGTGACGGGGAGAATGGAACCAAGTTGGAAAACACTCTGCAGGACATTATCCAGGAGAACTTCCCCAATCTAGCAAGGCAGGCCAACATTCAGATTCAGGAAATACAGAGAACGCCACAAAGATACTCCTCGAGAAGAGCAACTCCAAGACACATAATTGTCAGATTCACCGAAGTTGAAATGAAGGAAAAAATGTTAAGGGCAGCCAGAGAGAAGGGTCAGGTTACCCACAAAGGGAAGTCCATCAGACTAACAGCGGATCTCTCAGCAGAAACTCCACAAGCCAGAAGAGAGTGGGGGCCAATATTCAACATTCTTAAAGAAAAGAATTTTCAACCCAGAATTTCATATCCAGCCAAACTAAACTTCATAAGTGAAGGAGAAATAAAATCCTTTACAGACAAGCAAATGCTGAGAGATTTTGTCACCACCAGGCCTGCCCTAAAAGAGCTCCTGAAGGAAGCACTAAACATGGAAAGGAACAACCGGTACCAGCCACTGCAAAAACATGCCAAATTGTAAAGACCATCAAGGCTAGGAAGAAACTTTATCAACTAACGAGCAAAATAACCAGCTAACATCATAATGACAGGATCAAATTCACACATAACAATATTAACTTTAAATGTAAATGGACTAAATGCTCCAATTAAAAGACACAGACTGGCAAATTGGATAAAGAGTCAAGACCCATCAGTGTGCTGTACTCAGCAAACCCATCTCACATGCAGAGACACATATAGGCTCAAAATAAAAGGATGGAGGAAGATCTACCAAGCAAATGGAAAACAAAAAAAGGCAGGGGTTGCAATCCTAGTCTCTGATAAAACAGACTTTAAACCAACAAAGATCAAAAGAGACAAAGAAGGCCATTACATAATGGTAAAGGGAGCAATTCAACAAGAAGAGCTAACTATCCTAAATATATATGCACCCAATACAGGAGCACCCAGATTCATAAAGCAAGTCCTGAGTGACCTACAAAGAGACTTAGATTCCCACACAATAATAATGGGAGACTTTAACACCCCACTGTCAACATTAGACAAATCAACGACACAGAAAGTTAACAAGGATACCCAGGAATTGAACTCAGCTCTGCACCAAGCGGACCTAATAGACATCTACAGAACTCTCCACCCCAAAGCAACAGAATATACATTTCTTTCAGCACCACACCACACCAATTCCAAAATTGACCACATAGTTGGAAGTAAAGCTCTCCTCAGCAAATGTAAAAGAACAGAAATTATAACAAACTGTCTCACAGACGACAGTGCAATCAAACTAAAACTCAGCATTAAGAAACTCACTCAAAACTGCTCAACTACATGGAAACTGAACAACCTGCTCCTGAATGACTACTGGGTACATAATGAAATGAAGGCAGAAATGAAGATGTTCTTTGAAACCAACGAGAACAAAGACTCAACATACCAGAATCTCTGGGACACATTCAAAGCAGTGTGTAGAGGGAAATTTATAGCACTAAATGCCCACAACAGAAAGCAGGAAAGATCCAAAATTGACACCCTAACATCACAATTAAAAGAACTAGAAAAGCAAGAGCAAACACATTCAAAAGCTAGCAGAAGGCAAGAAATAACTAAAATCAGAGCAGAACTGAAGGAAATAGAGACACAAAAAACCCTTCAAAAAATTAATGAATCCAGGAGCTGGTTTTTTGAAAAGATCAACAAAATTGATAGACCGCTAGCAAGACTAATAAAGAAAAAATGAGAGAAGAATCAAATAGATGCAATAAACAATGATAAAGGGGATATCACCACCAATCCCACAGAAATACAAACCACCATCAGAGAATACTACAAACGACCTCTACGCAAATAAACTAGAAAATCTAGAAGAAATGGATAAATTCCTCGACACATACACCCTCTCAAGACTAAACCAGGAAGAAGTTGAATCTCTGAATAGACCAATAACAGGCTCTGAAATTGTGGCAATAATCAATAGCTTACCAACCAAAAAGAGTCCAGGACCAGATGGATTCACAGCCGAATTCTACCAGAGGTACAAGAAGGAACTGGTACCATTCCTTCTGAAATTATTCCAATCAATAGAAAAAGAGGGAATCCTCCCTAACTCATTTTATGAGGCCAGCATCATCCTGATACCAAAGCCGGGCAGAGACACAACCAAAAAAGAGAATTTTAGACCAATATCTTTGATGAACATTGATGTAAAAATCCTCAATAAAACACTGGCAAACAAAATCCAGCAGCACATCAAAAAGCTTATCCACCATGATCAAGTGGGCTTCATCCCTGGGATGCAAGGCTGGTTCAATATATGCAAATCAATAAATATAATCCAGCATATAAACCGAACCAAAGACAAAAACCACATGATTATCTCAATAGATGCAGAAAAGGCCTTTGACAAAATTCAACAACCTTCATGCTAAAAACTCTCAAGAAATTAGGTATTCATGGGACGTATCTCAAAATAATAAGAGCTATCTATGACAAACCCACAGCCAATATCATCCTGAATGGACGAAAACTGGAAGCATTCCCTTTGAAAACTGGCACAAGACAGGGATGTCCTCTCTCACCACTCCTATTCAACATAGTGTTGGAAGTTCTGGCCAGGGCAATTAGGCAGGAGAAGGAAATAAAGGGTATTCAATTAGGAAAAGAGGAAGTCAAATTGTCCCTGTTTGCAGATGACATGATTGTATATCTAGAAAACCCCATTGTCTCAGCCCAAAATCTCCTTAAGCTGATAAGCAACTTCAGCAAAGTCTCAGGATACAAAATCAATGTACAAAAATCACAAGCATTCTTATACACCAATAACAGACAAACAGAGAGCCAAATCATGAGTGAACTCCCATTCACAATTGCTTCAAAGAGAATAAAATACCTAGGAATCCAACTTACAAGGGACATGAAGGACCTCTTCAAGGAGAACTACAAACCACTGCTCAATGAAATAAAAGAGGATACAAACAAATGGAAGAATATTCCACGCTCATGGGTAGGAAGAATCAATAGCGTGAAAATGGCCATACTGCCCAAGGTAATTTATAGATTCAATGCCATCCCCATCAAGCTACCAATGACTTTCTTCACAGAATTGGAAAAAACTACTTCAAAGTTCATATGGAGCCAAAAAAGAGCCCGCGTCGCCAAGTCAATCCTAAGCCAAAAGAACAAAGCTGGAGGCATCACACTACCTGACTTCAAACTATACTACAAGGCTACAGTAACCAAAACAGCATGGTACTGGTACCAAAACAGAGATATAGATCTGTGGAACAGAACAGAGCCCTCAGATATAACGCCACATATCTACAACTATCTGATCTTTGACAAACCTGAGAAAAACAAGCAATGGGGAAAGGATTCCCTATTTAATAAATGGTGCTGGGAAAACTGGCTAGCCATATGTAGGAAGCTGAAACTGGATCCCTTCCTTACACCTTATACAAAAATTAATTCAAGATGGATTAAAGACTTAAACGTTAGACCTAAAACCATAAAAACCCTAGAAGAAAACCTAGGCATTACCATTCAGGACATAGGCATGGGCAATGACTTCATGTCTAAACACCAAAAGCAATGGCAACAAAAGCCAAAATTGACAAATGGGATCTAATTAAACTAAAGAGCTTCTGCACAGCAAAAGAAACTACCATCAGAGCAAACAGGCAACCTACAAAATGGGAGAAAATTTTCGCAACCTACTCATCTGACAAAGGGCTAATATCCAGAATCTACAATGAACTCAAACAGATTTACAAGAAAAAAACAAAGAACCCCATCAAAAAGTGGGCGAAGGACATGAACAGACACTTCTCAAAAGAAGACATTTATGCAGCCAACAAACACATGAAAAAATGCTCATCATCACTGGCCATTAGAGAAATGCAAATCAAAACCACTATGAGATACCATCTCACACCAGTTAGAATGACAATCATTAAAAAGTCAGGAAAGAACAGGTGCTGGAGAGGATGTGGAGAAATAGGAACACTTTTACACTGTTGGTGGGACTGTAAACTAGTTTGAGCATTGTGGAAGTCAGTGTGGTGATTCCTCAGGGATCTAGAACTAGAAATACCATTTGACCCAGCCATCCCATTACTGGGTAGATACCCAAAGGACTATAAATCATGCTGCTATAAAGACACATGCACACGTATGTTTATTGCGGCACTATTCACAACAGCAAAGACTTGGAACCAACCCAAATGTCCAACAATGATAGACTGGATTAAGAAAATGTGGCACATATACACCATGGAATACTATGCAGCCATAAAAAATGATGAGTTCATGTCCTTTATAGGGACATGGATGAAATTGGAAATCATCATTCTCAGTAAACTATCACAAGGACAAAAAACCAAACACCGCATGTTCTCACTCATAGGTGGGAATTGAACAATGAGAACACATGGACACAGGAAGGGGAACATCACACTCTGGGGACTGTTGTGGGGTGAGGGGTGGGGGGAGGGATAGCATTAGGAGATATACCTAATGCTAAATGACGAGGTAATGGGTGCAGCACACCAGCATGGCACTGTATACATATGTAACTAACCTGCACATTGTGCACATGTACCCTAAAACTTAAAGTGTAATAATAATAAAATAAAATAATAAAAAAAAAACTAGACAAAAACATCACACAAAAGAAAATCACAGGTCAATAATCTTTATGAATATAGATACAAAAAGCCTAAACAAAATACTGGCAAACTAAGTCCAACAACATTTAAAAATCACTACGCACATGACCAAGTGGAATTTATCCCAGAAATGCAAGTTGGCTTCAACACACAAAATCAATCAATTTAATAAAATAAAGGACAAAAACCATATAATCATCTCAACAGATACAGGAAAAAAAATTTGACAAAACCCAACACTCTTTTATGATGAAAATGCAAAACAAACCAGAAATAGAAGGTGAAGTAAGCAGAATAATGCCCCTACATTGATGTCCATCCTATTGCAGAACCTGAAATATGTTACCTTACATGACCAAAGGGAGACAAAATAGACTTTAAGTCAAAAAATAATACTAAGGACAAAGAAGGGCATTTTATAACAATAAAAGAGTCTATCCATAAAGAAGACAAAATAATTATAAACATGTATGCACCCAACAACAGAGACACAAAATACATAAAGAAAATTTGTACAGAATTAAAGAGAGAAAAACAATTAAATAATAGTAATTGGAGAATTTAATACACCACTTTCAATAATGTATTAGAAAATAGTAGATATGATTAAATTAAAGGTTTTCAGATTAGGAAATAATCCTGTATTATTTGGCCAGGCCCGTTGTAGAGAGACGCAAGTAGGTCAAAGTCAGAAAAAGGAGATAAGATGGTGGAATCAGAGATTGGAGTAATATATCTTGAAGATAGAGGAAGGAGTCATGAATTAAGAAATACAACCAAACTCTAGAAGCTAAAAAAGGAAAGGAAATGGATTCTTCCATAGAAATTCCAGAAAAATATGCAGTTCTGCTAGCACCATAATTTTAGCTCTTAAAATCCACTTTGTACCTCCGACTTCAAGAACTGTAAAAAAATTTACAATGTTTTGGATCATTAAATTTGTGGTACTCTGTAACAGCAATAGGAAACTAAAACAGATGTGAACTTCCTTAACCTGATAAACGACATCTATGAAAACCCATAGCTAACATCATACTTAATGATGGAACACTGAAAGTTTTTCCTGTAAGATCAGGAAAAAGATAAAGGCAGTAGTTCTCATCACTTCTATTCGACATTGTACTAGGAGTTCTAGCCAAGACTGTGAGACAGGAAATAGAAATAAAAGGCATCCATATTAGAAAAGAGGGGCCGGGCGTGGTGGCTTATGCCTGCAATCCCAGTATTTTGGGAGGCTGAGGCAGGTGGATCACGAGGTCAGGAGATCGAGACGATCCTGTCTAACATGGTGAAACCCCGTCTCTATTAAAAATTCAGAAAATTAGCCAGGTGTGGTGGCGGGCACCTGTAGTCCCAGCTACTCTGGAGGCTGAGGCAGAAGAATGGTGTGAACCCAGGAGGCAGAGCTTGCAGTGAGCTGAGATCACACCACTGCACTCCAGCCTGGGCAATACAGCGAGACTCTGTCTCAAAAAAAAAAAAAAAAGAGGAAGTAAAACTATCTCTATTTGCATATAACATGATTTTGTATGTAGAAAATCCTAAGAAACCCACAAAATAAACAGACTACTGCAACTAACAAATTAATTCAGCATGGTTACAGGATACAAAATTAATGCATAAAAATCAATTGTATTTCAGCAATGAACAATCCAAAAATGAAGTTAATAAAATAATTCTATTTTGAATAGCATCAAAGGAATAAAATACTTACGAATAAATCTAACCAAAAAGTGGAAAATTAGCACATCAAAAACTGCAAAACATTATTGAAAAAAATTAAGGAATACTTCCAGCTTCTAGTTTAGTTTAGAGCCACCATTTCATTCTAACAACAAGAAAAAGCTAAGCAAACTGAAAAATCAACAACCTTCTTAAATGCATACAAGAAGTGAGGTCACAGGGCAAACCACTGCCCCTCAAATTGGAGAGAAGAACAGGCAGATACAGAGAATCACAACTTGCTGAAGGAGAAATCCACAGTCAGAAACTTCCTTGGGAACCAGTGCTGGGGTAGGAAAACCTGAACTGTAATTGGTATATTGCTGGAGGCTCAGTGTGAACAACTCAGGGAGTTAAAAACCCCAGGGGATGTAGTCACCGGGGCCCCCACACTTTTGTGAGTTTACCTCCAGAAGCTCTACCAGGTCTTCAGAGTGAATATAGGAGAAATATCTCCTAAAGTTTCTGGCAGGGGAAGGGGAAAGAAACCATTTTGAAACATGCCAGAGCATTCTATTCCTAACAACTCTGCCCTCAGGAGAAACAATTTTACCAGAGCTGAACCTTCTAGAGTTTTATTAGAACCTAACCTACCAGAGGGAATGAAAGTACTCAACTCCAGTTTCATCTGTCCTTCCACATGGGGGAAGGAAAATACCCAATTCCAGGCCTCTCTAGTCATTCTGCCCCTCCTAAAGGTAGCAGTGCTGGGGACTGAGAAACACTGGTGAAGTTCACAGTCCAGAGGCACAAGCCCACCAGAAGACTCAGAACTAAGAACAGGACTATAGAAATATTCCCCTCCTCCCACTTCTTACTACTAAATTACTACAGAACATAACTGACAAAGAATTGTCATCCTAAATAAGCAAATAACTCTTAAAACTCAATAATAAGAAAACAAAAAACTTGATTTTAAAATGGGCAGAAGATACTGAACAGACACCTCACCAAAGAAGATATACAGATGATAAATAAGCACATAAAAAAAATCACATGTCATTAGGGAATTGCAAATTAAAACAATGAGATACCACAGCATACCTATTAGGATAGTCAAAATTCAAAACACTGAAAACATCAAATGCTGGCAGGATGTGGAAAAACAGAAACTCTCATTCACTACTAGTGGGAATACAAAATTGTATAGTCACTTTGGGAAGACAGTTTGGTAATTTCTTATAAAACCAAATAATATTCTTGCCATGTGATCCAGCAATCATGTTCCTTGATATTTACCCAAAGGAGCTGAAAACTTGCCCAAAAAAAAACCTGAACAGAGTTGCTTTATTCATAATTGCCAAAGAAGCTTGAAAGCAACCAAGATGTCCTTCAGTAGGTGGATGGATAAATAAACTGTGGTACATTCAGACAATGGAATGTTATTCAGCACTGTAAAGAAAAGAGCTATCAAGCCACAAAAAGATATGAAGAAAGATTAAATGTATATTAAGTGAAGGAAGCCAATCTGAAAAAACAACATACTGTATGATTCCAACTGTATGATGTTGTGAAAAAGCAATCTACAAAGACAGTAAAAAGTTAGTAGTTACCAAGAGTTTAGGTGAGGGAGGGATAAATAGGCAGAGCAGAGAGCATTTTGAGGGCAATGAAACTATTTTGCATGATACTACAATGGTAGATACTTGTTGCCATACATTTGTCAAAACCCATAGAATGTACAGCATCAAGAGTGAACCCTCATGGAAACCAGGGACTTTTGCTGGTAATGATGTATCAGTGTAGATTCATACATTGCCACAAACACACCACTCTAGTGGAGGATGTCAATAGTATGGACAGTTGTGTATGTGTGGGAAAAGGGGCTATACGGAAAAGCTCACTTTCTGCTCACTTTTGGTATTAATCTAAAACTCCTCTAAAAATAAATTTTATTAATTAAAAAAATTAAGGATCACCTAAAAAAATAGAAACATATCCCATATTCATGGAGTAGAAGACAATATTGTCAAGATAGCAATACTTTCCAATTTGATGTGAAAATTGAGCATTACCCCTATCAAACTCCCAGCTGCTTTTTCGAAGAAATTGACAAGTTGATCTTAAAACTCATATAGGAATACTATGGATTTAAAATGGCCAAAACAACCTGGAAAAAGAACAAATTTGAAGAGCTCACACTTCCCAAGTTGAAAACTTAATACAATAATCAAGACTGCTTAACACTGCATAATGACAGACACATATTAATAGAATAGAATTCATAATCCAGAAATAAATGCATATATTTATGGTCAATTGATTTTCAAGAAGGGAACCAAGAAATTCAATGGAGAAAAAATAGTCTTTTTAACAAATAGGGCTGGGACTTCTGAATATCAAAATATCCACTTTCAAAAAAATTAAGTTGGACCCTTATTTTATACCATACACAAAAATTAACTCGAAATGGATGAATGATCTAAATGTAAGTACTAAAACTGTAAAACACTTAGAAGAAAACATAGGAGTGAGTCTTTGTGACCTTGGATTAGACAGTGTTTTTTGGATATGACACCAAAGGCACAAGCAACAAAAGAAAAAATAGATAAATTGATGTGATTAAAATTAAAAACATTTGTGTTTAAAGAACACTATAAAGAAAACATGGTGAAAGCCGGTCTCTACTAAAAATACAAAAATTAGCCAAATGTGGTGGTGTGCACCTGTAGTCCCAGCTAGTCGGGAGGCTGAGGCAGGAGAATCACTTGAACCCAAGAGGCGGAGTTTGCAGTGAGCTGATATCACACCACTGCACTCCAGCCTGGCAACAAAGTGAGACTCCGTCTCAAAAAAAAAAAAAAGGAAACGAAAAAAGAAAATGAAAACACAACCCACAAAAAAGAAGGAAATATTTGTAAGTCACATATCTGATAAGAATCAAATACCCAGAATATATAAAGTACTGTTATGATTCAACAATAAAAAGTCAAATAACCCAATTAAAAACTGGGTAAAGAATTCAATAGACATTTCTCCAAAGAAGATGTGTAAATGGCCAATAAGCTCATGAAAAGATATTCAACATGATTAGTAACTAGAAAAATGCAAATAGAAATTACAATAATATGCCACTTCACATCCACTCAGATGGCTATAATCAAAAAGGGACCATAACAAATCTTGGCAATGATGTGGAGAATGTGGAATCCTCATACATTGCTGGCAGAAATGCAAAATGGTGGTCACTATGAAAAACAGTTTGACAGTTCCTCAAAAAGTTAAATATATAATTATTAATACCAGCAATTTGTCTTCTAGGTTTATATCCAAAATAAATGAAAGCTTATGTCCACACAAAATTTTGTACATGAATGCTTATATCAGCATTATTCACAATAGCAAAAGAGTAGAAAAACCCAAGGCCATCGACTGATAAATGGATAAATAAAATGTGATATATGTGTACAATAGAATGTTATTCAGCCATGAAAAGGAATGAAGTACTGATACATGATACATGCTACAAAATGGAAGAAGCTTGAAAACATCATGCTAAGTGAAAAAAGACAGTAACAAAAGGCCACATACTGAATAGTTCCATTTATATGAAAAGTCCAGAACAAGCAAATCTGCAGAGAAAGTAGATTAGTAGCTGCCAAAACTATGGAGTAAAAAGGAATGAGGAGTAACTCATTGGATTTCTTTGGGGAGGGCTGATGAAAATGTTCTAGAATTAGATAGTGGTGATGATTGCCCAACTCCGTGAATATACTGAAATGTACATTTTTAAAGGATGAATTTTATGATTCCTGAATTGTATCTTAATTTTTTCATGTAAAGAGATGAGAATAATTGTAGCATCTCTCTCCAAATGTTTCTGTGAATATTAAAAATAAGAAAAGATATATAAGGCAATCAACATCGTGCCAGCCTAGAAGATGAGACTGATGATGATGATGGTGGTAGTGGTGGTAGTAGTGGTGTCATCCTGGGGAATGAATTGTGTTCACAGGTTTAAAGCCTAAATTTCAAACACCAAAGTGATCCATCTGCCCTCTACCTTGTTCGTCCCCACTACTCTTTTTCCCCAAACCCCCTTCCCTGCTGATCCAGCCTTTCTGGATCTGGTCCTCCTTTCAAACCCTGTTATTTAGCTCAATCCAGATAACAGTATCTACTCCTGGTAATTGTTACAGCCTTCTCTCTTGCTTGACCTGCAAAGTGAATGTGTCTCAAAATTTTCCCAAGTAGCCGCATCTTCTGACACGCAGCACTAGCACAGAGACTGGCTCGACACCCCACCTACACAACAAAACTGAAACTTCAGTCAGTCGTTTGAGGAGAGGGCATAATTTTGGAAAGTAGGAGCCTATGTCATAATTTTAATGAAGTAAGAACAGATTTTTTGGTTTGCACCCATTTGCAACATTACTGCTCACAGACAAGCTTCTCGGGGAAAGTGATTCATCAGTCAGCCATCCCATTTCAGGCAGTGGAGAAACAAATCACCATGCTGCACACATCATAAAAATGGAAATTGAGGAGGCTGTTCATTAATGCCGATTAGTTTTAAGCTTGGAATGGCTTTGATCTGCCGAGATTAATACACACACAAGAAATTCTCAGTGGGCCTTGGGTCCTTGGTAATATATAGTCCTTATTACCTTGCTGACTAATGAACCTTCAAGCCCAGGAGGAGCGACTTCTGATCATCCATAGTCAGACTAGCCGTCTTGCAGATAGGCCAGGATCAGAGCTGCCTGGGACAAACTTCCTGTCACACTGTCTTTCCCAGCCACTGTCATCTCAGGTATTTGCCATCCCTGAGGCAGGCAGGGATTGCTTCAGTTGATTTATTCTTACCAAAACTAAAGAATGATTTTGTTTTCAGATTTTTCTCAGCTACTTTTCGAACAAGCAACTGAGCACCAAGTAATCTAATGAGCGAATTAATAAAATGAGTTAATGGCTGAAGCTGGCTTAATGTGTTGCCCTCTGAGTATCAGGGTAGAAATATATTTTAAAGAGGGCCTCAAATCCCATAATGTGAGGGATTGGTTAATGGGAGAATTTTTAGCCTTGAGAAAAATTGAGAGGAATTTTTTTCTTTTTTGGTCATAGGGTGGAGCTTTTCAAATGCTTCAGATGCAGGCCACTGTCTATTGCAATCAGATTAGAGCTGGTCTTACCGTCAAATCTCACTCAAGATTGTAGGCTAGCTATGAGCAGGCACTACTGGCTACATGGTAGCCTGCCTCTTCTCTTCTCTTTTCTTTTTCTTCCACTCTTCCTTTCCTCTTTTATTGTCTTGTTCTCTCTCTCTCTCATATATATATGTGTGTATATACATATATATGTATATATATTATATATATATGGTCATAATGTGCTACCCTAATGTGCTACTGTGCTTATTCTTTCTCCACAGAATTTGGATGACAAAACTACAAACAATGCATTAAAAAAAAAAGAAAAGATGTGTGTCTTTAGGAACACTAACCACAACAAAGGCAATCATTTGGAAGTATTCCTTAAACGGCAGGTCCTGAAACTGTGGTCTCTGAACCTTTTTGAATGTATCCTTATACAAGTAAATGATTTTTAAAATGTATTTCCAACATGTATATATGTTTTATTTACAAATTATATACATGTACTATCATTATATACTATAAAAATTACAGTATGAAACATTCAAAAAATTTAAAAGACAAGATTAAAGTGGGGGTCAGCAAACCTTTTTAGAGTACCAGATAGTGAATATTTTAGGCTTTGCAGGCCATGTGTCTTTAACATACTACTTAACTCTGCTTTGCAGTGTGAAATTATCCATTCACGACATATAAACCCATGGACATGGCTGTGTTCCACTAAGACCTTATTTACAAAGACGGGGGTTAGAGTGGATTCAGCCCAGGGGCCATAGTTTGCCAACCTCTGAATTAAAACATAAACATTGCTAAAAGTCCTAACTATTTTCCCATACCCTCTTGGAGGTCACTGCCCAAGAATAGAAGAAGGAATATGACCAAAGACCTTTCTTTATTTTCCAATTCTTCATTGCTACTACAGAGCATAATTTGTTCTGTTATTTCTATATATGAGACAGAGGGGACAAAACACAGCTAGGATGGCATACAAATGCTGAGCTGTGGGCTGAGCTCACTTCTAGCTATAGAATTTACTCAACAAATTATATTATCTTACTACACAAGTCAGTTATATTTCTCAACAACTCTGTGGTTCGAATTCACACTTCAACAAAATGTCAAATTACTATGTGTTTTGAACCTTTGGAGATTCTGCCAAATAATCAAAGACATACATATCAAATTAGAAAATCCGAAGGCACTTCTAACTAATGGAAAATAAAACTCCAGCTAAAGCCCTAAGATCTCTGTGAGGGTGAGAGGGTGTGTGTGGGCGTGCATGTGTATGTGTGTGTTGGTTAAACAAATATTGTCATCTTGATATTTAAAAATATTATTGTTGCCTGTAATCCCAGCACTTTGGGAGGCCGAGGCGGGTGGATCACCTGAGATCAGGAGTTCGAGACCAGCCTGACCAACATGATGATATCCCATCTCTACTAAAAATACAAAAATTAGCTGGGTGTGGTGGCAGGCACTTGTAATCCCATCTACTCCGGAGGCTGAGGCAGGAGAATTGCTTGAACCTGGGAGGCAGAGGCTGCAGTGAGTCAAGACTGTGCCACTGCACTCCAGTCTGGATGACAGAGTGAGATTCCATCTCAAAAAAAAAGATGTTATTGTCTGCTGTGTGTTAAACACAATGTGTCTCCTGATTGATCTGTAAACAGAGATCTTGGAATTTTTTGACAAATTACTCAAGTCATCTGTATTAAATCCAGTTGAAATTGGAAAAAAAAAAGAGACAGATGAAAGTAACAGCTTTTGAGTATCAGGCTGGATTCATTGATAATTTTTTAAATCTTTATCCAGTGGTGTAGAAAATCTTAAGGCTATATTGACATGTTTAGAATGTCAGTGCAGTCAGCCCTCTTGACGCAGAGCCCTCTCTATGAGACTCTAGTAATAACTTCACCAAACAAAATGGAAGAGTTACTTTAATCATTTTAGTCAAATTGAATGTGTCAAGTAGAAATACTATGAATAGAGGCAGCACTAATTCAAAAACATGCCTTCAACCCCAATTAACGCAAGCCCAAGAAGTAGATGTTAGCAATCAGGAAAACTTGGTTTGAATGCACTTTGAATGCAACCCCTTTCAACACTCTGAGCCCTCGTTTCCTTATTATACAATAATAATACACGATTTACAAAATTATTGGGAGAGTAAAATGAAATCACATATACAAAATTGTCTCATACAATGCCTGGAACACACAGGCACTCACTAAATAGCTTGCATCTTTTTTCTCCTTTCTTCTCTTGAATGAAAAAACCCCTATCAAATTTACATGATAACTATGAAGATCCAAGAGATAATGAATGAAAAAGATGCCTCGTGAAATGGAAAACTCTCAACTCATGGAAGACTTGGTGTAACTAAAACTAGTCCAGGCTATCTTGATATGTTGCTACCTTGTAATACTTCACATAGGATGTCTTTTGGTCACCTAAAGAAAAACAAATTTACTACATCTCCCCCTCAGAAGACACTACCACAGGTGGATGCTAAAAAACCCCTCCCCGAACAGGTACTTTTCATGTCTGTGGGCAAAAGGCTCTTCCCAGTGTCTTTTCAAACACCATACAAAGAGAATATTATGCCTCAAAGATGACTTTTCTGTACACATAATAAACATCAGTCTTGACACATTCAACCCAAACGCAAGGTGACTAAAACAAAGCAGAGATTCAACTGCTTCTCTCTCTGTTTCTTTAACATCCCAGGATATCACCATAGGCCTCCAAAGTAGTTACATTTTTTAGCTGGAAGTGGCACGATGTAGTAATCCATGTAGTATGATTGGGGATGGCCAAATAGCCTGTACATTCAAAACTGATCACCATATACGACCTAAAATATCATTATCAACTTTTTTAGTCATGGATAAATTCACCAAATATGTCTGGTTTTCTACTCTTCAAGGTGCATGGCAGGATGGTTCTTCTTACTCCATCTCCTGTGGTTGGGTGTGGCTATGTGACTGGCTCTTACCAATTATTGGTAATTGGCAGTCTCACATGCATTCCCATGCTGGGGGATTTAAAAGCCAGTGGGAAACCTTCCAGAGCTCTTTCTCTCCACTAATATAGTGACCTGCAACATTCAAGATGGTGGCTGCTCTGACAACCAGGGTGAAGCTACACAACCAGAACCCGTGACACTTCATTATACATTATATGGCAGAAGCACAGAATAAACCCCTGTCATTTTAAGTCACTAAGATTTTTGGGATCTTTTGTTAATGCGGCAGAACACAGCTTATACTTAGAGCTGCACAAACAAAACAAGGTAGATTTTCACTCAACTGTTATCGGTAATTAATATACAATCAGCCAACGAATTATCCTTAAGAAACAGCAGATTTTTAAAGAAATAAAGCATGGAAAATTGCTTTGCTATTTGATGATAGAGAAATCATTAACACTCAGTATTCTGAAATACAGCACAATGCCAGGGAAGACAGACCAGAGTGAGACATGTTGGAAATTCTTTTGGGCACCTAGTGGCCTAAAAGCTATAATATATCAAGAGTCAATAAGGATTATCATAATAATTGCAAATATTTAATGAGAACTTACTACATGTTTAGTAAGTATTGTAGTAAGTATTTTACCTCAAATATGATATCCTGTTTAATCCTTACGATAACCTTATAATGTAAAAAGCTATTTCAATTTTACATGGATGATAAAGAAGGCAACAAAAAGATAAGTAATGTGTTGGTTACTTTTAGGTCTGTCTGGCCAAACTGGTGTCTCAATAGAAATAGTAGTAAATACACAGATGACAGATAAATTGAGAGGTGGAAGAGAGGAAGATTGGGGGAATAATATAGTTGTAGATATAAAGTCTATAAGTCTTTTCTTATTTGGTAATACTGAATATTTGCATTCCAGGTTCTTGCCAAAGAACATCATTTCAAATTCTCTGTTTATCTGAAGCTCAATGATAAGAAATCATTTTTCCTGGATGACTGCCTAAAGAACATGCACTCTACCCTTTCTTTGAGATCAATAGCTGTTAATAATTAGGGAGAGGGCATAGACCTCCTTATAAATCTTATGAAATCTTTGTACCCTTTTCCTAGAAAAATGTAAGTACACAAAATTTCAGAAGATCCTCAGACAGTCCTTTCAGCCCCAATATGGATTCTCTGGCCGACTATGGTTTCTAAATGGCTTTTTTCTAGTGACTAACCATAATCCTAATCACATGCTGGGCCCTTGTGCTACTGCAGAGGCCTTGGCATCTTATAGAAGCTGTGGTTTATTTAGATAGGACCAACTGATGTATTCTCTGCAAAGTCTATGGAGAGGTGTCAGGCAGTAGGACATTTGGTGGGTGCGTTGGCATCTTATAGAAGCTGTGGTTTATTTAGATAGGACCAACTGATGTATTCTCTGCAAAGTCTATGGAGAGGTGTCAGGCAGTAGGACATTTGGTGGGTGCGTTGGCATCTTATAGAAGCTGTGGTTTATTTAGATAGGACCAACTGATGTATTCTCTGCAAAGTCTATGGAGAGGTGTCAGGCAGTAGGACATTTGGTGGGTGCGTTGGCATCTTATAGAAGCTGTGGTTTATTTAGATAGGACCAACTGATGTATTCTCTGCAAAGTCTATGGAGAGGTGTCAGGCAGTAGGACATTTGGTGGGTGCGTTGGCATCTTATAGAAGCTGTGGTTTATTTAGATGATAGGACCAACTGATGTATTCTCTGCAAAGTCTATGGAGAGGTGTCAGGCAGTAGGACATTTGGTGGGTGCGTTGGCATCTTATAGAAGCTGTGGTTTATTTAGATGATAGGACCAACTGATGTATTCTCTGCAAAGTCTATGGAGAGGTGTCAGGCAGTAGGACATTTGGTGGGTGCGTTGGCATCTTATAGAAGCTGTGGTTTATTTAGATAGGACCAACTGATGTATTCTCTGCAAAGTCTATGGAGAGGTGTCAGGCAGTAGGACATTTGGTGGGTGCGTTGGCATCTTATAGAAGCTGTGGTTTATTTAGATGATAGGACCAACTGATGTATTCTCTGCAAAGTCTATGGAGAGGTGTCAGGCAGTAGGACATTTGGTGGGTGCGTTGGCATCTTATAGAAGCTGTGGTTTATTTAGATAGGACCAACTGATGTATTCTCTGCAAAGTCTATGGAGAGGTGTCAGGCAGTAGGACATTTGGTGGGTGCGATTTAGCCCAAGTGATGGTGCCGTCTTCTGCCTGTCTAGGGTAAAGTCCAAGCAGCTCAGAGGAAACTGCTTTATGGAACTTCTCAGAGCCCAACCATGACAACTTCAAACACGAAAATCATTACTTAGTAGGGTTGCACAAACTGCAGAACTTGCCACGTTTCATACTCCTAAAATGGTGCCTTTTGGGGGCCAAATTATCTCCTGGCCCTGGTTTATCCCACCCCCAAACCACCAGTCTAACCTTCCTTGTATCCAATTCTAACAAGTCTATATACAAAGAACGTGGCTCTTTTCCACTGCTGATGAGAGGGGAAATCCCTCTCTCAAGATGAGTGTCAATGTGACATTAAGTGAGAAAAGCAGGTTGCAGTTTTGCTTGCAAAATAAGTAATTGCTCCATCACTATTTATAAAAAAAAGTAGAAAAAAATACCAAAATGCTAATAGTAGTTATCTCTAGAGAGATTGAGAGTTTCATTTATAATATTCACTGGTTTTTTTTCAAATTACCTATATAAGCATACATTTTTAATGTTCATAATCAGAAAAGAGTACATGATATAAAAAGTATGTGAGAACTATCAGCTCTTGCTAGCAACTCCAAATACAACTGTTGGTTCTTACCATAGAGGAAGACAAGGGAAGGAACATTCCTTTGCTAAAAGCTTCATGCTTATGATTTCATTTAATCTTCACAGCAGGTCTATGATATAGATATTATCCACCTTTATAGTGGAAAGAAAAATTCTCTGAGACTTATGGCAATTTAATCCCATAATCACCTGAATAGAAAGCAGCAGTGCTGAATTTTAGTCTCCGATCTATCTATCTGATCTATCTGACTTCTACAACCTGGACACTTTCTCATATAGTAGAAATAGTCAAACAGTGAAATGATTAAAGTTGGTGTTTTCGCCTTCCAAGTCGCAGATATGATTGTTTAAACAAAAAAAAAAAAAAATAGTCCATGTTTTGTGGACTATGCCCAGGCTAGGGAGGAAGTCAATGTTTGCCTCTTATTAAAGCCAAGACTGCCAATCCACTGGATGCCCTGCTCCTCTCTATGGAGTACAAGAAAGCTTCAGAACTTGAGGAAATGTGCAAGCAGAGCCCAGTAATCAAGTAAGGAGCCATTGCAGGGAAATAAGCTCCCTGCCTGCAGCCACAGAACAGACCAAGACCCAGCAGTCAGTCACTGCTCTGCAACGCGGGCTCCCACGAAGGCCTGCTCAGCTTTCCACTATCTTCCCAGAGATTCCTAGAGAAAAACAATGTTTTCTCTCATTGCAAGACTGCAGGGCCATGCCCAGGGCCAAGAGTGAGGCAGGATTTGGCTGGAATCCGCATCAGATGGCTGCACAACTGGTACAGTGGATAGGAGACTGGAGCTTATAAGGCCAAGGTTGCTGTTTCATTTCTGTTATCTTTCTATGAAGAAGATCTTCGCACAATTTGCAGAGTCTGCACTGCTAATCTCTACCAGCTGTCTCACAAATGCCTGTGTTGGGCTTCAGGGAGGCTGAGGGAAAGCCAGAAGCATTACTTGTGATGGGCCATTTTTGTCAACTGTGACTTTAAAATAAAAAGACTTTTTTTTTCTGTCACCCACGCTAGAGTGCGGTGGCACAATCTCAGCTCACTGCAACCTCCACCTCTCAGGTTCAAGCGATTCTCCTGCCTCAGCCTCCCAAGTAGCTGGGATTAGATTACAGGCACACGCCACCATGCCTGGCTAATTTTTGTATTTTTAGTAGAGATGGGGTTTCACCACATTGGCCAGGCTGGTCTCGAACTCCCGACCTCAGTTGATCCCCCCACCCCCACCTCAGCCTCCCAAAGTGCTGGGATTACAGGTATGAGCCACTGTGCCCAGCCGAAAATAATGCGACTTTTTGAAACATTCTGATACCACTAATATGAAGAGAACCTCTTATCCTTCCCCAAATTTACTGCGATGATAAAAAGATAGAAAAGAGAGCAAGCTCACAGGAGCACTAAGGATAGGAAGGGTGGATCACTGATCGAGAACACATGTGTGCAGCCTTCCAGAAGGTGAAAAGGAGAAGGGAGTGTGTCCTTGTTGATCATTAGATGGAGGAAGCCACAGCACAGAGTATGCTGAGGAGAAAGGCTATGCGGGTGGGAAGCAATCCTCCCTTCACCTTTGCACAGTTCTTCCATGACTTGCCGTGTTAGTTTCCTATTACAGTTGTAACAAATTACCACAAACCCAGTGGCTTAAAACAAGGCCAATTTATTTTCTAACAATTTTGGAGTTCAGAAGTCTAAAATGAGGCCCCAACACCAAAATCAAAGCCTGCATCCCCTCTGGAGGCTCTAGAGAAACATCTGTTTCCATGCCTTTGCCAGTTTCTAAAAGCCGCCCATATTCCTTGGTTTGTGGCCACATCACTCCTACCTCTGTATTCATTGTCACATCTCTTCTGACTCTGACCTTGCTGCCTTAAGAACCTTTGTGATTGGATTGGGTCCACCCAGGTAATCTAGGAAAATCTCCTGATCTCAAGATCCTTAACATAATACTTCGTGAAGTCCCTTTAGCCTTGTAGGGTAACATATTCACAGGTTCCAGAGATTAGGATGCAGATATCTTTGGGGGTCATTATTCTGTCGACCACACTCGGTAAGGAGGCACCAAGAGTGAAGTGAGAAGCAAGAGAAGAAACAAGGCTTTACATGCAATAGTCCAAAGCAGCCACTGAGGGTGGCTCCACATGCTGCACTCAGAATAAATGGCAACAGAAATACGGACTCCAGAATAAAGCTGGATAAACATTTGCCAACAAAATTGAACAGTCTTCCAGGGAAGGTCTTGGGCTCCCCTACAAGAGGGAAAGATGGAGATGAACACAAGGAACAACTGATCCTGGAGGAAAGAGAGATGGTGTTACCTGGTGTTTAAAAAAGTGAATGACTAATAGCGGTGAAAAGGCTGAATAAATTAGGGCTCACCCACACCACGCCTTTTAAAAGAATGAATATCAGTTGTATGAAGAGGTTTCCATAAGATGTTCTTGAGTGAAAAATAGCAAGCTCAATAAAAAAACATGAAGACTCTCCCAAGAAAGTATATATTTCCCCAACTCCCTGCTTTTTCTCACACTGTTCCTTCCACTTAAAATATCCTTCCTCTCTGCTGTCTCCTATCTCTGTCTAGCAAATCTTATCCTTGTTGAGTACAAATTAGTTTAACCTTTTTAAAAGAACAGAAGAAAAATATGATTCAAAATATAAAATGTATAACCATTTGACCTAGAAATCTTATATCTGTGAATTTACAATTAGGAATTAAATGCATAAGTGGCACATGAGGCATACATAAGGAATTTTATTGAGCAAAAAAAGATGAAAGCAATCTAAATATTCGTTGCTGGAGGATTAGACAATTGGGGTATGATTCAAATGCTTGCCAGAATATTATGCAGCCATTAAAAATGATGATGGAGGTCATATTAAACATAAAAAATATCTAGGACATATTTGCTGCGTAAGTGATAAAAATCAGTTACAGAATATATTATGATCCACTATAAAATTAGATCTATCTGTGATATATCCATATTTATTTATAGAGAGATTGGTGCTAAAAGGATTCTGTAAAGCATTTTAACAGTGCATATCTTTTTCAGATTTGAGCTAGTTTTAGTGTCTTTTCCTTCTTTATTTGAGTATACTAATTCCCAAGGCTATGGTATTAGGAGGTGGGGCCTTTGGGAGGTGATTAGGTAGTAAGCGTGGAGCCCTCATAAATGGGGTTAACATTCTTATAAAAGAGGCCCCAGGGAACTGCCTTGTCCCTTCCACCATGTGATGACACAGTGAGAAGCTACCATCTATGAAACAGGAAAAGGGCCCTCACCAGATGCCAAATCTGCTGGTGCCTTCATCTTGGACATAGCAACCTCCAGAACTGTGAGAAATAAGTTAGTTGTTCATGAGCGACACAGTTTATGATATTTTCTTATAACAACCTGAACACACTAAGACGTATACTATTTTAATTTTTACCCATGATATATTATGTTTCACAAAAAAAATAGTGCTCTTTTCTAAAAAGGAGACCATAGCTCTGTAAGTTCCTAATTTTAGAATGCCAAATTATGTTTACTAGACTTAATAAAATAACAACTGGTATTTACTAAGCATTTGCAATATACCAGACAGCATCCTAAGTACTTTTGCATATATTAACGTATCCTCACAACAAACCTATGAGGCATGTTTCCCATTTTGCAGGAAAGGAGTTGAAGCATAGAAAGGTCCCTTACTTTAGAAAACTGAAACTTTAGAAAGATCTTCAGCAGTTCTGACACAACAACAAAGTTTTCTGTTTAACAGCACTCACCTCATTATCAACAAGAGACCATTGTCCGGGACCTCTTACTCAGTCTTTCATTTCCTAAGCAATCTGGTATGCAGCTTTTATCTCTCCGTTCTTAACTAGGTGCTCTCTCCCCAGTGTGTTTTCTGCCACCTTTTAAAGCACACTGTGGTGCAGCTTTCTGGTTGTACTTGGTTGTTGTCATTTGCATGCACCAGTATTCTGTGTGATTCTAAAAATGATTATTTGCAAAATTTTCTTTTATGCTGAGATACTCAGAAGGTAAACGGGGTTGAGCGCAGTAGCTCACGCCTGTAACCCCAGCACTTTGGGAGGCCGAGGCGGGCAAATCACTTGAGGTCAGGAGTTCAAGGCCAGCCCAGCCGACATGATGAAACACCCATCTCTACTAAAAATACAAAAATTAGTTGGGTGTGGTGGTGTGTGCCTGTACCTAGCTACTCACAAGGCTGAGACAGGAGAATTGCTTGAACCTGGGGACCGGAGGTTGCAGTGAGCCAAGATGGCACCACTGTACTCCGGCCTCGGTGACTGAGAGAGACTCCATCTCAAAAAAACAAAAACAAAAACAGAAATAACAACAACAACAAAACAAAAAAGGAAGGTAAAGGGAACATAATAAACAACTCACACTTGTTTAAATTGTTGTCATACAGAAAAAAACAATTCAGCAAACACAGCAACCCCATACCCGTGCACTCCACATTTCAGAGCACGCAGTGGAAGAGATGTAATTACTACGGTTAATTGGTTCCTGGTAAAATGTCACTGAGAATGAGAACTCATTAATACATCATTTCAACCACTGGAGACACCAGGTGCTCTTACTTAGGGTCTGCTCTGTGGTATTCTGACATCTTTCTCAGGGTTACTTCCCTCTTTGAAGAAGAAAATGTAAACATCCATTTGTATATTACGATTTGGAATGCATTCCCTACAATTTCTGTAAAAAAAAAAAATCATATAAATTATCTAGCCAGATAAACTGCTACATAATGCAGGGAACTCCATGTGAGATTTCTGCCTAAAAGCCTGACCTTAAAGCATTAAGCAGATGGGTGAGTTTGATAAATATAAATATAGACTAGTAAAAAATACTCTCTTTGGCTTGTTTTTATGGATATTATTTTGGAATTTTTTTAAAAAAACTCATAGGACTGAAAGAAAACTTCTTATATCAGAATTATCTCACAGGTCATATTTCCACATACAAGAATTCAATCAGCCCTAGAGGTGAGAATAGTTTAGGAAAAACTCCTAAATATATTCCACTAATTTTTTAAATTGTCTCTTCAGCTCTTGTGTGCCTCACATTCATATAACTTTGAAATCTCTAAGAAATTAAAGTTGGAAAGGGAATATTGATGATAATGATACAAAATGATGAAGGTGAAGAAGAAAAAGAAGAAAGAGGTGGAGGAGGAGAGGAGAAAATGGTAGTGGTATTGGTGGTTATGATAGTGATGCTGATGATAGTGAAGATGATGGCGATGGTGATGGAGAGATGATGATGGTGAAGGTGATAGGAAGATGATGGGTCCCTTTTTGCCTTAATCACTACCACTACCATTCAGATTCTGAACATACCTGAGTCCCTTAAAAAGTCCATCTTTGGGATGGAAAAGGTAAGCTACATCTCCACATTAAACATGTTGCCCTTTTACTTTTTAGTTATTATTTTTAGCACCAATCTCTACATCACCTTGATGAGAGATACTTGTCGCATCTTCAAACTTGTAAATTTTTTTAGTCAAATAGGTTTGGCCTCCAAAAAAAAGGAGGGGACAGAGAGACCTTCTTACCAGAAAAAAAAAATTGTCTCTATGCTAACAATACTCCTTCTTGAAAAGCATTTGTGGTATTTCAAATGAGTGTTTATTAACATGGAAAATTCATCTTGAAATGTTAAATGAGAAAAATCAGGTTACAAAATAGAATGCACAGCACGATGCTCATTTTGTACAGTGATATGACATTAATATATAGTTTCCTCTGGGTTGCAGAAGTATAAATGATTTTATATGTTCTTAGAGTTTGTGTTTTGCTTTTCTTATTTGCCAAAACTTTTTTTTTTTTTGCAATGAGCATGCGATACCTTTTGTGATGAGAAAAAAGTATTTATGAAGCCTATGCAAATAAAAAGGATTTTTTTTTTCTGGCTATGGCTAGAATACTAAAGCTGTAAACGGAATGCTTACATTGAGAAGGCAGTGAAACCTGAAAGTACAGACCTGACCTACCTGATAGAGCTGAACTTACAGCAGTGAAGGAGCTCTCAAGGAAAAATAAAAGAAAAGATAACATGAAGTGTTAAAGAGGGAACATTTCTAAGGGTCAGGGAGAGGTGTGTGAAGGAGAAAGAGTTTGTTTCAGCTCAGCAAATACCTATTTATCACCTGTTCTATACTAAGCATTGAGCTTCACAGCAAGATAGAGAATCAGAACATGCATGAACCGACCCCTGGATGAAGCTAGAGCCCACAAGGAGAGAGGAGAAATGAGAACGTTGATGCCGTGGGAGAAGCACATCGTGAAGGTGAGCACCAAACTAGTTTCCATGAAGTCCCAGAGAGGTCTGGGAGGGAGGATGTGAGGGTGGGTTCCTCGGAAAGACGGGTATGGAAGGACAAGTGAAACCAAAAAAGGGGAAACAAAGAGAGAACGTTTGAGGCAGAAGGAATGACATTCACAAAGGCACAGTCAGTAAACAGCAAGGTGTGTTTGCGGAGTGACACAGAGGGTCGGATATGAGGTATGTGAGCATCGCCAGAATGACAAGCAAAGCAGAGAATGCTGATGAGGTTGGGAGGTCTGACTCCTGGACATCAGACCAGGCAGGTTAGAATTTAACTTGTAGGTGTGGAAATCCATATATGGATTTATGTGGGTTGACGATGTTGAGCCCTGTGCTCCCAGGAAACAGTGATGGTTAAGGAAACCCCCATCTTTTTGTGTTCCTGAAATGGCTTCCCATAAAAAAAGCATCCTCTTCCACGTGACTTAAGCAAGACTTGCCATCCACTCTTTCTCAAGACTCTCGTAAGACTCTTGGGTGCCTGTTTTATTTACCTATGCCATGGCTGAATAGTCCTTTGCCCTTTCGCTTGACCCTGTTTCTAAGGCCAGATATAGATTGTGCTAGTTTCCTAGAGTTGCTGCAACAAAGCACCACAAATGGGTGGTTTTAAATCAACTGAAGCTTATGATCTCCCAGTTCTGAAGGCTTGAAGTCTGAAAGGACCATGCTTTTTCCAGGCTCTAGGGGAGAATCTATTTCATGCTTTCCTCTGGCTTCTGGTGTCACCAGCAATCTTTGACATCCCTTGGCTTGTAACTGTAACTCCAGTCTCTGCCTCTGTTATCACACAGCATTCCTCTCCCTGTGCAACTCTGCCTTCTCCTTATCTTATATATGGACCCATCGTATTGGATTAGTACCCATCCTGATGACCTTATCTTTTTTTTTTTTTTTTTGTGGAGATGGAGTCTCACTCTGTCACCCAGGCTAGAGTACAGTGGTGCAATCTTGGCTCACTACAACCTCCACCTCCTGGATTCAAGCAATTCTCTTGCCTCAGCCTCCCAAGTAGCTAGGATTACAGGCACATGCCACCAAGCCGGGCTAATTTTTGTATTTTAGTAGAGACAGGGTTTCACTATGTTGGCCAGGGTAATCTCAAACTCCTGACCTCATGATCCACCCACTTCGGCCTCCCAAAGTGCTGGGATTACAGGCATGAGCCACTGCGCCTGGCCCATGACTTCATCTTAATTTGATTACATCTACAAAGACCCTATTTCCAAATAAGGTCACATGCACAGGTACTGGGAGTTAGAACTTCAACATATATATTGAGAGACACAATTTGACTTATAACACAGACCTGCCAACTTCACATTCCTTATCTCATGAGTTATTAGCTGAGATTAGACCTGTTTGTGCCTCTGAGACTAGCCAACCATAAGGAAAAAAAAAATCCTGCCCAGATAACTGAGACCTTTCCTGTTTGCAAAGCAATCCCAGCTATAAACCATCTCTCTTGCAATATGCTTACCCCTCCTCATAAAAGTCTAAGGCAAAACACCTTGCTCAGACACTTTAATCTCTGGATCTGGGTGCTCTCCCTATTGCAATAACCGGAATAAAATCAGTCTCCTTACTTGTTCAGTTATCTTCTTTGACAGGGTAGGCTGTCAAAGCCAGATGCTCCCATGTAGTTTGAGTAACAATCCGGAGGTGGGCAGTGAGGGTCAACAGTAGATGCTGCCTGGCATACACTGTAGTAAATACCAAGGTGCTCAGTCCAGAACCCTCCAGAGGACCACCACACTCACCCTGGCATTGCTGAGAATGTCAACTGCTGATGGCTCACAGCTATATTCCTCACTGGGAAGTGCCTCCATCTACTCACTGTTAGTGCTCTAAGGACTAGACAGATGTGACAGAATGATATATGTGTGGCTTATCACTTCTAACTATAGGTATCCCTCCCACCCCACCCCCACCCCCACCTTAAGAAATGCAAAAAGGAATTCAAGCCTCGTGTCAGCTTTTCTTGTGTGCTTTTGGGTTGCAGGGAGCAAAAGTTGATGTGCACTAGGGAGGAAACACTCTCTTCCCCCATGAAGGCTTCTGTAGCCAAGACCCACGGCTCATGAAAGCAATGAGACTGAATGATCCTAGAGCAATGGAGTTGGGTTAGGTAGTGCAAGTGGAAGCAGCCACATCAAGAGCAGCTGGCATTTTTTTAAGGGAGTCTGAAAAGCAGACTATGTTTGTGGCCTCTTAAAGTGCTGGAAGAGGTGCTAGAGTTAGCTCAGGGATGCTGGGAGATTACACATCAATAGAGCTGTCTTTGGGGACAGCAGCCCAAGATGCCATGCCAATGCTCGACAGGAAAGCAGTGAAGCCAACCACCTCCAAATGGACCACATAAGCTTGAACCACAAGAATCTTAACCATCACAATGATGCTCCACAGACCAGAGGCCTTTCTGCCATTCCCACTTCCCTGATCCTTCTGTACCTGCATGGAAATGGAGTGGTCTTCCAAAAAAGGCTGAGATCTAATTTCTCACCCACTGGAGAATTAAAGTCAGGATAAATTTGATTTATAAAAACAAGGCACTTCTTACCACCACCCCCCACCAAGAGTGCAGATCAAATGTTTAACTTCTATAGAGGCAAATGCAAGCCAGGCATACAGAAGTACATAAACAAGACAGCTATTGATTGCTGATTTGAGCAGTGTGTGTCTCCCCAAGCTCCAGCCTACTGATCATAATTAACGCCCTCTGGAAATCCATTCATAAAGGAACTTTGCTGGATCATCCTTCTCAGTACCCTGCAAACAAGAATACCTTCGTCTCTCCTACTTGTTCCTCATTTGTTTTGTAAACTGAAAATTAAACTGCCATCTCTGGGTCCAAATTGATTTAAATCAATTTGGATACACAGTAGATACTTGGTACAAATCCCCGGAATGTGATACACAAAGGCAAGATCAGCAGGTCTTTCCCACCCTCATGGTGACTGGAAAAATAGGAATAGAGTGTCCCTCCTCCCAAAAATCCCCCTTATCTGCGTCTCTGTTTCCAAACAGCTATTGGATAATGTCATGAGAAGACAGACTCTGAAACCCACCTGGTACAACAAACCCAATCAGCACTGTCAGGGAGAGATGCTGGCTGGCTGCAGGGAATGCCCAGGACAGGAGGAAGATAAGCCATAGGAATTGAAATGGAGTCACTTGTGCCAAGCCTTAAAAAAATGGAGTCAGGAGGAAGGGTTGTTTTGCAGAGAATGAGCCCCTCCCAGGGAATCTGCTTGAGTTGTAGAATGTTGCTTTGTGTTCATTTGCTTGAATCTCCTGTTGCTGCTTATTCCCTCAACAATGTTGAAGTCGGCCAGGCGCGGTGGCTCACGCCTGTAATCCCAGCACTTTGGGAGGCTGAGGAGGGCAGATCACGAGGTCAGGAGATCGAGACCATCCTGGCTAACGCGGTGAAACCCCGTCTCTACTAAAAATTCAAAACATTAGCCGGGCGTGGTGGTGGGCGCCTGTAGTCCCAGCTACTCGGGAGGCTGAGGCAGGAGAATGGCGTGAACCCAGGAGGTGGAGCTTGCAGTGAGCCCAGATGGTGCCACTGCACTCCAGCCTGGGCGACAGAGCGAGACTCCGCCTCAAAAAAAAAGTAAAAAAAGAATGCTGAAGTCCTAGATCAAGACCTCTGCAGTGAGATGCTGTTTTCCTCTCAGCCTTGTTCCCCACCATCCTCTCTCCTTCCACAGGTGGACTCGGGGAGGTTCACAAACACTTCAGGCCCACCCTATCCCGTTCTCCCTGCTGCTCCTCCCTCTTCCCAGACTCCCCTTCCTAGTATCCTTGTGTCTCTGTAACTGCTTACTGGCCCTTGTTGGGTGCCAGGAAAACACCCTTTGGTGGAACTCTGCAGCCTCTCCCTTCCATGCCCCTTGACATCTTAGGACCGCAGCTGTCCAGGGCCTCTCAGGCATAAGAAAAGTGCCATCTGAATCATTCAGACTCACCTTTCAGGAACTGAAAAGCCCTGACCAGTATCAATTAAAATCAAATCTCACCCGCAATGTAAAGGCTTTCTCATTCCCCCAGTCCATGCCTGACTTACAGCTTTGGAGGGAAAGGGCCTGGCCTGGCCCTTCACTCTTCCTCCACCTCCATCTCTCTCCACCTGGTCGCCCTTCCTCTCAAGATCAGGAGCCCAGGAGGAGGTGAGAGAAAGTCAGGACACTTTGCCTACCTGGTGTCATTCTTTACCAGCAGCACCTCGACGTGACAACTGTTCCACTTTGGGGCTACATATGAACTTTGGGGGTGATCCCAGGGGACTCTATGCTGCTGTCAACCTAAAGTAACAACAGAGAGAGAATTGCCAAAGATAATGAGTTTATTCCAGAATGGAAAGAAGGATTGCAATCCAGGAATATGTGTGCCATGGCAGCCCGTGGGGGACCGTGGCTGTACCCAGAGAGGCAAGGGAAGGAAAGGATTTTGAGAGGCAAAATGGAGAAGGTTGCATAAGTTGTTTTGAAATAATTATTCTTGGCTACAAGGATCAATAGCAAGGGTGGCACCAGTCCGACATCAAACAGGCAGTTGCTGGGGCAGGCGTCCTCTCAGAGGTATTTTTTGTGTAAGGTTGTGGTGGCCTTTCTTCAAGGTTATGGTTTTCAGAAACTCCTCGTAATAGTTGTTATCATAGGAATGTGTGCGTGAGAGCCCCTCCTTTACGGCCTCCCCACTCCATTTTTTTAAGGCTTGGCACAACTGACTCCATTTCAATTCCTACGGCTTCTACACAACACAATACCTGGACAAGGAGGAGAAACCCCTCCTGACTTCCTGTATTCTCCCTCCCCTCTCCTCTCACCCCTTCATACATCCACAGCTTTTGGTGGCTGAGTCCTCACCTGCCAGACCACCCTTTTCAGTCTGTCCCAGTGATGGCCCAGGACCACCTATGTGCCACAGCATCCAGGTGGTCCCCAGGAAACTGACCAATCCCTGGCAGTCCAAGTGGTGGGAATGCAGGCAGTCTCATAGTCCTGACATCACAGGCTGCTCCCACTGGCACCCACCTTCAAAATTACCCCTGCAAGAAGCAGGTACCAGTCTTTATGCTCATAATACCTTCTCGCTTCCAGGGGTTTGTACCAAGTTCACACAAGAACTCTCTCATTATGTTCTTTTTTGGGGGCAACTTTGGACCAGGCCTACAGTTTCAATTTCTTAGCAAGTATCAAGCCCAGGAGGAGGCTATGGGGCTCTTCTCTCTCATCTTGGGGGAGGGGTAGTTCCCCTCCCTCTTTCAGATGGGAGAGGACATGCCCCACCACTTTCACTAGGCAGACAGTGTACTTCTAAAACTCCCAGCAAGGGCCTCTTCTTGCAGCATTCATAATCTTCTGCTTTTATAAACAGGTAGGAGTATGTAGGGGGTACAGAAGTGGGGAGTGGGCAGCGAGGATCACAGGATGTCCTGGCCACCTCTGAGTAAGCCCTGTCTATGTCTGACAGCAGCTTGGTGAGCTCTTTAGACTGTAGGAGTAATTAGGTCATGTTGTTTTCAACTTTAAGGCTTCTGTAGAGAATCTGAAATAACAGAAAATGTTTTGCATGTGATCTTGCTACATCTTCCAACACTCCCAATCCTTCAAAGCCCCACATCAGCCCTGGCCTCTCCAAGAAACCTTTCTGTTCTGACAACTCTGGCTCTCACTGAGAACTCCTTTCTGGAACATCCAATGCACTTGATGTCAGAACAACACATTCTGATGAGTAAACATATTCTGTCTCATGTTGGTATCTTGCTGTTTCTCCATGTTGGTCCCAATAGCACAGCAGACTTTTTGAAGCTGGAGACTGTGCTTTATGTTTATTTTGTATCCCCTATGGCTTTTACCACTTTACTGTCAACATAAAAGTGCTCAATACATATTTGAAGTGAGTTGAATGGAATTTTCAATCAGACACATGCTGGATGGAGAGAGAGCCTCAGTGTGGTTAGAGTTGGAATATATGAAGCAGAAAAGACAGATTGCACATGAAGTTTCTTTCTGAAATTTAGGCGTTGCAAAATGGAACAGAGACTTTGTAAAGATAACATAAGCTGCCATTCCTTGGAGTTGGATAATGTTGTTTACATATCTTCGGGAATAAAAATCTGGCGTCAGGATCCAATGTATTGGGTTTATTTGTGTAGACAGGCCCCAGGTGCTAAGACAGAAAGGTCAATGAAGGAGAGAGCTAGGATGTGGGCTTCTTCCACACCCTGGCCTAAACCCCTTCCCACCAAGAAGTTATAGTGATGAGACAGGAATGGCCAACACTCAAATATGGCAGGAAATCCCTGTGGTGCTGTAGGTTTGATGGGCATGTCCGCTTCTCCTCTCCTGTCCTCCTCTCTCCTTTCTCACACCCAAGCACAGAGGGACATGCTCATACAGCACACCAGGAGAAAGTTATTTGCCAAAATGCAAGTAAACACTACAGGCTGAGCCAGTTCCTTTATTCGCTTACCTTTGCACACCTTCTCCCCCAGTGGAGAATTTTTTCAAGAAAGATTGTAATACTGTTCAGCCCCATCAAGGTGCACTTCAATCCATTTAACTTTGAGATATCTACTTTAGATAAATAAAAGAGGAACCTAAGGTCTAATTGGTTCAGAAATACTTCAATTAACATCAACACCCAAAACAGTATAACTGCATCCCCATAGGCCATAGCAAGAAATCCAGCCTTAATGCATTCCCCACCACCTCCACCCCACGTGGTTACCCATACAGTTATGGGAACACTAGGGCAATGCACTATCACTTCATTCCAAAGCTGGTGGAGTTAGGGGTCCTCAGCCTCAGGCTCTGATAGGTGCACAGATGTCCCACCAATTTCTTTGAATCGGGGAGGCAGCACAAACACCCTCATATGCTATTACACCTGCTCCTCCTGCACTCTCCCACACTCTGCAAAGGGGCAGTGGCCACACTTTCCTGGACCCACTGGAGGAGGAGGTCCCTCTTCTATGCCAATCAGGTGGTTTCTTTCCCTGAACCCCCTCCCAAACTTCTTCCAGGGCTCAAAGGTTACTTTGGAATAATGATGATGGTATAGGTCATAAGAGTGAAACTGATTTAGAAGCAGTTGTGGATCATTTATACTTGACCTGTCCTCCTTGGGCCACAGCCAAAAAAAAAAAAAATAGGGCCCAAGAGAAGGCATTGGTAGCTCTTCTCCTCACCCTCTCCATCCAGTTAGCATCCTCCAGTCCTGCAAAGGAAGGCTGTAAGTGTTAATTATTAATCTGAGGGAGTGGAAGCACCTGGGTCGCATGAATTGTATCTCTGCTTGGTCCTGTGGCTGATGGCATCCTATTCTCCAATGTAATGATTCTTTTTATGCGACAAGGAGTTGAAGAAAGGGATGCTGAGCGAAGGAGTCCATATATTCTCCATAACTCGAATTACTACAATGAATTGCTCCATTACTCACCTTTGCACTGGACATTAATCACAAAAACAAAAAACTGCAGAGCCAGGAAGTTAGTGAGGATGTGCTATTTCAACCCTGCACCCTGTGCCAAGTGGATGCAGCTGCAATGAGGAATCTGCAGTGTTCCCCCTTCCCATCTGTTTTTAAACCATTAGTACAGAAGTTTCGGGGAGAAACTCACAGCCATGACTGGGATAGAGCTGAACCCTTGGGAAGGGCTTGCTGAAATTCAAATCACTTGTGAGGGTCACCTGCCCACAAAGGATGCACTAGATCCACCTCTGGCTCCTAGTGTTTCCCATTTGCCCTGCCTGCACAGGCTCAGATCTGATTATACCAAACTACTTGAAAATCTGAAATATTAAAAACATCCATACTAAAGAATATTATGTAACCACCAAAAAAATAAATAAAAAGTATTTGATAACACATAAAGAGATAAATTATTAATGTGAAAAACAAGTTACCAGAAAATATGTAAATGTAATCTCAAATCTCATTTGTCTTTATGTGTGTGTGTGTATATATATATATATGTGTTAAGACATATATATATGTTAAGACATATATATATATGTCTTAACAAAATATATACTATTCTATTTCCTACAAACCTATGGGAGACAGGCTCAAATTTGAATCTAAGTATGCATAAAGAAAATAAATACACACAAAGAATATGAAAGTTGAATTTTTACTAAAAATGAAAAATATCTTCTTTCTCTGTCTGTTGGAATATTCAGCCAAGTGAGTATTCTATTATTTTTGCAAAGCTTGACTGAAGCATTGTTTAGGGAATAAGTGGCCAGGAGAAGTAAAACAAACCTACCAAGCACAATAGAAAATCATAGAAGACTGACTGAAAACTTTAAACCGAGAAAAAGTTTTCAGAAATTATAGCAATCTTTATATGTTTATTGCAGCCATGAAAGAATATGAATTTGAGGATGTTTTTTGTTTTGGAAGTTTCTTTCCCCAAAGTTTGCTGTTTCAAAAGCACCAGGAATAATGCCGATCACCACCATCATTGCCCAGAAAACTCTGAGAGTTTGTCATACACCAGGCACTGTTCAAAGTCCTTAACATACTAGTTTAATCCCCCAAATAACATTAAGAGATAGTTATTTAAATTAGCATTATTTTAATGTTTAAACAGTTATAATCACTGTCCTTTTACAGGCAGATCAGGGGCTTCAGCACTGTAGGGGTGGACAGCACCCTCTCCCCTGTCCCTTTCTCTCTCACTACTTCCCCATCACGGTACACATCTGCCCCTTTGCAGTCAATTCCTGAAGTCCTCTGTCTGCCTCCGCCCTGAAATCTGATTACTCTTTTCTAATTGGAAAGGAGAGAGAAGATCGAGAAGAAGAAGGAGGCTAAGGGGAGAGAGAAGACATGATACAGGGGTGAAGGTTGCCTAATAGCCCCCCCTACATGGCCTCTCTCATTGGAACTGAGGCTCTTTTTGTTAGAGGGTGAAGCCCAATTGCTGGAGAACCAATTTTGAAGGGAACCTTTCTGGGACTCTGACATCAACAGAATAGAAAACCCGTAGCCCACCCTCAGGAGAAGCTTTTCTCTCACCATCCTCTCACACAGCCCAGTCCTGCCCCCAGACCACTGGAGACCACTGCTTCAGAAACACCGAGAAGAAGCACCCTTAGCAGGGTCACCAGTGTTCTTGAAATGGACACCATCAACAGCATCTTCAGGTGAGCTGGTGGAGGAAACTGACCAGTAGAAATCAGCGTAGGAGAAAAGGAGCTCGGTGCCTGTGTCAACGAGGCTTCCAGATGTAGAGATTCGTGAATACATCAGTATGTTCACATGGTACAAAAGAAACACCTTAAACATACAGAAGGGAAGATTCTGTTTGAACAGGAAGAGAATATTGTTGACATGGCTCCTGTATACCGGCCAGTAAAGATGCTGTTTGGACAACATTTACTGTCCTTGCCTTTAGTTCTGCTTCATGTATTAAGCAGGATGTTGAAAACCAAAATATGTCCACAGAGTGGTGACCAAGCTGAGAGAATACCCAGGTAAGGAGTGATCAAAGGTTCTCTGCACCTTCAACCTTAAAAACGAGAAGACATGGTAACTCTCTGTTAATATTTAAAGGACTATCAGAGGGAAAATTAATTGCCTTTTTTCACCAGTACCCAGAGAAGAACTTGAGTCTTTGGAAGAGTTTATGGAGAGACAGTTTTAAACACAGGATGAAGAGGTTCTGATCATTCCCAGTCTGACAAAGGAGTGGGCTGTCCATTCCTGGAAGGGTTGAAACCATAAAAAATGGCTCTGTGTCCGTGATGGCCAGAATGTGATTTGCACATTGCCTAGGAGACTGGATTGGATTGGATGACTGTTCAGGTGCTTCCAATGCTGAGATTTAAAACCCAGATATCTCAGAAACATTATTTCTAATTCTTAGGGAATCTGATTCAGGCTTTGGTGTTTTCCTATCTATAGAAGCCACTGATTACATTAAAATGCCTTCACATAAATTGAGCATAATGAATAGGGTGTTATCATGAAGACAGCATTGAAATAGGCAATTAACAAGCCTGGTTCTGCTCCAGAATACTCTGCATAGTCACTTGAAAAAGAAATCACTTAGGGTCTCTGAGCATCGATTTCTTCATCTGTAGAATGGATACTATTGGTAAGAAGAAAAACTCATTGGCAATACATCAAATGACTCCCCAGTCAGTGGCGCATTCTGGGTGCTCCCCAAAGGTCAGCACTGGCCCTTCGCAAATCCAGGAGGCAGGCAAAAAGCCCCCCTTGGTGCTCTCACTTGTCCCTTTTCACAGGCATTTCCTCACTTCAACTACATCCTTCCCCTCAGAATCTTGCACCCCTTGCTTCCAGTTCTCCCTGTCACAGAGGAAAGAAATCTGGAAAATTATTTCAAATAAAGGCATTAGAGACTTTAATATGCTCAGCCTTACAGAGAAGTTGGTTTTTAAAAACAAGCACCCACTAAGCAGAGGCAACGTGGAACCCAGTGAGTGGGATTGCAAACTCCATGGCACCCAAATGTGGGGCTTTACATTCAGAGAGAGAAATCTTCCTGGCATGTCTCTGAGAGGCCGATGGCTTAAAAATCTCTTAAATATGGACCCCAGAGAATTTTTTTCTCCCTCACCAGAGGGACTTAGGTTCGAATTGAAGAGTGACTGAATGGAGCAGCATCAAGCATCACCTCCTAATAAATGCAGCTGCAGAGACAGCTAAGCAATGTGAATTTCCAGCCTGTTTGGCCAAAGCTGTTATCATCTCTCTTAAAACAGTAATCAATATTAGACACCTGCAGCCTTCTCATTCAAATCCTGTGTGATATGCAGAGATGTGCTAGTTGATAAAATCTGGAGAATAAGGCCTTCTGGGCTGTTTCATCACTCACATGGGCCAACTACAGGAGCCTGGGTCAAGAGCAAGGGAAAAGATGGTCACTAGCAAGGTCAGCTGTGAGGCAGGTCAGGGTTTATGCCCTTCTTTCTCTGCCACCCCCACCGTATGTGTGTGTGTGTGTCTCTGTGTGTGTGGATATTAGCATAGTAACTCCTCAAAGTTATGCCACAGGGGACACATTATTAGCACAATAAAGTGTTGTTATTTAGATGGTCCATCTGAGACATTTGAAAGGCCAATATTGATCACAGAAGAACTGATCCCCACCTTCAACCTCTTGGGCAATGGACAGTGGTCTTCAGCTTTGAGCACTTGGAGTAATTTGGCATAATAAAGTCAGTAAGAATGGAGGGTATAGAGGGAAGGAAGGAGAGAGCCCAAGGAAGAAGGAGTCCCGACACCCCTGTGAAGCCCCTCCTCTAAGTGTTTGTGACTGCCTCCTGGTAAGAGAGCGAGTCATTAGGAACGCCTAGTCACTGGGAACACCTGCCCTACAGGCAGCGGGACTTTATACAGGGTCACCCTCACTGCCAAGGAAAACAAGTCCTTGGACTCAGAACGCTAAACCAGGTTTCAACATCAAGTGCACCATTTTCTCTAATAGCTCTATGACCGTTAGAAAATTCCATAATTTGTGAGAACCTCTTTTTTTCTCCTCTGTAAAATAGAAGTAACATTTTCTGAGAGTTAAAGCCCCAGGCTATTGGTTAAGCACTTACCAAATTCAAGCAACAAATTCATATTGATTAGTGATTGTGGTTGGTATCTGGCATGCTTAATTTCTATGCTATTTTTGTACCCAAAATGTGGTATTTTGTTGGTTAGATACCAAAAACTTTAATTTAAAAAAATTTAAAAATTATAATGTAAAATATATCTGAAAAGTTATATACAGCATTAACATTTTAATTTGAACAAATCAGAAAACATACTTCTCTTCCCCCCATAAGTGGAAAAAAATGACAAAGAACAACACAAGACTTACTGTAAGAGTATTTCCCATTCTGGATCAAAAACTCTCTGTGTAAATAGAATATATACAGTGTGATGGTGTTAAAATTGATACGAGTCCCTCTGCGGAGGAATCTCCATCTATACATACGAAAACAAAGACCAGAGTACCCTTCTTTGAAACAAAACTACAGCTTAGTAAAAATAAAACACAGTGCATTTCCTAAAAAAGAAAAGTTCAGAAAGATCTCAACATATTTACAAAAAGGAAAGAATTATTTGAAATTGAAGGAATCAGAAGAAAATATCTGAAGTTAACTCGTAACTTTCTCCTCTCCACACCTTTATCTAGTATGGGGTCCAAAAAGGGTCATTTCATCAGGTGGAAAATTTTGCACAAAATTCACTTGTCAATGACTCAGTGATGACCCTATTAATACACTTTGCTGTTTTTTTTTTAAGTTGTTACTTTCCAAAAATATTTTAATCATCTAATTTTTTATTTTAAAATAAATTTTCTTGCTTTTTATGTAATTTTGGTTCCCTTTTTATGCTACCTTATTGCATTAGTTTTAACTGTTAATAATTCAAATTAGAATGGACATATGTTTATCATTTACATTTTATTATATTTTTACTTTGTGTTTTATAATATATTTACACATTTTCATATTTGAAATTAGTTACATATTTGGTTTAAATGTTCTTCTGTGTTTCTTAAATTCTGAACATTTTAATGTAACATGATATTAAAGATATCTAAGGATTGCATTAAATAAAGACTGTAATGCTGGTGTTGATGATTTGCCTTGGTGTTGTAAGCACTTTTATTAACTGCCTTTATGTGCCAGGCACCACATAGATGAGAGAACAATAATGAACAGGACTTTTAAAAAGCTTACAGTCAGTTCCTTCTATTCTTTCTCATACTTGCTTTTTTTTTTCTTTTTTTTCTTTCTTTTTTTTTTTTTTCTTTCTTTTAGATGGAGTTTTGCTCTTTTCTCCCAGGCTGGAGTGCAATGGCGCCATCTCAGCTCACTGCAACCTCACAACCTCCGTCTCCTGGGTTCAAACATTTCTCCTACCTCAGCCTCTCAAGTAGCTGGGATTACAGGTGCCTACCACCACACCTGGCTAATTTTTATTTTTATTTTTATTTTTGTATATTTAGTAGAGATGGGGTTTCGCCATGTTGACCACAGTGGTCTCGAACTCCTGACCTCAGGTGATCCACCCACCTCAGCTTCCCAAAGTCCTGGGATTACAAGCATGAGCCACTGCCCCAGGCCTATCATACTTTCAAATGTGTGTGTGTCTGCGTGTGTGTGTGTGTGTGTGTGTGTGTGTGTGTGTGTGTGTGTGTATAAATGACTGCCAGATTAAGACGAAAGAAACATAAAAATTATTTCAGTGGTTTTCAAACCATGCCACAGGCAGCATTTAGAGCATTCAGGTCCTTGGATTCCCCTGTTCCCCGTTGCAACATCCATACTCAATGTCTTTTGAGGGGTTGTTGGAAAAGCACTGGGTTCTTCCAAAGTTGTCTCTATTTTTGTTTTTAATAATGGATGTGTAGCTAGAATTGGACCAGTTAGAAAATCTTAAGGCATCTTAATATTTAAAAGATCTTCTTGATAAAGTTCATAGAAAAAGTCATGCTAGCAATAACATGATTAGCAACGGACAGAGACATGCTGAATCACCTTGCAATCAGAATCAGGGGTGACCAGCAGGAAGGCTGTTTTCCAAGCATTCGGAATTGATTTTTTTCTCTTTTTCAAGTCTTATTTTTTATTATTTATAAAACATAGAGACCAGATCCCACTGTGTTGCCCAGGCTGGTCTTTGAATTCCTGTCATCAAATGATTCTCCCACTTTGGCCTCCCATAGTGCTGGGATTACAGGCATTGTCAGAGCCATTTGAACCAGAGCGACCCCACCTTGAATAGGGTGAGACCTGCTGGGTTGCATTCCCAAGAGGTCAGGCATTCTCAGTCACAGGATGAGATAGGAGATTGCAGGACTGGTATCATAAGATACAGGTCAGAAAGACCCTGCTGATAAAACAGGATATGGTAAAGAATCCAGCCAAAACCCACCAAATCCAAGATAGTGACGAAAGCAACATGGTCATTCTCATTGCTCGTTATATGCTAAATATAATGCATTGGCATGCTAAAAAGACACTCCCACCAGTACTATGACAGTTTACAAATGCCATGGCAATGTCCAAAAGTTACCCTATATGGTCTGAAAGGAAGAGGAAACTTCAGTTCCAGGAAACCCCAGAAAACTCATGAACAATCCACCCCATATTTAGCGTGTAATCAAGAAACAACCATAAAAATAGCCAACCACCAGCCCTCAGTGCTGCTCTGTTTATGGAGTAGCCAATCTTTTGTTTCTTTACTTCTCTAGTAGACGTTCTTTCACTTTACTCTGTAGAGTCATCCCAAATTCTTGCTCACAGGAGATCCGAGAACCCTCCCTTGGGGTCCTGATGGGGACCCCTTTTCAGTAGCAGAGTGAGCCACTGTGCCTGGCCAAACTGTATTTTTTTCCCCTAGAAAGAATGACTTGGGTATGGAGCAGAATAGTTTGGGTCATCTAAGGAGAAAGCAGCAGGAAGGAGTGTGGATGAAAGGAGGGGAAGTTCGAAGAGGAAAACAATCAGGGCCAAGTTGAAAGGAATTTTGAAATTGTTTAACCAAAGCTGCTGATTATTTTTTCCTGTGTGTATCAAATGCAAAAAGAAAAGAAAAAAAGACAATATTAACAAACAGCATGCCACAGCCCACCATCAAATGCCTCAGCTCATCCCAACACTGCAGGCTGGTGTCTCCCTGTCCCCATACAACATTAAGTTTGGTAAAACAACAAGAAAACAAAGAACTAATTATAGAATGACTTGTCTTGACTAAGGAAAAATATAAATTAAAAAATTTAAATACATTTATCTTTCTTCCCAACAACAACAAAAAACATCCAAGAGGCCCACATTATTTACCAGGTTATTTACCAAGAAGAGTTGCAAAATTTGCTTTAGTTAATAAAAGAGAATTATTTTTAATCAACACATCAAAGTGGAGATACAAGTAAGTGTTTCTAGAACATTTACTTTTCTTAACAGTTTAAACATTAATCTCTTTATAATGTATAATTCTACATTATTTATCTTAGACACTTGTTACTTTTAGGGAGAAAATATAAGCATCTCAAAATATTATCAATTCTAAATTTCAGGAGGTCCAAATTCGTGAAACCAATACCAGAAACACCTTTTACTAAATGTAGTAGCATGTGACAAGCCCTTCTTGAGGCCTACATTCTACCTGGAGAAACAGAAAATAACAAGCCAGAGATTAAATATGCAGTATATCAAATGGCAATAAATTCTAAGGAAAAAGTAAAGAAGGAAAGGGGTATTAGGAATATGAGTGTTAGGGGACAGTCTTCATTGTTAATAGGATGGTTGGGGGAGGGAGGTTTTATTCAAAAATAGCATTTAAGCAGAGGCCTGAGGAGATGAAGGAGCAAGACATATGAAGAGTACCTAATGGAAGCACATTTCAGCAAGTGCAAAGGCCCTGGGGCAGAGTGGCCTGGATTTGCTTGAGGAAGCCAACCACGCAGTGGACATGGGCATGCACTGCTCAGGGTGGTCAGCAACAGTATCTACTGGTCTGGTCCTTCAAGAGGTGCCTAAGCTGCAGAGAGCTGCCTCGTGCCATGTCACACTCTTCTCAGGACATCGCTCATCCCATGGCTGATGACAGGCTGAAAAGGTGTAACTTTGGGACTGATGGGCGACAACCCTGAAAGACCATATATGCACCCACGCTCCTTGCAGAGCTGCCTCCAGATTTATTGGACTGACTTCAAAGTTCACATCTCCTCTTCCCCATCCTGCCTTACCCCACTTCTGCAAACAAGTGTTGATCTTTAATAAATATCCAGCACAACAAATTCCCTCTCAGTGTCTGCTTCTGGAAAACCCAACCTGCCATACAATGAGCAAATGAGGAAGCAGTTGGAGATTAGTTCGGAAAGGTATGTACACCCTTGACTTTGGCTTTTTTTTTTTTTTTTTTTTGAGAGTCTCACTCTGTGGGCCAGGCTGGAGTGCAGTGGTGCAATCTCGGCTCACTGCAACCTCCACCTCCTGGGTTCAAGCGATTCTCCTGTCTCAGCCTCCTGAGTAGCTGGGATTACAGGCACCCACCACCATGCCTGGCTAATTTTTGTATTTTTAGTAGAGACAGGGTTTTACCATGTTGGCCAGGCTGGTCTCAAACTCCTGACATAAGGTGATCCACCTGCCTCAGCCTTCCAAAGTGCTGGGATTACAGGCGTGAGCCACCGCACCCAACCTTGACTTTGGCTTTGGCTCTGACAGAGGGCTGTAGATGGTTAGGAGCAGACAGCTGGCTTGATCTGATTTATACTTAAAAGGATCCTCCAGCTGCTTTGTTGGGAATAGAAGGGAGGAGGACAAAGGTGAAAGCAGGCAGGGGACAGCACTAATCCAGGTAAGAGGATGGATCGGATCAAGCAGTGGTGATGGGGGAGAGGGTGATGAGAATTAGGGGGACTCTGGGGATATTCTGAAGGAATATATCAGCACTTGCTGATGAATTGGATGTAGAGTAAGAAGGAAGAGACATGTCAAGGATGACTTCTCGGTTTTAGACTGTGTGACAGGAGGAGCAGAGTTGCCCTTTACTGAGGTGGAGAAGATGTGGAGGAAGTGAGTTTGCTGGAGAAGATTAAGAGTTTGATTTCTGACTTGTGACAATTGAGATGCATTTTGGACAGTCAAGTAGAGACGTCAAGACAGTGGAATATATGAGCCTAGACTTCTGCGAGAGGTCTGAGATTGAGACATAAATTTAAAGTCATCAGCACATGAATGAATAGTATATAAAGCCATGAGTTGCAGGGAAGAGTGAGTGTAAAAAGAGAAGAAAAGATGTCCAAGGACCAAACCTTGGGGCATTCATTGTAACAATGCACTGTCCCCTTGTGGTCATCGTACCACTCTCTTAACGATGACAACCATTCTCTGTGATAAACAGGGGTGTTATCAGAAGAGACAGGTGGGTTAGACGATCAGTGGGGACTTCACCTCAATTTGAGATGCTTGCTCTCAAAAGTCTCATATTATCTTTCTCTTGGACTGTCAGCATGAAAAGTAAATTATTTCTACTTGGAACCAGCCTTTACTAGACACCGTGGTCCTTCTGATGTCGAGGATTGACAGATCAACCCAAAGCCCAAAACATGTTAACAGACCTGTTAACTGGGGAAGGTAAATAAGAAATATACCAAGACAGAAGGGACTGAGATCATCATCCTGTTTACTAAACAAGGCAATTCAGGTTTACAAAGCACTTCAGACTGCAACAGTACCTCATGCTGGGAAACAAAGAACAGCAATATTAATCAACCAAGATTTGACTCTGGACCCAAGGTACTCTTCCTTAAAAATTCATGCCCAGAATAGATCCCCTAATCTTCATTGAAACAACCTTTGTCAATCAAGTCACAGTTTAATTTTTGTTGTCACTAAAAAGAAACTTAAGTTGTAGATCACCTGAAAATGACATGGCTTCTACTTTCAATGAACAAAAAATTAACATTAAGAAAAGTGACTGTGGAGCTCTGCGAATTCATTCCAGTTAAAATACAAAGGCAGGAATCACACATGTACATATGAGTTCTTAATAGAAAACTTTATTTTTCTTTATATGCCTGCATTAGGAAGGAAAAAGCCAGATGCAAACGCATGTGCAAAAATAGGAAAAGAGTTTCTTTTTTTTTCTAATTTTATTTTATTTTATTTTATTTTATTATTATTATACTTTAAGTTTTAGGGTACATGTGCACAATGTGCAGGTTTGTTACATATGTATACACGTGCCATGCTGGTTTGCTGCAGCCATTAACTCGTCATTTAGCATTAGGTATATCTCCTAATGCTATCCCTCCCCCCTCCCCCCACCCCACAACAGGACCCGATGTGTGATGTTCCCCTTCCTGTGTCCATGTGTTCTCATTGTTCAATTCCCACCCATGAGTAAGAACACGCAGTGTTTGGTTTTTTGTCCTTGCGATAGTTTACTGAGAATGATGATTTCCAATTTCATCCATGTCCCTACAAAGGACATGAACTCATCCTTTTTTATGGCTGCATAGTATTCCGTGGTGTATATGTGCCACATTTTCTTTATCCAGTCTATCATTGTTGGACATTTGGCTTGGTTCCAAGTCTTTGTTATTGGGAATAGTGCTGCAATAAACATACGTGTGCATGTGTCTTTATAGCAGCATGATTTATAGCCCTTTGGGTATATACCCAGTAATGGGATGGCTGGGTCAAATGGTATTTCTAGTTCTAGATCCTTGAGGAATCACCACACTGACTTCCACAATGGTTGAACTAGTTTACAGTCCCACCAACAGTGTAAAAGTGTTCCTATTTCTCCACATCCTCTCCAGCACCTGTTGTTTCCTGACTTTTTAATGATTGCCATTCTAACTGGTGTGAGATGGTATCTCATTGTGGTTTTGATTTGCATTTCTCTGATGGCCAGTGATGGTGAGCATTCTTTCATGTGTCTTTTGGCTGCATAAATGTCTTCTTTTGAGAAGTGTCTGTTCATATCCTTTGCCCACTTTTTGATGGGGTTGTTTGTTTTTTTCTTGTAAATTTGTTTGAGTTCATTGTAGATTCTCGATATTAGCCCTTTGTCAGATGAGTAGGTTGTGAAAATTTTCTCCCATTCTGTAGGTTGCCTGTTCACTCTGATGGTAGTTTCTTTTGCTGTGCAGAAGCTCTTTAGTTTAATTAAATCCCATTTGTCAATTTTGGCTTTTGTTGCCATTGCTTTTGGTGTTTTAGACATGAAGTCCTTGCCCATGCCTATGACCTGAATGGTAATGCCTAGGTTTTCTTCTAGGGCAATGTTCCTCAAACTTAAGGTGCAGATGAATTTTGTGAAATCTTGTTAAATGCAGATTCTGATTCAATAAGATCTGTAGTAGGATCTGGATTTCTGAATTTTTATCAAGCTCCCAGGTGCGCTAATGTTGCTGGTTCACAACCTCCGGTAACAACACTTTAGTTAACATTATCTGATAAGAGAGTAAACTGACCATGTGACAGAGAAAAAAGTCCTGCAGACACTTAAGCTCACTGGCAGATCTTGAACATACGTGCGCATTTACAGAGAAGGAAGATGTTTGACTATAAGCAGAAAGATTCTAAGTGTATAATACCTGTTCAAAACTGAGGAAATCAGAGTGAAAAATCACAAAATTTTAGAGAAGGTCAAACAATAATTGAAAAACATAGACCATTCCATTAAATTGGCACCTAATTATACAAAGGTCTTTCTGTTTCTTTGAATTTTACAATCTAACCTAATTTATACATCCTATTTAAAGGTAATGTGTATGCTGGCTTTTAGTAGTTCACTTCAATGCTTTGGGGGTTTTTTAAAAAAGATTAATTCCGTGGGGATGGTTATTATATTTTCTTTGATTTCGTTGTCTAAATGGTTCACAATCCTGGCTGCACATTATAACCTGGAGAGTTTTAAAAGTACGGATTCCTAGTCCCACCCCTAGAGAATATGATTTTATTACTTTAATGATGTGTTCTGAGTGGCTGTAAATGTTAAGCCTCCCCAGGTGATTCTAATATGCAGCCCAGGGTGAGAACCGATGAATTTAACCAAACCTAAGAGATCTTGTGGGCTCCATGAACCTATAACCCAGGAAACATCATCCACGTAGTGGTAGAATAGCAGCGGGAAATGACTTGTGGAGACTAATCTTGCAAACCCAAACTTATAAAGTTATAGCAAACATCATAAAGGATTAACCAAATCCTTTGATCTCAAAAACTTCTAAAAAACCTAGTCACTTCTCTTTCCCCTTTTCACTTTTCCAAATCAAAGACTTCAGACAGATTATCTGTAAGCAGGTTTCAAAAGACTCCCACTGAAATTGAAATGTTGGTCCCAGCAGATATCAGAATAAAACTGATATGAAGAACTATTCTTGAAGTGTCAGAATTACCTATTGATCCTATGGTGCTTTAAAATATAAAGGAAGGAAGGAAAGAAGGAAGGGAAGGAAGGGAAGAAGGAAGGAAGAAGGAAGGAAGAGAGGAAGGAAGGGAGGAAGGGAAGAAGGAAGGGAAGACTCAAGGGAAGGAAGGAAAGAAGGGAAGGAAGGAAGGAAGGAAGAAGGGAAGGAAGGAAGGAAGGAGAGGGAGGGAGGAAGGGAGGGAAGGAGGGAGGGAGAACAGTGAGCTCCTTTGAAATAATACTGTACTTTTTTTTCTGTGAGCTGATTTTGAGCAGAAATAGTCCAGAAGAGTAGTTTTTATGAGCACCAATGTCTAAATCTGAGTCTAACAGTGAAAGGAAAAATTAAAACATGAATTTTTTATGAGTAGTTTTATGAGCACCAATGTCTAAATCTGAGTCTAAAGGTGAAAGGACAAATTAAAACATGAATTTTTTTTTCCTTCAGATTTCACAGTCCACACGGAACAGGCACTATAAGGATAGGACATTGGGAGAAAGCCTTGTGGGTTAGCTTAACTTACTGAAAGCTAACAACAATACGATAAAGGTGACTAAGATCTCCATTTAACTCAGCTCATTTCCATCTATTCTCCAGTCACAGACAGCACTCCTGAATCCAACCAGCCATTTAAGAAAATGTGCTCATCTGAACAATAGGGAAATTTAGCAAGAATCAGTAAATGGCTCAGGGCAGATCTATCCCACTAACTGGAAAAATAAATCACCTTTATATATGAGGAATGACACAGTTCCATAGCATTATCTTTGGTTCTTCCATCTGTTAGCGAGAAAACCAAGAATTTGCCTTTCTACAATGGAAAGTCCAGTGAGAATCTAAGATGCAACCTGCTTCTTCTTTCTCTTTGACTTTGTTTGGGTTTTCACAGACCATCAAAGTGTGGTATGACAAGGACTGTCCGAAAACGTCCTTGGAGTTCACATGGGGTTTCCCAGACAAGGAGCCAGTATACACTGAGGGCTCCTCCCTTCTCACAGTGGGGGACATGCACTCAAGTTCAGCTTCCCACAACAATAGTGCCCCTGGCAGAAGGGGCATCATGCTCCCATGGGCCGGAGGTCACCAGGTGCTTGGCAGCCAACTTTCTAGAAGAGTTCCTAAAAGAAAATCTGGCACCTATTTCTGGACTAGCTAGCATCCAAGTAGACTATTTTTCCCTTCCCTGACAAAGTGACTATCCCAGTTACTTATAAAAAGAGGACACAAAGGGGGGGCAATGTCCCTTTCCTGTAACACAAACATGTGCCCAGCAAGCCTCTCTATGAAATGAAAGAAGCATCCAGGGATCTCTGTCTTCTCTCACTGACGTCAGTTCATCTCATCTAGGCTTCCTCAGATGCCTAAGGTCAGCTTGCAGCTGGGTGGGCTAGCCTGGCTCACCATGAGTCCGGCAGTTGGCTGGCTTTTCACTAGGGTGCCTCAGTTCTCTTCTACTGATATCTCATCCTCCAGTAAGCTGGTGCTAGGCCTGCTACGGCTCTCACAAAAAAGTACCAGGCACTGAGTGGCTTAAACAATAGAAATTTCTTTCCTTGCAGTTCTGAAGACTAGAAGTCCAAGATCCGGGTGTCATAAAGATTGTTTCTTCTGAGGGCCTCTCTCCTTCACTTGCAGGTGCCATCTTCTCCCTGTGTCCTCAGATGATCTTTCTTCAGTGTGTGTTTGTGTCCCATCTACTCTTCTTATAAAGACATCATTCTTATTGGATTAGGAACCATCTTCGTGACTTCACTTAACATTAATTACCTCTTTAAAGACCCTATCTCCAAATGCAGTCACATTCTAACATACTGGAGGTTAAGATTTAAATGTATGAATGTATAGAGGACATGATTCATCACATAGCAGTTTGCCATGGGCTCATTTACCTGTGTTCCAGGCACATCAAGAGAAAAAGTTCCAATACACAAGTGTTTTTTGAACTTCTACTTGTATTTCATTTGCTTAATTTCCATTGGCCAAAGCTAGTCTCAAGGCCAGAGTCAGTGTGGGGTAACACTACCAAGGGATGCAGATGGAGGGAGGGGGATAATTTGCAGCCATTTTTGTAGTCTATTACATGTCGTGATAGAAATAGATAAGAATTTGCCTGTTCTAGCTGTTGAAGAATTTCTTCTGAGTAGAGGTTAAGTTCGGATACCTCTTGCCAGAAACAGAACTTCCCAGTATAATGTAATTCATATTAATGGACTATGGCTTGTTACGATGTCAATATGAACAAGTCATGCAATCTTCTTATGAAAAAAGAAAAGTAATCCTCATCCTTCCTTTTCTCACACAGATGTTATGAGATCAGATGTGAAAATTCTTTGGAAGAAATACAATCTCAGTCTTTCAGTGGCATATGTATTAGACTAGCCAAATTTGAGTTATCTGAGCTCAAATAATGTGAATATTTTGAATCAATGCCAAGTCATTTAATAGAGATATGCTGCCTTGGGTGTTGGCCTCTCACTGAAGTTTCCCCAAACATTGCCTTTTAACAAGACTTTTCAAGATGCAGCCTAAGCCTTTCAAGTAACATTCCTGACTCACTGCTAAGCCTCTGTCAAGCTTAGCTCCTGTCCAGTGGTCAGTAAATAGCATAAGATTTGCACAGTCCATTTGCTCCATCTCAATTTGACTAGTGTCAGAATCTTCAGAGCTTCCAAGAACCAATGAGCACAGAAAATGAGTTTTTGTCATAAATACTTCATAGGTAAGAACAAGGTCGGACATCTATCTGCATCCAACCCAGGCTTTTAAAACTCAGCTCAAGCCCTTCCTATTCCATGGTACTTTCTCTGATTATCCTCACCCACAGTGATTCCCTCTTCCTTTTGAACTTCAATAATGTTTTATTGACTAAACCAGACTTAATCAGGAACAAGCAAAAACTAGTTTTATTTTTCATCACTTTTCCCCATAAGTTTGATCAACACAGTTATACTTTACCACCTCTTTGATGAAATTTTGCTGCACATTCCCATTGCTTTGGTCACTTTCAGATATAAAAATGTCCAATGAAGGGTAATAGGAGCAGAACATGAGCCAGGTCTAATCGTATAATCACATAAATTCCATATAGGGCCATACAATGTGGAAACTCCTATTTAACGTAGCCCTTTCCTCTCCCTCATCTGGCACCTTCCTCAGGCTTGGAAGCCTGCCATGGAGAAGAGGCAGTGGTTAACTCTACCTTTCTTCTCTTCTCTGCTCCACCTCCTCTTCTACTCACCAGCTGCTGGCATAGTTGAGATCTGGAGATTGTGCCGTTCGGCCACTGCAGGTGTCTGAAGTGGACTCTTCCTCTCCTGATGTGCTTTGCTGTTTTCCAGAGATTTTCTTCTTTTGACTCCAGTTTTGTTGCCTCATGCAATGTTTTTCTGCTTTGAACTTTCACTTCTGCTTCCAGGGACTCATCTCTCAGTTAGGGTCGTATCAACCTTCCAGGTGACCTTCCTGGGTGACCAAAAGGATTCATCTAAGCCATCTCCCCACTAAGACTTACCTTCCCAGATGATATATTCCTTTATCCCACCATTGGCAGAATTTCAGCTCACTCTCACTTCAGCTATCTCTATCTAGATTTTTGCTGAATCTGGACTGCTGACCGGACACAGCCCCAGCCACCTGCCTGTATTCATTTTGGGTGAGAATAAGATGTCAATCTCTAAGTATCCCAAATTAGAAGGAATGTGGACGGGCTTTCTGAGTAATTTCCTTGAATCCCTTCTTCATTGGCTTAAAATCAGTGAAAAGTATTAATGAGGGTGGAAGAAATGCACAGAACCCTCTCAGGTCTCTCTGAAGAAATCCTCTTTCCACTCTTCTTCTGTCTCTCCCCCTACAATTGCTGAAAGTGGGTGGTAGGCCAGTGAGCACAGAAGCAACTTCACAGCCTCCTTGCACATTCTGCTCAGGTGGTCTTGTCTAGCACACTGTCTTATGAGTGTGGATATTTGGCAGTAGATGGTTTGTTCTCAGCCTTTGGAATCTTCACTGAAAATCTGAGATGAGGGTAAGAATAACATTTAACAACTTGTTACTCTCCTACATGTATCATCCTTAACAAAATTGCCTTATTTTGCAGAGTGTCACTATATGACCAGCCATATTTAGACCTTGGGAAGATGAGAGTTTGGAGATGATTAAACAAATAAGAAAGAGAATATCGTTTGTATTCTTGAGGTTAAGAAAACCTAGTAGAGACTGTAGCAGAAACTTTTTTAAATTATTGATCCGCCCCAATTGTCTGATGCCCCATCTCTTCAGAAACTCACCCCCCCCCCACTTTTCAGATGGTCCTCAACAGCTACGTTTGCATGATAACGCCCCTCACTAGCCACAGCCCACTGGACCTATGCCTGACATATTCCTCAAGACAGGCCAGTTGTATTACTCTCCTGAGAATCAAGGATTGGACTGAAAATCCTATCAAAAGCTGTATTTGGAAACGTTGGCATGTTGAATAGAGAAGCAGAGAAAATCATTCTGCAGAGAAAGAGAGAGAATGGGGTAAATACAAAGACATGGACAGAGAGGGATTCTGTAAATGTTCTGCTTCCTGGTTATCTTCCAATTGACTAACTGCATCCCTGCCCTTGTGGCTTATGACACTCTCTATATCTGTACACAAATTATCTTTTTCCTTAGATTAACTAAAGTTAGTTTCTGTTTCTGCAATCCAAAATATCCTAAACAATACAGAAACAATACATAAAAGGGAGTTGAGAACACAGCAACACCATATGGGCAAATATAGTTGATTACTGAAGGCATCTCAGAGACTCATTATCTGGTGTAAGCCTCAGAAGATGAGTAGAATTGTTATGAGATGAAATTGAAAATATTCCAGTTAGAGAAAATAGTATAAGCAATAGCAAGGGGGTAGAGAACATTCAACATTTAGCTGAGAGGCCTAATGTGTCAAGAGAAGTCACCAGAAAGAAAATTAGATAAATAGACAAAGGAAAGGTTTTAGAGAATCATTAAAACCATTCAAAAGAAGTAAAGAAATTCTTAAATTTCAGCTGAGGGTAACAGGATAGAATCTGTGCTATAGAGGCTAATTATTAAATGAGTACTTAGGACAAAATCAAAGAGTAAGGGGACTGGAGACAGGGACAGCAGATAGAAAGCAACTGCAATAACCTGAGAAAGGAGTAATGAGGGATCCATCTAGGACAGTGGTAATTGAAATAGGAGGGGAAAAGGCCAGTTTGACATTTTGGTGCTGAAATCTGAGTAGGGAGTGAGTGATAGTCCCAGGGCAGAAATAATCTCACATGTAAATGGTGCTAAACGTGGCCATGTCTGAGACGATTTAATGAGCTGCTTTCCTGGTACGCTAAGCTGCTGGGCAAGTTGGATGCATGCTGTAGCAGACAGGTGCTGTTTCCCAACTAGCAGCATCTTTCCACTTCTTTGGGTAGCATCACTGCAGTTTATTTTGAGGAACTGGATAAGGAATCTCTCCTAAACTTACAAGTTCCATCTCACCTCAGAACTTTAGACGTGACACAAATATCAGTATCTCTGTAATGTCTCTGTCATGGAAAGAGACAAGTGAAGCAGTATCAGACTCTGTAGCTCTCAACCCTAGAAGTAGAGAGTCAGGTTTATAAAAACCCCACCCTGAACTCACCTGTTGTGTGATTCCCACCCCAAGTCAGACATCCTTGGTGAGGAAGGTGTTGTGTGGGCATCAAACAACTGTCATACAATTAATCTTCCAAAGCCCCCTCTTGCTACACTTTGCACCATAGAGTCTATAATGTTAGATTACCCAGGATTGAATTTTGACTCTCCCGTTTACCAACTGTGTAACCTTGGCCAAGATAATTAACTTCATTTTGACTCATCTTCTTCATCCGTAAAATGGGAATGACAGTAACACCCACCAGATAGGGATTATGAAGATTAACCTAAGACTCACAAGGCGCTTAGGACACTGTCCGGAGCATGTGGAAAGCTCAAATAATGTCGCTAATAGTATCAGAAGTACTCGAACATTTTGGCTGGTTATTGTCCAAAAAAGCAGCTCAGCTTCTCATTGCACAAGGGCTCAGATAGTTGCATTTGGCACATTATATCCAATTTCCCATAAACAAGCTTGCCCATAAAGTAATTTCATTCATAAGTGCACTTAAGAGTGCACTTCATGGAAAACTCATCCTAGTGGGCCTATTCCAACGACGCAGCTAAATTTAAAGTCAGAAGTTTCACGGAGATTATTCTAAGATCCTTCTTTGGTGAGTGAAGCGTTTGGCCGGTAATGTGTGCCCTCAATGTTTTCATAATAAATAATACAGACCTTTGAGCCTAAACCATATACATTTGCCAATGATTTTTACATCTGCAGTATTTTTTCTTTTAACAGAAATGTTTCTGTCTCTGGTTTGACTAATACATGGCCCACGTGCCAGCACTGCTTTTCCCCAACCATCCGTCACCAACCATCTCTGCCAAGTTCACGTGCAACCTCAGACCTATCTCAGCCCAGAGGAAGACAGCCTCCCTGTGCCTTTTTAAAACTAGTGGATGTAAGACCCATTTGCCATGTAGGGTAACTTTTGTCAGGGTGAAGACCTAAAGCTTGTTACTTTTTCAACAGAATGGTGAGCTTGTCTCCCCAATCACTTTTTAAATTTTTTAAATTATTTTATTTTATTTTTTGAGACAGAGTCTTGCTCTGTTACCCAGCTTGAAGAGCAGTGGTGCAATCATAGTTCATCACAGCTTCAAACTCCTGGGCTCAACGTATCCTCCTGCCTCAGCCTCCCAAGTAGCTGGGACTACAGGTCTGTGTCACCATGACTGGCTTTTTTTTTTTTTTTTTTTTTTTTTTTGGTAGAGACAAGGTCTCACTATGTTGCCATGGCTGGTCTTTGAACTCCTGGCCCCAAGTGCTCCTCCCACCCTGGCCTCCCAAAGCACTGAGATTACAGGTGTGAACCACCACACCTGTCCTCCCTAATCACTTTAATCAACAATGAAGAATTTTCATAATACTAAAGATCAGTGCTGTAGACATTTGCTAGATAAGTTGATTGTCAATAGACTGAATATTGAGGGAGCCACTGTAATAGACAACCAACCACATGATTTCCTAGGATCTTTAGGTTGTCTTATTATTAAGTCATCAGAAAGCCAAGGATTTGGACCTTACATAGACAGTGCAAGGGGTTCAGGTTAGAAGCCCTGGCTCCAAGTCCCAGACCTACCACTTATTTGCCATGAAACATAAAGACATTAATACCTGTGCTGCTGACCTCCACAGGGTTCTTATGATGAGTCAGGGTGATCACGTGTGTGTGCACATGCTAACACCCTTGCATGCTTGCTCTCCAACTTGCTACCATAACATAAACCTCCAAATACCTATGGAAACATCTTTGGTAAGGTATGCCTCAGGGATAGGCCTGATGCAACGTGCTGTCATTCATATTTAAAGACATTGCTCACTAATGACTAAATGCTCCTTTTAAAGCAACTTGTGGGTAAATTCCACCTTGAGTTTAATCCAAAGGAACATTTATTATTTATCAAAATTTTTGAAGGATTTCTTTTATCTGACAAGGAAAATTATGTAATTTTAGTTCACTTTTTGGTTTTGATGTAGAAAGCTTGAAGCCAAGATCAATGAAAAACTGTTAAATTAGCACATCCTAGGTGCCTGGGAACATCTATTCCTGTTGTTCCTTTTAAAGCGTGAGTTCTACTGCTATTTTTAACCCAACTCTTCTACATTATATTGAATTTTATATGAAAGCTCACATTATTTCACAAGGAGGAGTCCAAATTAAGGTGAAATCAGAGATGAGTAACTGAGGAAAACTGCACCATCATTCACCCTGAAGATCTTCCAGAAGGAAACAGACACCTGCCCCGCAGGCCAGACAGTCATCTACCCGGAGTTACCTTCCAGGGGCCTCTTTCAACTCGGAGATTCTCTCACTCCATCTGTACCCATGGCATTGTGGCAACAGTAAGATTATTTAGGACAGAGATAATCAACCCAAGAAGCCCACCTTGATCCCAGCCCACCAAGAACCCCTCTCCGGGTCTCAGCAAGTTCCCCACTGGAACCTAGGAGAAAGGCCCAAGCTGGCTCCTCTCCCAGTCCCTTGGGCTGAGGACAACAGAGGCAGAAAATCCCAGGGCATACACAAGCATGCTTTTTCACTTGGTATATTTCCAGAGAATTACTCTAACGTTACTTTGTGATAAAGTTAGCAAACACGTGTGTTTTATCCACTATGTGCCAGCAACACATCACAGAGAATAATATAAGATGCAATTCCTAATCCCAGGAAGACCATAGTGTTGTGGTGGAAAAGAGGACATGATGATACAACCACAATAGAGGAGAGAGTGGGGTAACTGCTACACGAAACACATAAATCAGTTCTGAGAGAGTGTGACAAGAGACAGAGGTGTGGAGTGGTCAACAGCCCGGACTCCGAAGCCAGGCACTGCCTTGGCTCAAATTCCTTCACTGCTGCTCACAAAATCTGTGGCCATGAGCAAGTCATTTAATCTCTCTGTGCCTCAGTTTCCTCTAGGGTCAGGATAATGAGAGTGTCTACATCTAGGGTTGTTATGATGACTAAATGAGTTGATCTATGGAACGCACTCAAAACAGTACTAGACATAAAATACATGATGTGTTGGGGGGAAGGAGTGACCCAAGGGAGGATCAAAGAGACATAAAAGAAGGTGGTGACCAGTCCAATCTCCTTGTTAAACAGACCCCATGGTCAATAGTGTATGATCCTTGCCAAAAGGGAGACCCCTAGAGCCAGATTGCTCTTGCCTCCTGACAAACTGGCTCCTTTGATCATAGTGTCTAAGAAACTACTCCACGGTCACTGGGGCAATGACTCTGCTTTAAATACTGAGTGTCAATAACACTTTTTATGTGCCATTAAAATAAATCTAAATAATTTTAAAGCATTAAATTAAATCATTGAGTGTCCCTTTCACTGATTTTGTTCAATAATGGTAAGTTTCTCTCCATTTACTTTTGGGATTCAGCTACCATTTAAAACTTTTCACGTTCTAGTGATTAGTCTCACTTAGTAACCTTAATTTTGTCTCAAATATAAGAAATAAAGGGCATCCTAGGGTCCCCAAATAGCCCTTGGGGAAGAGAAGAGTTGGAAACAGAGAGCAAATGCAACAAATGTTGTTCCTTCAAACTGTGCCCATAACCAGACCCTTCCCTATGTGCAGGGAGGAGGGGTCAGATTCCACAGGTGTAATGTAGAGCATATGATAGGAGTACTCTGCCCTCACCTTAAAAGAGACCTCAAGCTCATAAATGTCTGAGCATAGCCAGCTAGTATCATAAATAACAAACTGAGATGAAGTCTGGATAGATGGATGGATGGACGGATGGATGGAGGATGGATGGACGGACGGACGGACGGACGGATGGATGGATGCATGGACAGATATGTGTCTTTTTAAATATCAAGAAAGCTTTTATGTTCTCTAATATTTTCCCCAATCTAAGATTTACTGTGCCTGAAATTCCACTGTTAACTTGTTTTGCAGTTAAGCCTCGCCCTTTGCAGACATTATTTAATACATTTGAATAGTTTCAAAATGGGTAGCTCACTGTGTCTCTGATACCTTGGCATGAGCAGTCATCAGATTGCCCTCCGCCTAACTGGAAGAACAAGGATGGTGGGAGATGAAACCTGCAGAGAGTTCTTGAAAGGCCAGCAGCAGAGCAAAAAGGTAGCCAGTGCCCAAGACAAATTTTCTGCCCTCACTGTTTTGCTGAGAGCTAGTCTTAGATCCCTGCCTTGTCCAATATCATCATCTAACTTCATAAAAAGGTCAGAAAAAGATTTGTCCTTCAGTCTTTGCTGTTGCCTTGTAACTGGAGCGTCAGAAAAGTGATGGTTGGACATGCTTCAGTTGGTATGTCAGCCGTGGCTTGGTTAGCACACTTTTTAATTGCCAGATAAAATAAATAGTTGAAATACAATCAGTGATGACATTGCTCTGAACTCCTTGGGCTCCAAGACGAGAAATAAGTGGGAGTGAAGATGCTGAAAGAACAGCATCGTCATGGGTATTTCAAACCCAATCCAGTCAGCCAAATCGATCAGGGTAAAAAACTGGCTAAAGGCCACCCTCTAGTCAATCCAGGAAGAGAAAACTGTAGCAACATATGTTCCCTTAAAAATGGAAAATTGCAATTCATTTCCAAAGTAATCATTTCTAATGCCTGCCCCAACTTTTTATGCCTCTCTACAGAGCCCAGAAACTTTCTTCCTGTGTATGTGCTCATGCTGTGTTTTATTTGCATTGCAGAATATCACTGTAGCCCTCCCAGTCCTTATAAATTAAGTTTATTTTGAGATGAGAGGAATGGAACAGAAGTAGTCCCTGCTGTGACTTAATGTTGTAAGAGTTTATTTCTTTGTTTTTCTTGGGAAACTATACTGATGGGACAGGCAGGGAGAAAAAGATAAAATCCCCCTCCTTCTACTCCATGTCTGTTTTCACTCTCATTTTTAAAAAGCAAATGTATTCAAATAATCTCTTTCCAGATGTACTCAGATCAAATGGGGACACTGAATAATTGAGAAACAAGATTTCCATCTGCTCTATCCATTGAAAAGCAAAAAGTGGGAAGACCAAAAAAAATTGAATCAATTCATTCTTGCCCATGAGCACTGTGAATTGATGGGTGATCCAAATACTCCCCGGGCTGAGCCTCGCTGAGATCCTTGAGTGACTGACAACTGCAGCTTCAGCTCAACCATGCTGAGTGCCTGTGTTCTCCAAGGCTTTGGCTCAGTGGCCTGCAATGACCCCCGTGTCCCATCCCATTGGTTGTCATGTGTCCTGTGCCTCACCCCCATTGGCTACTACAGTTTCTTGTCCCATCCCCATTGGCTATCATGCATGCATTTATTCACCTATTGAACCAGTATTTTGGAGGCCCTTAACACCTCACTTTTACTCATGAATTTAGGATTTCACCATGGCCCTACGAAACGCAGATGGATACCCACTTTGTTTTCCTAAAGAATTATTAACTCCCATACTGTATTAATCTTTTCAGATATGTATATTTTGTTTTTCAAGCTATACTGGAAGCTTTCCAATAGTGGGAACTTGCTTTTCACACTTCACATTCTCCATATTTCCTTCTAGCAAAAAGCCTTGCAGATAACAATCAGAAGTACAATAAATACAAATGAAAAAAAAAAGCTGAATTTATTTCATCTTGAAATGGCAACTATGGGAGGTGATGTACATGTTAACTAACTTGGTTGTGGTAATCATTTAACAATGTGTACATATATCAAAACATCAAGGCCAGGCATGGTGGCTCATGCCTGTAATCTAAGCACTTTGGGAGACTGAGGCAGGAGGATCGCTTGAGGCCAGGAAGTCGAGGTCACAGTGAAGAGCTATGATCATTACACTGCACTCAGCTAGGTGATACGAAGACCCTGTCTCAAAAAATTAGGTTTTACACCTTATATATATATACAATTTATATTTGTCAATAATAGCTGGAGAAAAAATAGCCTCAATAAAACTGGAGAATAAAATAGACGGGGCACGGTGGCTCACGTCTGTAATCCCAGCACTTTGGAAGGCCAAGGCAGGCAGATCACCTGAGGTCAAGAGTTTGAAACCAGCCTGGCCAACATGGTAAAACCCATCTCTACTAAAAATAGAAAAATTAGCCAGGCATGTGGTGGTCACCTGTAATCCCAGCTACTTGGGAAGCTGAAAAGAAAAAGAAAAAAAGAACTTTAATGGCATGGCCAGCAAAGCAGAACTTCATCACATATGAATTTATGCTTTTAATTAGTAGTAAGGAAACTGACTTTCTCAAGTCTCAGCCCTTCCATTATTTAATACATTTCGGCAGCAAAAAACCCATTTTGGAGCAGATAGTTGTTTCGTGAAGAAGCATTTCAGTGGCCTCTCTAAAATTATTTAGGTTAAGGCAAGAGCCCATTCATTCTGGAAGAAGAGTATAACTGGATGTTTTTGTCTTAGCAAGGAGCAGAACTTTGCTATGAGAGGTAGAAGTCTGTCTGTGTCCTTTCCTGGTGTTTACATTTGGATCTGCTAATTTAACCCAGGGCCCAGAAGTCTTCTGGTAGACTGGGGAGTAGGGCCCAGGCCCCTGCCTGTTGCATTTAAAGTCATTGAACATGTCCATGGACTAGGGTAGCAGCTGTTGAGGCTCCCTAGAAGAAATGTGCCATCACCGGGAGCATTAATCAGCTTAGGTCCTGTCCCTCATTGAGGAGGGCTGGGGCTGGCACTCGTCGATTCCCTCCAGATCTGCCTCCATCACTGGGAAAGACACTTGCAGAAAACGGCCACATGCATGCTGTCGTGGACTAAATTATGCCCTCCCACAGCTTTTATGTTGAAGCCTTAACTCCACAATGTGACTATATTAGGAGACTGGGGCATTAAAAAGGTAACAAAGATTAAATGACATCACAGGGTGTGGCCCTAACCTGATATTAGAGTTCTTTCCTTCTCTCTCTACCATGTAAGGACACAGAAAGAAGGTGGTTATCTGCTAACCAGGAAGACACCATACCAGAACCTGACCCTGCTGGACCATGATCTGAGACATCTAGCCTCCGGAACTGTGGGAAAATAGATTTCTGTTGTTTAAGCCACTCAGTCTATGGTATTTTATTATGGAAATATGAATTGCCTAATACAACTATTATCATTCTTATTTGGTGAGTGAAAAAACTGGACTCAGGAAGATTAAGCAACTTGCTCGAGATCATATAGCCAGTACGTGGTAGAGCCACTCTTCATTTTGTCAAGCTTGGAATTCTCATGGAAAGCCACATTCACGTTGATTGACACTGTTACAAAAAAGGAGGTAGGCTGTTTATCACATAATAATGAGAAATGTATAAGCCATTGTAATAGCTTTAGGTGGCCTGAAATAATAGAAAAGAGCAAGGTCTACCAAAAACCCTTGTTGAGTAAATGAATGGATGGATAAATGAAGTCTTCCAGGGTGGAGCTAACAAGGCTTATGGAAGAGGTGACAATTAGGAAGCTGGCATTCTTTCTTCAACACCTTGGACCTTCCCTTAGTGAACATATTCCTCACTCTCACATTCTCTGAACGTTGATCTGTCCCTAGTCACACACCACTGAGAGACCTGGGCTTTGCAGACCTAATTTCTCCTGCTTGTCCCTACAGCATCTTGCATGGAAATGACAATTAACAAATACATGCTGGTTGGTTGCTGCCACCCTCTTCTGCTCTAATTTTTCTGTGTTTGTACTTTTCCTGCCATACAGGTACAGGCTTCATATCTTGATATGAATTTTGTGGTTTTGCCCCTATGTCTGTGCATGTGTCTTTTCCCCTGGCCTCCACTTTGCCTGAGATATAGGGTTGTTATATAGAGAGAATGAATGTCTATAAATTTTACTGCTAAAACAGCAGATGATCCAAGATAAGAAGGTCTGAGATAAGTATATTGTGGTATTATGCACCACCATAGAATTGGACTGAGAATAGAGAGAAAAGAAGACCACCCTATTTCCAACTCATTCTATCCTCGGGGAGACAAGAAGAAGGTCATCAAGAGGGAGGGCCATGAGATGTGAGTGCAAATGTTCTCTGCCACTTGCATGAGTCTGGAAAGAAATAACATTCATACAACCTGTCAGGAAAAGCAACAACATGTCAGGCAAAGCAAATTTACTACTCACAGATAGGCACCAATGATAAACAAAAGCCTAGGATCCACTGAACCAGTTCCCAAGAGCTCAGGAAAACTGCCCAGGGTGGATGAGGTCTCTTCCGTGCTCACCCACATTATATAGCAATTAAGGGACTCCAAAAATGCTCCACCCTGAATTTTATACTCTAGGAATAACTGGAATCACTGAGCTCAAGCAGTACAAGACATCCTGTTCTAGGAGGAATGAGGATATAGCCTGAGCTGTTTTAGACAGTTCTTCCTTGCCTCGGGACGTTGCATTCTAAGTGTATTCTACAGTTATTCTGATAACTGTAAGCAGGAGGCTGGGGGGAGCCGCAAACGCCAAGGCCATTCAGGACCCATCCTCTTACAGCAACCTTAAAAGACATCAGGAGGAGAGATACACCTTCTAGTCTGGGGGCTCAGGGTGAGAGGAGGGGCAGCTCCGGAGTCAGGCCCCAGATGGCTGGTGCCAGGGGGTGGCAGGTGAGCCTCACCAGAGGGTGAAAGCCAAGCCAGCACCTGGAGTCACGAATTACCACATAATGTGCCAGGCTGTCCACATCAGAAGCCCCATTCGGTGTTTATCTCATGGTGTTATTGGAGCCTTCCACCCTCAGCAGCCTGTGCTCTGCCTGTGTTCATCACCAGCTGAGCCCCACCCTCATTGTCTTGTGTGGATTTTCTTTATATTCAACATTAAGATACTAGTTAACCATAGAGCTTACTGTGTTGTGTGTGCAACTGTGTGTTTATGTTAATGTACTTATTAAATCCTCAAAGCAACCCTCAGCAGTAAGTACAGTCATCCCTTGGTATCCTTGGAGGGTTGGTTCCGGGACCCCCCACCCCATACCAAAATCCACAGATGTTCAAGTTTCTTATATCAAATGGTGCAGTATTTGCATGTAACCTACACCCACCTTCCCGTATACTTAAAATCATCTCTAGATTACTTATAATACCTAATACAATGTAAATGCTACATAAATAGTTGTTTACTGTATTTTTAAATTTGTATTTTTACTGTCATATTGTTATTTTGTATTGCTTTTTTTTTTCCAAATATTTTTGATCCATGCTCGGTTGAATCCATGGATACAGAATACCATGAATGTGAAGAGCCAGTTTTACTCCTATATCATCTCCAGTGTGCTGATGAGGAAACCATGGCACAAAGAGGTTAAATAACCTGTAAATAAATAAAGAATCTGAGCTGAGCTTCAAACGTGGGCAGTCTGGCTTCAGGTCCCTGGTTTCCACCACTGTACAACACTGCCTCTCATTACCCAGGATGCACCTAAGACTCCCAGAAATGGGGGCTGGGGCACAAAAGCAGCAGTGGTGGGAAGTGGAAGAAGCAAGCCAGCAGGATACTTCAGTGGCACTAGACAGTGGAGATGCCACCCCCATTACACATGGGTCCACTCTCTACCTTGCACTGGACTCTGTCTCTTACCACAGGCTTAAAATCTTCCAGGGCCAGAGCTCTGCCTTAGTTATCTTGACACATCCACAACCCAAGCATGATGTCTTGTGCATACAAAGAGCTGAGTGAACGCTAGATACATTAAATTGCTAGAAATTATTAATAAAATCTTTATGGTTGAGCATGTTTTTGTCTTGGAGCACTCTGAAGGGTGCATTTCTCAAAGAGGCATGTAATGACACCAGGAATGGAGCTGTTTGGGTCACAGCTCTCTTCTGCTGGGACCAATCCCAGTTTCTTGTTCTCTCGACAGCCTAGAGGGAAATAATAACTTGTTTTTAATAGTGCTTTGCACTTTTCACAATGTTTTTGAAAATACATCACCTAAGTTAATTTTCAAAAACCCCAAATGAAAGGTAGTTAAAGATGATATTACATCTATTACACTTACTGCATGGGTTCATAGACTGAGGCGTTAGAGAGGCAGAATGATGGATCCAAGATTAGGTAGCTAGTCAGTAGCAAAGCAAGGACAATACAATACCTGCTCCCCAGTGTCTGCCTTGGCATTCTTTCCTCTACACATAGATGCAGCCCTCAGACAGTGAGTATACTTCTCACCCTCAGATTCCATAAGCTTTATTCCAAAAGTACCCTTTCACTGGGCTACAGACCTGTTGGGGAAGGTTTTATGTAGGGCCATTGGCATAGAGCCTTGCTAGTTAAACTACCCATTGCTCCTGCCATAGACAAGCAGCATAGCATCACCTGGGAGCTTGCTAGAAATGCAAAATCTTGGACCCATCCGGGACATATTGAATTGAATCCACATTTTAACAAGATCCCCAGGTGATTTGTGTTGCACATAGAGGTTCACAAACCACCCTTCCTGAAGATGTGCCTGTTAGGACCATCATCAACAAATATAAAAAGGTTGAATGTTCTCAGGTGTGTTCTGTGAAAGTTAAATGGGTATTTATATATTTGACTATGTTCAGATATTGCCTTGTTAGCATCACCTGGGACTCACACATGACAAGAATGAAAAGGATATCAGCCCGTGCCTTGGACTGGGACCAGGGAGAAACTTTAGGCAGCATATGCTAGGGAATGCACAGATAAGTCTGTGTGCCTGGCAGTCTCTCCCACGTGGGAAACCTGGGGGAGGGAACACCCGGCCTAACGAGATCTATGTGTGGCTTTTCTGCTCATAAATAGAGTATTGGCAGGCACCATTGTCTTACTACATGCTTTCAGATGCCGCACTGGGGCACCGTGGGGCTCAGTGTTCTGAACGCAAAGGCCCAGCTCTGTTTAGCATAAGCCAAAAAGGTGACTCCTTCCATTACAGAAGCTGCTGTGGCCTGAACTGATTGCATGGAGGTCTGTCACCTTGTCAGTAGACAGGTGGTGGGCTGAATTGGAAGCCTCCTCTGCCCACTCCACCTCTCCTTGCCAGCTCTCATGCGAGACAAAGTCTGAATCAAACACTGTTTTTGATTTTTTGTAAATTATCTCTACAGAATGGTGTGCAGGCTATCACAGACAGAGTGTTTCAAAGAACCAGCTTTTAAAGTGTGTCTAAAAAATTTAAACATCTCAGTAGGTTTTTCTTAACAGAAGCAATTGCTAAACCAATATGAATTTGTTGATTAACCTTAATAGTGCTATAGGGGGTTGAATAATGTCCCCTGAAATTCATGTCCATCCAGAACCTCAGAATATGACCTACTCAGAAATATGGTCTTTTCAGATATAATTAGTTAAGATGAGGTTACACTGGACAAGGGATAGGCCCTCAGGCTAAATAGCTGGGGTCCTTACAAGGGCAGGGGGATCATGGAGCTACGCAGATACACACAGGTGAGAAAGCCACAGGAAGACAGATGTAAAAGTTGGAGGGATGCAGCTACCAGCCAAAGAATGCCAAGGATTGCCAGCCACCAGCAGAGCTAGGAAGTCAGGAAGGATTCTTCCCTAGAGCTCTCAGAGGGAGCGTGTCCCCACCATCACCTTGATGTTGACCTTCTAGCCTCCAGAACTATGAGAAAATAAATTTCTATTATTTTAAGCCTCCCAACTTGTAGTGCACTTTTAAGCAGCCCTAAGAAACTAAAACGGTATCTAATAACTAATGTCACTACCATTATTTTGAGGACTTGCAACATGCAAGGCTCTGCTCTGAGCACTTCACATGTATTTACCAAAAACAGCTTTTGCAAGAGGTACTGTTATTCTCATCTTACATGAGGAAATTAGCATAAAAAACAATACTGAGTCACTTGCCCACGTCTTATCCACTAGACAGGTGGCAGAGCAGGCTCTACCCCAGCTGTAGAGGCCCCACGCAGACTCTCCAGCCTCAAGCTCTGAGAGTTGGGAGATGAACATATGGGCAAGAGATGGTGTGAACACACAGCATCCCCCATTGCTGCACCCCTTCCATGCCACTGATGGAGCAGAAATGAGTCCTGGGGACAGGCCCCACAGGAATAGGTAGGAAAATCAGGAAGCTTGGCCACCCAGCAGTAGGAATTAATACCATTTGGTTTCTAGGAAATGGAGTCATTAGCTAGTGCTTTCAAAAAGAAAGAAAGAAAAACCCTCTAGTGTAATAAGCTAAGCTAAAGAGAACGTAGGGCTCTGTAACCAACAGGCCTGGGACTATCAGCAGGACTGAAGCTTCAAAGAATACTGAGAGTTCAAGGAAGACTCATTTTCACTCCTAGACTCTACAGTGAGTGCACTTACAGCAGCAGTTGGGAGGGGGATTACTATATAAAGAGCAACCTTGCTGAGTTCAGATGTTACATTCTTTGAATAAATTTTCCTTAATACTGTTATGGCGTGTATTAAAAAGTATTTCTAAAATTACTGTACTAATGTACAGATCGAGTTGGTTGAAAAGGTGGACTGGTAGCTAGAATCTTTCAAATATTCACTTTCAAAAAAGGCCCCGTGGATGGACCACAGACTAGAAAGAGCTAGATGCCATGTGGTGGCAGACAGTTCTCACTGTAAACACAATGCCTGAAGCCTTAAAAAGATGTGTGGAACGAGTGTATCCAACAAAGTCTAGAACAGGGTTTCTCAGCTTTGTCACTTGATACGCTAAGCTGGATGGTTCTTTGTTTGGGGGCTATCCCCCGCATGATAGGGTGTTCAGAAGCATTCTTGGCCTCTACCCACTACATGCCAATAGCACCACTGTCCAAACTGTGAAAACCAAAAATGTATCATCCAGGGGGACAAAATCACACTTCCCCCCGATTGAGAACCACTAGTCTATACAGAGAAACAGAAATATGACATCATCAACTTGGGAAAACTTTGTGTTTACAGGCTAATTAAATGGTTCAAGGTAGGGATAGGACAGCACTCCCTGTATGTCAGCTCTATTCACACACTCTTAGCCCAGAATTGGCCACAACCCCAAAAGTCTTATTTGCCGTATTTTTGTTTTCCTTCCTTTGATTCTCTAGCATCTCTCTCTCCTTTATTTCATTTCTGGCCCTTTCCATTCTCCTTTCTGGCTCTTTTTTCTTTACTTGCTCCTAACTTTGGTGTTCTACCAAGCTTTACCCTTAACCCTCCATTCTGCCTTCCTAAGTTTAAATTTCACTTATCAGGCTGGGCATAGTGGCTCATGCCTGTAATTCCAGCACTTTGGGAAACCAAGGTGGGAGGATCACTTGAGGCCAGCAATTCAAGACCAGCCTCAACAACATAGTGAGACCCCATCTCTACAAAAATAAAAATAAAACAATTTGCTGGACATGGTGGTATGCACCTGTAGTCCCAGCTACTCAAGAAGCTAAGGCAGAAGAATTACTTGAGCCCAGGAGTTGGAGGTTACAGCAAGCTATGATTGCACCACTGCACTCTAGCCTGGGCAACGGAGAAAGATGCTGCCTCAAAAAGAGTTGTACTTATCCTGTGACCTCATTTCTCACCTACATGTTGATGACTGATTTCTAAATCCGTATCTTTAGCCCTGACCCCTGCGCTAAGCTTTAATTAAAACTTATAATTAAGTACTAAAACACTATTTAAGTATAAAAAAGTACTAAACTAGTATTCTATTATTCTCAACTAGATATCTGTATATATTTCACAGATATCTTAAAACCAAATTATCTAAAAGTATAAAAATTTTGTTATAAATATTTTAGGCAGCTTAGTCTCCTATCACCAACCATCTGTTCGAAATCTTGTCAAAATTATATCTCTCCTGTAAGGCCCCTCAGTCAACAGGTCACCAGGCACAGGTCTGGGCTCTCCTCTCCATTTCTGCTGCTGCCACCAAGGCCCAGACACTCTTTGGGACTGCAAAGCTGGCCTCCACATCTCCAGGCTTTCCCCCACTGCTGCCTGAGTCTCCTTCCAAAACACAGTTAGCATCCAATCCACCTCTTCCTCCTGTGCTTTTACCACAGTGACAGACTCGGTGATCCAGCCAGCTACCCAAACCAGAAACCTGAACCCCACTATTGACTCACCCACGAGGCAGCACAATCAGGATCTTTCTACCGGCGATCCATTCACTCCTCTCTTTCTACCTTTCCTACCTTAGCTTAAGAAGCTATTATTTCCTTTCTATTCAGCATAGTACTGGAAGTTCTAGGCAGAGCAATCAGACAAGAGAAATAAAGGGCATCCAAATTGGTAAAGAGAAAGTCAAACTGTCTCTATTTGGTGATGACATGATCATATGCCTAGAAAATCCTAAAGAGTCATTCAAAAAGTTTGTAGAACTGATAAATGAGTTCAGTAAAGTTTCAGGATACTAAATCAATGTACACAAATCAGTAGCACTGCTATACACCAACAGCAACTAAGTTGAGAATCAAATCAAGAACTTAACCCCTTTTACAATAGCTGCAAAAAAAATAAAATAAAATACTTAGGAATATATTTAACAAAAAACATGAAAGCTTTTACAAGGAAAACTACAAAAACATTGCTGAAAGAAACCATAGATGACACAAACAAATGGAAACACATCCCATGCTCATGGATGGGTAGAATCAATATTGTGAAAATGACCATACTGCTAAAAGCAATCTAGAAATTCAATGCAATTTCCATCAAAATACCACCATCATTCTTCACAGAACTAGAAAAAAATCCTAAAATTCATATGGAACCAAAAAAAAGAGCCTACATAGCCAAAGCAAGACTAAGCAAAAAGAACAAATCTGGAGGCATTACATTACCCAACTTCAAACTATACTATAAGGCCATAGTCAGCAAAACAGCATGGTACTGGTATAAAAACAGGCATATAGACCAATGGAACAGAATAGAGAAGCCAGAAATAAAACCAAATACTTACAGTCAACAGATCTCCAACAAAGCAAACAAAAACATAAAGTAGAAAAAGGAGACCCTATTCAACAAATGGTGCTGGGATAATTGGCAAGCCACATGTAGAAGAATGAAACTGGATCCTCATCTCTCACCATATAGAAAAATCAACTCAAGATGGATGAAAGATTTAAACCTAAGACCTGAAACCATAAAAATTCTAGACGATAACATTGGAAAAACCCTTCTAGACATTGGCTTAGGCAAAGACTTTATGACCAAGAACCCAAAAGCAAATGCAACAAAACAAAACAAACAAAAAAACAAAGATAAGTAGATGGACTTAAACTAAAAAGCTTCTGCACAACGAAATAATCAGCAGAGAAAACAGACAACCCTTTGTTTACTCAGAGTGGGAGAAAAATCTTCTCAATCTATACATCCAATCTATACATCCGACAAAGGACGAATATCCAAGAACTAATATCCAAGGAACACAGACAAACAATCCCATCAAAAAGTGGGCTAAGGACACGAATAGACAATTCTCAAAAGAAGATATACAAATGGCCATCAAACATATGAAAAAATGCTCAACATCACTAATGATCAGGGAAATGCAAATCAAAACCATGATGTGATACCACCTTACTCCTACAAGAATGGCCATAATCAAAAAAATAAAAACGAAAATAGATGTTGGTGTGGATGAGGTGAAAAGGGAACACTTTTACACTGTTGATGGGAATGTAAACTAGTACAACCACTATGGAAAATACTGTGGAGATTCCTTAAAGAACTAAAAGTAGCCCAGGTGTGGTGGCTTATGCCTGTAATCCCAGCACTTTGGGGGGCCAAGGTGGGCAAATCACTTGAGGTCAGGAGTTCAAGACCAGCCTAGCCAACATGGTGAAACCCTATCTCTACTAAAAATACAAAAATTAGCCAGGCGTGGTGGCCCATGCCCGTAGTCCCAGCTACTGGGAAGGTTGAGGCAGGAGAATCACTTGAACCTGGGAAGCAGAGGTTACAGTGAGCTGAGACTGCACCACTGCACTCCAGCCTGGGCAACAACAATAAAAAGAACTAAAAATAGATCTACCATTTGATCCAGCAATCCCACTCCTGGGTATCTATCCAGGGGAAAAGAAGTCATTACACAAAAAAGATACTTGCACATGTATGTTTATAGCAGAACAATTCACAATTGCAAAAATATGAAACCAGCCCAAATGCCCATCAAACAAAGAGTGGATAAAGAAAATGTGGTATATATATATATCCCATGGACTACTATTCAGCCATAAAAAGGAACAAAGTAATGGCGTTTGCAGCAATCTGGATGGAATTGGAGACCATTATTCCAAGTGAAGTAACTCAGGAATGGAAAACCAAACATCATATGTTCTCACTCGTGAGTGGGAGCTAAGCTATGAGGATGCAAAGGCATAAGAATGATACAATGGACTTTGGGGACTCAGGAGAAAGGGTGGGAGGGGGGTGAGGGATAAAAGACTATACACTAGATACAGTGTACTGTTTGGGTGATGGGTGCACCAAAATCTCAGAAATCACCACTAAAGAACTTATTCATGTAACCAAACCCCATCTGTTCCCCAAAAACCTATTGAAGTAAAAAAATAAAAAATAAAAACAATAAAAAAGAAGCTGTTATTTTTTGCCTAAACTCTTCAATCAAGTCTCCCTACCTCCAATGTTTGTCCCATCCCATTTATTTTATACCCAGTCACTAGAATGATCTTTAAAATGAAAATCTGCCATATGATCTGGCAATCCTACTTCTGGGTATTTATCCAAAAGAATAGGAAGCAGGGTCTGAAAGAGATATTTGCACACCCACATTCACTGCAGCACTATTCACAATAGCCAAGAGGTGGAAGCAATTCAAGTGTCCATTTATGGATGAATAAAGGAAATTTAGTGTCCACATACAAAGGAATGTTATTCAGCCTTAAAAAGAAAGGAAATGCTGTCACGTTACAAGTTGGACATTATGTTAAGTGAAATAAGCCAGTTACAAAAAGACAACTGTGTGATTCCACTTATATGAGGTAACTAGAGCAGTAAAACCTGTAAACACTAAAGGCAGAATAATGTTCCCAGGGGCTGGAGGGTTGAGCAAAGGAGAATGTTTTTCAATGAGTACAGAGTTTCAGTTTTGCTAGATGAAAAGGTTCTAGAGATCTGTTGTAACAACAGCATGAATATACTGAACACTACTGAACTGTGCACTTAAAATGGTAAAGATGGTAAATTTGATGTTATATGTTTACCACAATTTTTAAAAATTTAATTAAAATCTGTACATATAATTGCCTTGTGTAAACCCTTCCCCTTCCCTTTCTCTCTTGCCTTTGCACAATCTCTCAGCTCTGCTTGGAACCAGCTTCAAAATACCTCCCTTCCAGCGTATGCTGCTCCAGGCAAATGCCTCCAGGTTCTAGGGGATGACTCCTCTGTCAGTGCCTCCTGGAAGAGAGGCTCACATAGCCCCTAAATGTACCCCATGGGGCACTCACACTAAGGAAGTGAAGCCCATTCTCCATGTATGCTTACCCTAAAAACCGTGACATCCTAACATAGCCACTTCAGCATTTTTTACCTGTGTCCCTGTGCTCCCAGACCAAACTGAGGGTCGGGCTGCTATTTCTTGCAGCCTGATAACGAGATGTAGATGAACTAGGGAGGAAGAGAGCTTTTTTTATTTCTGTAACCAGTTACCAGGAGAAGGCTCAGAAAATATCGCCAGACCAACTCAAAATTACCAAGTTTTCCAGAGCTTATATACCTTCTAAGCTACATGTCTAAATGTAAGCATGCATTCCTCTAAAGACATAAGTGATAGCTTCTTTTAATCTACAATAGCTAAGGTCTGAGTCTTGAAGACCTTCCCCTGGAGCCTCAGTAAATTTACTTAATCTAAATGGGTCCAGGTGCTAGGTGATTACCCTTAACCTGCAGGTTTAAGGAGTTCCTTCAGACCCCCAATAAACTTGTTTGTGGAGGCCTGGGGAGTTTCTTCAGACCCCCAAATAAAACTTGTTTAATCCTAAATAGTCCCGTTAAGAATTCCTTCATTATCTTTTCATGGTTTAAGGCCCAGGAAAGATCTGGGCAAAACTCTTGGCGAGCTTTTGTTATATTCCAGCCTTTGTATAAGGGCACTAGCTCTTTTAACTTTTAATATTTCACTTACCTGCTCAGTGAGTACTAAAACAGTTGTTATGGAGGCCTGCATTAGTGAGACCTGGCCTGCCACACTTGGGAACGAACCTATGGCCCAGCTCATTTGCAAGGCATTCATCAGAACCCCGTGCTCTGCCTAAAAGGAATCTGCTGAATCATATTTGCTCCACCTTATTCCACCTGCAGCAAGTGCTACTCTTTTTTCCCCCAATCTGCCTCTTTCTGTGTAGTCTTCTCTTCTCACTGAATTTCCCGTAGTGCCTGGCCTGCCTTATCTAACGTCAGCCTTTTGGATTTCATTTTCCTTATGCTTCTCTCCTGGAGCAGCTGGATTCTGAAGCTTTTCATCAATGTATGTTTCTCCTCAGACAGTAGGCAGGATGACCCACTGAGCCATAAAAGTCTCATTTTAACTGAGACCAAATATGACACAGCAGTGGCAAGCTGGGATTATTTATATGCAGTTTAAGGGATAATCCTTCAATCCAATACTGTGAGCCATTGGAGAGCAGATTGGTGAAATCTTTTTCCACCTCTCTGTTTTGAAACAACGGCTTTATCATTATTCCATTCTAGTGAGGCAAACAGATTAGGAGATGATTGTAATGGAAAAGATAGCTTATTACTCACAGTTCCTAAGAGAAGGGGCATGCCACACCATGGGGGTTGGGGGCAGCAGGGGATGCCCTAGGTCAGTCCGGAGGCTGGAGGGGACAAGCAGAAAGTGTGGGTGAGAGACTTAGGTTTTTGAGGGAGGGAATGGGCAAGGCAGGGTATCCAGGCTCTGCAGGTTTAGGACTGGCTAGTTTGCATCGTTTCAGCGGGCTCTGGGGCCTAAGGGCTGTCTTGAGTTGTCTGAGTTGTACCTGGCCCCGGGCTGATTAGGTCAGAGGGAAAGTTGCCTCATAAAGTAGGTGTTTGGGGAATATGGGCTTTGGATTCATTGGTTTGCATATGGAAGTTGTGCTCACAGGGGAGTCATTTGCTATCTCTAGGAATTAGCTAGCCCCAGGAGGGCAGTCTCTCCCCAGTCAGCAAAGCCCCAAGATATCAAAGCATCATAAAATACATGGAATTAAAAACATGATTAATGCACTCTCCAACACCAGAATCAGAACATGGGGTATTCAGTATGGCTGCAGAGAGGACAAAGAAGGGGGAAAAATAAGGATAATTCCACTAATAACACTGTGGGTACCCAGGCTACAGCAGTTCTTGACTCTTATCAAGTTTATAAGAAAAATTCTCCCAGCTATGGATTAAAAATATCCATCCAATTTCTGAGAAGTCAGCTACTAAAACATTTGTTTTAGATTTCTTTTTATATGAAGTGATAAATATACATTTTCCCCCATGGAGAATATTTATGAAAACTTTTCTGGGAAACATCTTTTTGCTAAATATAGGGTCTCTAGAGACAGCTCGGGAAAGCAGCCTCCTGAATGTGCTGTCAGTTGTGACCTGCCAGTCTGAATTACCATATTTTTATATTGTAACTCACTTCCTTTAATGATATATATATATTCTACTAATGGTGTGAAAGGGATGGAAACTGGCAGTTTTAATAGTGTGTGATATATGTGCTCCCTCAGCGTTAAATGGGAGGTTTTGCCTGAAACAAGAATCGGCTTCGGCTGGCCTTCACTGGAGCGCGGACTTCAGTGTGACACTCAGCAGAGGTGACTTTGGTGGTGACATGGAGTGTGAATCCCATTTCCTCAGTGCACAGTAACGATGATGGCTGGTTTGGCAACTTCTGAGACTTTTATGCTCCCCTTTCTTCCTCCCTCCCACTTTGGTCCCTTTTTCCTGGCTCTCTTTTTTTTTCTCTCTCTCTCTCTCTCTTTTCCTGGATAAGGCTTCTAGCCCTCTCAGTGCTTACTGGAACTGATTGTCAATTCAAATGGCTCCACCGTGGGGTCATCCTGCTGGAGGAGAGGCGTGACTGTTATGTGTCTGCCTTTCAGAGATCCGGACATTTAAAATGAACACGGGCTTATGCAGCCGGACCATCAGCCATTGCATGCCTTCATGACTGCCCACACATCTTTCCAGATGCCCCAGTTCCACAAACCCAGCCAGTGAGAGCAAATGTGTATCTGGAGTGATGGATGTATGTCCTCCCTGTGTTTCGCTCTGTTCCCCTTTGCCTGTCATCATAACCCTGACTTACCCGATCCGTCCTCACACTCCGAATGCCCACCTGCTTGCAGAGATAGAAGAGGATGTGCTATTCACTATCTACACTTCAATCTAAGGGTCCTCTCTCCCAGACATTTTGCCCCTCATTTCTGACTATGGAGTAAAATATTTAGGTTCTCCTCAAAAAAATTTCAGATGTGATCTAGTAGGGAGAAGGGGAATAATTTGACAGGCTAGGAAGTGGCCCCTTCCTGGTGCCCTGACATCCCATGATGTGGGCAGCCTACGGGCCCCTCTGCCCAACAGATGGCATCAATGCCTTCTCACTGTTTGGATGGCAGCAGGAAAGGGCCCAGGCTTCCAAGCTTGTCAAGAATTTCCAGATGGGGCATGTCTGTTGTGGTCGTTTTCTATGACATACTGTGTTGGCCCCAGCAGAGACATGGATTGCACATGCATCTTGAACCCCATGAGTATAATCTCAGAAAATTGTCGCTATTTCAGCTTCTACCAGCTCTGCTCCCTCACTTCCTTTTTCTTTTGTTTATTTGTTTGTTTGTTTGTTGTTTAAGACAGGATCTCGCTCTGTCACCCAGGGTGAGTGCAGTGGTACAATCACGGCTCACAGCAGCCTCAATCTCCCAGGCTCAAGCAATCCTCCCATCTCAGCCTCCTGAGTAGCTGGGACTACAGTCGTGCACCACCATGCCCAGCTAATTTTTTTATTTTTATTTTTATTTTTCTGTAGAGATATGGGTCTCGCTTTGTTGCCCAGGGTGGTCTCGAACTCCTGGATGCAAGCAATCCTCCCATTTTGGCCTCCCAAAGTGCTGGGATTACAGGTGTAAGCCACCGCTCCTGGCCTTCTCTTCTTTCTTAAGAATGAAATCTGCAAACCCTCCTTCCCCAGCCCCATCAACTCTAACTGTTGTTTGGCTTCTGAACATCAGGTGTAACAAAAAAACTTTAAAACAAAAATTATGTAGGTGTTTTGAATAAAATGCAAAAAAAAAAAAAAAGAAAGGAAGGAAGTAATAAAGAAAGAACTGAAAGAAAGGATTACTCAAGAGAAACCTGACTGCATGAACATCAATCAAAAGACTATCACGCATAAGCCCGGTCCAGTATCTGTCTATTACAGGTAGCCCTTAAGAAGTGAAGAAACCTTGGTTTTTAAATCAAGCATGTAGACACAGGTAGAGAGTACTATAAATTAAAGCATTCTTTACAAGCTTAATAATTGAGGAGATACACAATGCATCTGTATTTGCAAACTAAATTTTGCAAAGTCCTCCCAAGATGAATTTCAAGCTTTAAGGCAATATCAATCATATTCTCAAATTTTTTCTTCAAACTTAGTACATATTAATTCTAAAGTTCACCTAAGAGAAAAAAAAACAGGTAAGCATAGTAAAAAAAAAAAACAACTTAAAGACTAATTTATATAGAATATACAGTCCAGAATTAGATTATATTAGAAAATAAGAATTTAACATAATACATATAAAAAGACATAAATCAATAAACATAAAGGTAGAAATACTCAATAATATTGGTTTTGCTGATTAGCAATAGGGGAAGAATGACTTTAGACACAATTAATATAATAAATAAATTTTACATGAATTAAGAAGTTCAATGTAAAGCTACAATCACGAAAATACAAATATAGATGCTCATAATTGACAGTTTAGTACATCTGGAAAGTTTGGAGGATAAAAGACTTTCTAAGTACTATATATGTGATAAAATAAATTAGAACAATGAACAGATTTGATAGAAAAATTAAAATACCCACACTAAAAGGAAAATTATTAACAAAAGAAAAAATACACTTGACAAATACAGTATAGAAGTGATTGATATTTTTGAGGCATAAAAGTTAATGCTTTGATTGTCTTCAGAATTCTTGGTGAAAAAAAAGTTAATGCAACTTGCAATGAATGCTAAGACCCGAATAAATAAAGCAGAAGACAATAAGAAAATAAATTTACAAACACAAAAGAAAACATTGTCAATTATAAAAATATGCAAATTAAAAAAACATTAAGGTACACGTTGTACATATTAAATTAACAAAATAAAAGTCTAATGGTAATTTATATTGCCAGTAATTGTGTATCAAAAATATTGTCATCTACATTGCATATAGCATTATAAATTGACATAATCCTTTTGGAAAATTATGTAGCAATATATTTCAGGAACCATATGAAAGATTATATCATTTGATTTAATAATTCTACTTTCATACAAAATATGGGAAAAGCTATATACATGAAGATGTTTGTCACATTCTTTTTAATAGCAGAAAACAAGTAAAAAAATGTCCAATGAAAAAAGAACACCTAAACTAGTTATGGAACTGTGGCAATTTTAAAATATCTGCAAACTCTTCCTTCCTTCTACCACTGAGACATATCCCCTCCCTTTGTCAAGGCTGACCTTGATTGCTAGTTAGCCAGTGGGGTACAGCCAAAGGGGTGCTATGTGAAAGTCACAGAAGACAATGCACCATCTGCCTGGCTTGCTAGAATATTTGTGCTGGAGCCCTGAGCCATCACATAAGATGTCCCAGCATCCTGAGGCTGCCATGTTGTGAGGAAGCCCAAACTGGCCCATGTGGAAGTCCACACTGAGATGCTCTAAGATTACATAAAAAGAGAGGAGGCACCCCCAGCCCCCAGCTGCCCAGGTCCAGCCAGAGTTGTGACAGCAACTCTGTGAGCTCAAACCATCCAGCCAAGTTCTTCCTAACCCTCTGACACACACAAACCAGGAGAGATAATACAATGATTGTTGTGGCTTTAAATTGCTAAGTTCTGAGTGGCTTGTTGCATGGCAATAGATGCCTAGAGCACAGATCTCTACTGCAGAGAACAAGGTACAGCCATTCAAACACTCAATTTAAAAGACTATGTAAAAACATAGCTTATTTTTCATAATATTTAGTTTAAAAATACATAAAATGTTGTGTATATTATGATTGTAGCCATTAAAAATCAATATTAAAAAGGACTTGAGTAATCACAGTGGTTCTTACAGGACCTAACAGTGACGTTAGTAACATTGATGTTACTAACAATGATGTTAGGTCATGTAAGAACCAATGTGATGGTATTATTTTTGGTTATTATTGGTGGTATTATCAATAATGCCATATTGATGGTACTATTTTTCTAATATCTAAACTTACTAAAATATAATTCTAATGATTGTGTAATTAATTAATGAGAATTACCTGTCCCTCAAAGGAGAAAAAGTAAGAGTAAAGATATTTTATCTTAAAATATTGCATGAGAAAAATGAAAAAAATCTAAAACTTTAGAAGCACAAAACAGTGTGACCAAATTCACCCCTTTCCCAAGAGTGATTATAGATTGAGATGGAGCCCCTGAGGTTTGTGTGTTAAAATGTAAAAGTTGTATCCTCTGTGTTTCTAGAGTTTGAAGGGAGCCCGTGAACATTGCCCATGGCCCAATATGCACTCCAAGGGATCAGTTAATCTTGTTGCTTTTATTTTCTTAAGACAAGTTATATAGGTGTTGTTTATATAATGCACACAACATAGAAATGTTTGAAATGCCTGAAGAAATTCTGGATTTAGAGTCTTCTCTCTCAGGACTGGCTTCCAGACATCCACTCACAGCATGTCTCCTCGTGTCCAGGATCTCTGGGAGATACTCAGTCCCTTCCATCAGGAACACATGTGGCTGCCCATAGCTCAGTGGCCTATCAACTAAAGGACACACATGCATAAACTCAATGTGCAATGATGGAGTAACACTCAATAACAGCAAATAAGACTACTGTCAGTAACAGAGAGGCTCAGGAAGCACATGGCAGTCACTGGCCATTGTAGTTTCTCAAATCCCACAGGGCAAGGATTGAGAAGGCCCCTCCTAGGCTGTGGAGTAAGTTGCTTGGTGGCCCATCTGGCACCGTGTGTGTCATGCTGGAAGAGTGGGGAAGGCCTTGGAGAGTGTGCTGTCCTTGGAGGCTGCCAGCTTGCATAGCCTACTTTCTGCTCATACAGGTTGGGGATCAGGGGCATTGCTGGAAGGATGGAACAATTACAGGCTTTTGCAGGGAAGATAGTGGTTGCTTATAGCAATAAAATTCCCTCAAACTTCTTACCTATGTATTTGCCTGCAGTCAGTCACTCTGTGTGCAAGATCCTATCTAGACCTAATATTTACGCCTAAGACCCTAGTCTGGAGTTTGGCAAATGCTTCCTGTAAAGGGCCAAATAGTAAATATTTTAGGCTTTCTGGGCCAAAAGGCAAAATCAAGGATATTATGTAGGTACTTATGTAATAAGAGAGAAAACAAATGTCCACAAATTTTTTTTCATCATTTTTTAACTCAGGGTCACACAAAAACAAGTGGCAAGCTAGATTTGTTCAGTAGATTTGCCCGGGTTGCCAACCCCACTCTGGTCTGTTACTCACCAGCTCCTGCATGCCATACCCTTCTCTTTCATCTTCATACTGGCCACCATGAGACCATCTGAACTACAGGCTTGTAGAGGGAAGGCAGCACCCAATCTCATCTGTGCTGCCTTTTGTCTTTTTTTTTTTTTTTTTTTTTTGAGACGGAGTCTCGCTCTGTCACCTAGGCTGGAGTGCAGTGGCATGATCTCGGCTCACAGCAACCTCCGCCTCCCAGGTTCAAGCATTTCTTCTGCCTCAGCCTCCCAAGTAGCTGGGAATACAGGCTCCTGCCACCACGCCCAGCTAATTTTTTGTATTTTTAGTAGACACAGAGTTTTGCCGTGTTAGCCAGGATGGTCTCGATTTCCTGACCTCGTGACCCACCTGCCTCAGCCTCCCAAAGTCCTGGGATTACAGGTGTGAGCCACAGCGCCCAGCTGTCTTTTGCCTTTTTACTTTGCCGATGGTGGTGTTTGCCAGTCAACTCTCAATAGAAGATGCTTAAGAAAAGCCTGCAGCCATAAACTTATCTCCTGGTCAAGCTGCCCCCTCAGTCGTGAGCCACTGCTTCAGTTTGCAGTGCAAATGGAATGAGTGCTTTCCACTCTGCCAGGCCCCCGGTTATCGGACTCTCAGTTGACTTAGATTTTCAGACACCACCAACTCTGGCCAGAGATCATCTCTGTTACGTCAAGTGTCAAGAACCAGCCGACGAGCACTGCATGCCAAAATTTTCCCACCAGTTTCCTAATGCTGTAGACCCAATCTGTCCTGGTCTGCTCCCCACACACTCAAGGAACAGTTTTTATCAAAAGTTTTGCCACCACCTAGCAAGGTTCAGCAGCTGGCCGGCCTGCAATATCTGTGTTTTTTTAACTTTTATTTTAAGTTCAGAGGTACACGTGCAGGTTTGTTCCATGGGTAAATGTGTGTCGCAGGAGTTTGTTGCAGAGATTATTTCATTGGCAAGATACTAAGTCTAGTACCCATTAGTTACTGCTCCTAATCCTCTCCCTCTTCCCACCCTCTATCCTCAGATAGGCCCCGGTTTGTGTTGTTCCCTTTTATGTGTCCATGTGTTCTCATCATTTATTTAGGTTGATACAAAAGTAATTGAGGTTTTTTGCCATTACTTTTAATAGCAAAAACCACAATTGCTTTTGTGCCAACTTATAGCTCCCACTTACGTGTGAGAACGTGCAGTAATTGGTTTTCTATTCCTGTGTTAGTTTACTAAAGATAATGGCCTCCAGCTCCATCCATGTCCCCACAAAGGACATAATCAGGTTCCTTTTTGTTAACCTGCAATATCTGTATCTTCACACCTACTGCCTGCCACTTCAACTAATCCTATGTCACAAGCTAAGGTTCTGTGACTTATAGCCTCCACTTCAGGGATCAGATTCTATTTCATAGCTATTGTATTCTTGACCTTGATTTCATAATCTGAGATTACAGTATCAGCTTCCACAGAGGAGAGAGGAAGAGACAAAGTCAAAAAGAAAAAAAGGGCAAGTTCAAGATGCTTTTTAAAGAAGGATCTTATGAGCTGCTAAATGATGCTTTTGCTCACAGATCATCGGCCAGAAGGTATTGACATGGCCCCATACCTAACTAAAAGAGGGGCTAAGAAATGCAGTCTCCATCCTGGACAGCCATATGCCTAGTCAAAAAATGGGGTTCTATCAACTTTGTAAGTGAGAGCGGTAAGTAGGGCTGACCAGCAGTCTCTGCCATAGAAAGGTACCAGTATAATTCCCATTTTGAAGATGACAACACCGAGGCTTAAAGAGGCTAAGTGTTGCTTGAGAGTATGTGATAAAGCCAATTCCAGCCTGTGCCACCTGAGAAGTCTCCTGTTCTTAACAAAGGGTCAACTGGCTTGTATGTATTCTTCACACAAACAGCTTGGGGGTGCTCTTCCAACCTACGGATAAGGCAGATTCTGGTAAAGGAAACAGCTGTGGGTTTCGGGTCTGATGGCTTTTGAAAGGTTGACATTTCTTAGCAGAATTCTCAGACTAAGTTTGGGAAGATAGGGGTGGGGGGAAGAAAGCTATGGTCCATCAAAGGAAAAACAAAATATGCTATATCCATAAAATAGAGTATTATTTGGCCATAAGTGGGAATGAAATACTGATGAGTATTACAACATGGATGAACATTAATAACATGCTAAGTGAAAGAAGCCAGTGACAAAGAAACATATATGGTAAGATTTCATTTCTATGAAAGGTCCAGTGTAGGCAAATCCAGACATGGATGGTAGATCAGTGGTTGCTTGGGGTTGGGGAATGAGGAAAGGAGAGTGACTGCTAAGGGGCATAGAGGCTTTTTGGGGGAGACGAAAATATTCTAGAATTGATTGTGGTGATAGTTAAAAGCTCTGGGAATATACTAACAGCCATTGTATTATATCCTTCAGATGGGTGAATTGTGAGATATGTAAATTTTATCTCAACACATCTGTCACCAAAATAAAAAGTCCGTGGAGACACTGAAACACAAAAGTTACCTCAAGGTAGAAGCTTGATGTACACATGAATATTTCGTGTCGTTACGGAAATATTTCATAATAGTTCATGAAAAGTTATGCAGTGTGGGAACATGTTACAGTAAAGTCAGCCAATGTTAGGAATCACAAGTTGTAGTTGCCATGGAAAAGATTAAACAAAAGGAGAAGGAAAGAAAGAAGGAAGAAAAGGAAGCTATGACAATCGAGAAGTGCAGGACGAATGAAATATCCCTTAAAACTGTTAAAATGTTTTTATGCTTGTTATAGACTGATGATAAACCATCCTTGACATGTTTCATGACTCAATATAAGACCAAACATTCTGCATTTGCACTGAAAAATCATGTTAGAAAAAGGAACTTTCTTTAGTGGTGTTGACTTGTTCAGGCAACACAGATGGTGCCAAGCACTCTCCTCCACCTAAGGCCTAGAAAGAATTATTCAAAATTTCAAAGCCAGACACTTCAGAGATCACCTTCTCAGTAATTAGCCTCAGAAATTAATCCCTGCTTATTTTACAGGTCAAGCAACTAAATAATCTTTGTGTTCAGTGATTTTTCCAAGGTGATGAATCCAATAGGAGCAGATCTTCTGATCCCCCAACCCCTGGCGATTATATAATACTTTAATCCACACCAAGCTCAATCCCAAAATAGAACTGAAGAAACTCAGTGAAAAGATTCAAAGTTAAGAAACTTTTGTTTAGTGTAAGCATTCTCAATAACTGTAGTTCATAGGAATGAAAATATTATTGTAAAACAAGAACAATGAAGAATCATGTGTAACTATTCACTATGACCTCTAAGAAGGAAGAATTCCTTCAAGCCAGGTCAGCTTCAGGTCTGCAAGTATAGAGATTCTGAACAGGACAAAAGGGAGAAGAGAGAGAAAAAATACATTTTCAAGCTTCAGGTGATAGTTTTTAGGGATAAGGAAGTGAAAGGAGAAGACAAAGGCTTTCAAGAGACATCTGCTACCCTAGAAAAGGACATTAAAAAGAGGAGTGATGGGGAAAGTATGTTCAAGATGGTGACTGTGTAATAAGAAGGAACTAGCCTCACATATACACTATGTGAGGAATGCTATGCAGTCATAAAAGAGAATAAATTCATGTCCTTTGCAGGGACATGAATGAAGCTGGAAACCATCATCCTCAGCAAACTAACACAGGATCAGAAAACCAAACATTGCATGTTCTCACTTATAAGTGGGAGTTGAACAATGAGAACACATGGACACAGGGAGGGGAACATCACACACCGGGGCCTGTCAGAGGGTGGGGAAAAGAGGAGGGAGAGCATTAGGACAAATACCTAATGCATGCGAGACTTAAAACCTAGATGATGGGTTGATAGGTGCAACAAACCACCATGACACATGTATACCTATGTAAAAAACCTGCAAGTTCACCACATGTATCCCAGAACTTAAAATAAAATGAAATAAAATAAAGAACTAGCTTCTTTTCCATTTCAATAAGAAATCAAGTAAAAAAGTGAAATATTTATAATCATCTCTTGGCCACTTTATTAGACATGCTTAACATTCTGTAATGGAATTACCACTGTGAATATCCTATCTTGAGTTTTAATAATATTGCAAGGCAAGGCAACGGAAAGAGCTTTGGTTTTAGAGTCTGGGCTCCTAGGAGGATGTGGATGGACCCTCTCAGCCTCTGCTTGCTCATCTGTTGGGTGGAGGTCATCATTCCTGCCTGTATTAGTCAGGGCTCTCCAAAGAAACTGAGCCAATGGGATATATACAGGGAGAACTATTTATGTTAAGGAATTGGCTCAAGGGGTTGTGGCCACTGGCAAGCCTGAAATTTGTAGGGCAGATCAGCAGGCTAGAAATTCAAGTCAGAGTTGATGTCTTGAGTACAAATTCTGCAGGGCAGCAGGCTGGAGGCTCAAGCAGGGTTACTATATTACAGTGGTAAGGAAAATTCCTTGTTATTCTTTGGGAAACTTTAGTCTTTGTTTGGGCCTTCAACTGATTGGATGAGGCCCAATCTCATGGTCATGGGTAATCTGCTTTGCTAAAGTCAGCTGATTGCGAATGTGAATCACTTCTTTAAAAATATCTTTATACAACATCTAGACTAGTGTTTGACTAAACGATTGGTCATCATAGTCCGACCAAGTTGACACATAAAGTTAATCATCACACTGCCCTCCTGCCTTATGAGTCATTAGTAATGCATCATTCTTACACCTTTTCTTTATTGCTTTCTCTCAAGCACCTATTTAGCACCTGGCACACAATAGTCACAAAATAAATATTTAGTGGATGTATGGTAGGATAACACTTGGAAATTATGAACAAATATATATGCTAGGCTTGACCAGTGCGGTTTGGGAGAATATGTATATTTTTGAGCATAGACACTGAAGTCTCACCCATTCATGCCTTAAATTCACCATTAAGCTAACACAACAGCCCAGCTACTCTACTTCCAGAAATTATTTCCACAGATATACTCACACAAATGCAAACTGGCTTAGAAAAAAGATTATTTACTGCAACAGGGTTTGTAAAACAAAAGTTCAAAACAACCTAAATGTCCATCAATATGAAATTTGACTAAATGAACTCAACAGAATTTGAAGGGCTGAAGAAGCTCTTTATATACTGCTGTGGAAAGATCTACAAGATAGATATACTGTTAAGCAAAAACAACAAGGAGCATAACAACAAGGATAGAATGATACTAGCTGTATAAAAGAGAGAAAAGAAGGGCTATATAAAAGATATAAATGTATCCTTTATGCATAATATATATTCCTAAAAGTACATAATAAATCATATTGGAGAGAGGCACTGGGAATCTGGGAGAAGGAGGTGGGACTGAGACATTTTACTAAATGTTCACTTACATCTTTTTAATTTTGAACCACATGAGTATACTGCTGATTAAAAATCAAATTTGAAGAAGGAAAGAAAATGAGTTTGTTTAGTACCTGATTTAAAAATAAACAAGCAAATAAGTTGGTTATTTTTTTCTAAGCTTACTTATACCTACTTTTGAACTTTATGTTATCTCTTCTGGGATTTGAGAATGACCATCTCATGGGATGGGAGGTATTGAGAAAACTAATGTAGGCTCAATTTCAGTAGGGGGAAGACTTAAATTTTAGATTTGGGGATTGATGTTTGACTTGTAACAGAGCCTCCTCTTGAGGAAGGAAAGAAAGAGAGAGAACAAAGAGTTAGCTCAGAGGAATATTCCAGGAAATCGATCTGAGTCAGAAGCAGCAGGAAAAGTTTTTTAAGAAAGCAGGTGAAACACATTGGCCCAAACATAGCAACAGCGTAAAAAGAAATCCTAAATTATTTAGTTTAAAGACAGGACTCCAATGTCTTTACTGCATGCAGCCCATCAGAACTAAAACAAGCAGATCAGGAGAAGATTTTAGAAGATATTGTAAAAGGTGTATCCTAAGAAAATCAAGCTTGCAAACTGGCAACTCTCAGTTGGCCAGAGGTTGGCAATTCAATCTGTGAATCCAAACTGATTTTCCGTCTCTTTCAGATCTCTGCTATTTGCTTTCTAACATTTCAGCAACTCTCTCAAGCCTGGGAGGGAGCAGAAAAACAAAATCTGAATAGTTTGTCCGGGAATTTGGATTATCAGAGTTTTTTTTTAAATTCCTCTTCCAAAAACTGATATTTCTCTAGATCATAATCTCTGCTATTTGTCAACTGTGTGGTCTGTTTCTTGCTGTATCAGTCAGGATATGCTGGGTTATGCTGCAGTAACAAACATCCCCCAAGTCTTAGAAGCTTTAAAATAACAATGGTTTATGTCTCAGTCGTGCAAAGTATAACCTAAGTTCTTGCACCTTCCAGACAACACCTACTTGCATGGTCACTGCAGGAGGGAAGAGAAGCACACACCAGGACCAGCTCTCAAATACTTCCAACCAGAAGTGACCTGCCCCTCCTCCACTCACATTCCACTGAACAGAAAAATCACATAGAATGTCCATCTTCAGAGGGGAGAAGTACAATCCTACTGTGTCTAAAGGAGGACAGGAGGAAATACTGTCTTTCTCACTCTCTGCTCCTAAATATAAGAAGCCTTGCTATTATTGGGGTGGTTTTTTTTTGTTTTTTTGTTTCTTTGTTTGTTTTTGAGATGGAGTCTCACTCTATCACCCAGGCTGGAGTACAGTGGCATGGTCTTGGCTCACTACAACCTCCACCTCCCAGGTTCAAGGGATTCTCCTGCCTCAGCCTCTCAAGAACCTGGGATTACAGACATGCACCACCACGCCCAGCTAATTTTTGTATTTTAGTAAAGATGGGGTTTTACCATGTTGGCCAGGCTGGTCTCGAACACCTGACCTCAAGTGATCCACCTCCCTCGGCCTCCCAAATTGCTAGGATTACTGGCATGAGCCACCACACCTGGCCTTGGGTTTTATTTTAATTTTTGAAACTTGTGTGTTACGGAGTTTTTTTCCTGATGCTTGAGGATAAGAGTGCCTGAATGAATTAACTTGTGAGACACAAGTTTGGCCACTCCTGGCCTGCTTCTTCTCTGACATAAACTACAATTTGAAAGTTCTTTTCATACACCAAGGCAACCCTAAGGGATCCATTAGCAGTAGCTATTCCATAGGTTTCCATTTTCTTGAGCCATTCTCATTCCTTTTGTCACACTTCCTTGTCATTAATGACAAAAATTTGTAAAATTAGAGAATTCTGTTATCTTGGAACCAAGTTTCAGAATGTCTAAACTGACAAGGCCCTTAGCAAATGCTTCCAACTCACCAATTTCCCACTTCACATTGCAGAGGGGAAACCTGAAGTCCAAAAATGGAAATGACTTGCCAAAAATTACAAAGCAAATACATGAGCATTGTTTTATTTTATTGTATTTCATTTTATTTTATTTATTTATTTTTTTGAGACAGAGTCTTGCTCTGTTGCCCAGGCTGGAGTGCAGTGGCGGGATGTCGGCTCACTGCAAGCTCTGCCTCCCAGGTTCACGCCATTCTCCTGCCTCAGCCTCCCTAGTAGCTGGGACTACAGGCACCCGCTACCAAGCCCAGCTAATTTTTTTGTAATTTTTTTAGTAGAGATGGGGTTTCACTGTGTTAGCCACGATGGTCTCGATCTCCTGACCTCATGATCTGCCCGCCTCGGCCTCCCAAAGTGCTGGGATTACAGGCATGAGCCACCGTGCCCAGCTGTGGGCAGTTTTAAACCACTAAATATGTAGTAATTTGTTACATAGCAATAGAAAACTAATGGAAAGTTGTGATCTTTCAAGAGTGCTTATATTTTAACTAGGCCCATATTAAGACCTAAAGCACTAATAGACACTAAAAGCTATAAAAAGACCTTGGCATTCCACAGGTGCTTATGTATGTAACTCAAAATATAACGTTATTTTTTGAAATTACACATAGCTTACATGTATGGTGTAATATAAATGAGTTCCTTATAGATTTTCTGATTACAAAAGTCTGAATCTTCTCATTAAAATAAAACTTTTCAGAGGGCAGCCAAATTGGCCGAATAGGAATAGCTCTGGTCTACAGCTCCCAGCGTGAGCGACACAGAAGACTGGTGATTTCTGCATTTCCATCTGAGGTACTGGGTTCATCTCACTAGGGAGTGCCAGACAGTGGGCGCAGAACAGTGGGTGCAGCGCACCATGTGCAAGCCAAAGCAGGGCGAGGCATTGCCTCACTCGGAAAGCACAAGGGGTCAGGGAGTTCCCTTTCCTAGTCAAAGAAGGGGGTGACAGACGGCACCTGGAAAATTGGGTCACTCCCACCCTAATACTGCACTTTTCCAACAGGCTTAAAAAATGGTGCACCAGGAGATTATATCCTGCACCTGGCTCAGAGGGTCCTACGCCCACAGAGTCTCGCTGATTGCTAGCACAGCAGTCTGAGGTCAAACTGCAAGGCGGCAGCAAGGCTGGGGGACGGGCACCCGCCATTGCCCAGACTTGCTTAGGTAAACAAAGGAGGTGGGAAGCTCGAACTGGGTGGAGCCCACCACAGCTCAAGGAGGCCTGCCTGCCTCTCTAGGCTCTACCTCTGGGGGGCAGGGCACAGACAAAAAGACAGCAGTAATCTCTGCAGACTTAAATGTCCCTGTCTGACAGCTTTGAAGAGAGCAGTGGTTCTCCCAGCACGCAGCTGGAGATCTGAGAACAGGCAGACTGCCTCCTCAAGTGGGTCCCTGACCCCTGACCCCCGACCAGCCTAACTGGGAGGCACCCCCCAGTAGGGGCAGACTGACACTTCACAGGGCCGGGTACTCCTCTGAGACAAAACTTCCAGAGGAACGATCAGACAGCAGCATTTGCCGTTCATGAAAATCTGCGGTTCTGCAGACACCGCTGCTGATACCCAGGCCAAACAGGGTCTGGAGTGGACCTCTAGCAAACTCCAACAGACCTGCAGCTGAGGGTCCTGTCTGTTAGAAGGAAAACTAACAAACAGAAAGGACATCCACACCAAAAACCCATCTGTACATCACCATCATCAAAGACCAAAAGTAGATAAAACCACAAAGATGGGGACAAAACAGAGCAGAAAAACTGGAAACTCTAAAAAGCAGAGCACCTCTCCTCCTCCAAAGGAACACAGTTCCTCACCAGCAATGGAACAAAGCTGGACAGAGAATGACTTTGATGAGTTGAGAGAAGAAGGCTTCAGACGATCAAACTACTCCGAGCTACAGGAGGAAATTCAAACCAAAAGCAAAGAAGTTAAAAACTTTGAAAAAAATTTAGATGAATGTATAACTAGAATAACCAATACAGAGAAGTGCTTAAAGGAGCTGATGGAGCTGAAAGCCAAGGCTCGAGAACTACGTGAAGAATGCAGAAGCCTCAGGAGCCGATGCGATCAACTGGAAGAAAGGGTATCAGTGATGGAAGATGAAATGAATGAAATGAAGCGAGAAGGGAAGTTTAGAGAAAAAAGAATAAAAAGAAATGAACAAAGCCTCCAAGAAATATGGGACTATGTGAAAAGACCAAATCTACGTCTGATTGGTGTATCTGAAAGTGACGAGAAGAATGGAACCAAGTTGGAAAACACTCTGCAGGACATTATCCAGGAGAACTTCCCCAGTCTAGCAAGGCAGGCCAACATTCAGATTTAGGAAATACAGAGAACGCCACAAAGATACTCCTCAAGAAGAGCAACTCCAAGACACATAATTGTCAGATTCACCAAAGTTGAAATGAAGGAAAAAATGTTAAGGGCAGCCAGAGAGAAGGGTCGGGTTACCCACAAAGGGAAGCCCATCAGACTAACAGCGGATCTCTCAGCAGAAACTCTACAAGCCAGAAGAGAGTGGGGGCCAATATTCAACATTCTTAAAGAAAAGAATTTTCAACCCAGAATTTCATATCCAGCCAAACTAAGTTTCATAAGTGAAGGAGAAATAAAATACTTTACAGACAAGCAAATGCTGAGAGATGTTGTCACCACCAGGCCTGCCCTAAAAGAGCTCCTGAAGGGAGCACTAAACATGGAAATGAACAACCGGTACCAGCCGCTGCAAAATCATGCCAAAATGTAAAGACCATCGAGACTAGGAAGAAACTGCATCAACTAACGAGCAAAATAGCCAGCTAACATCATAATGACAGGATCAAATTCACACATAACAATATTAACTTTAAATGTAAATGGACTAAACGCTCCAATTAAAAGACACAGACTGGCAAATTGGATAAAGACTCAAGACCCATCAGTGTGCTGTATTCAGGAAACCCATCTCACTTGCAGAGACACACATAGGCTCAAAATAAAAGGATGGAGGAAGATCTACCAAGCAAATGGAAAACAAAAAAAGGCAGGGGTTGCAAACCTAGTCTCTGATAAAACAGACTTTAAACCAACAAAGATCAAAAGAGAGAAAGAAGGCCATTACATAATGGTAAAGGGATCAATTCAACAAGAAGAGCTAACTATCCTAAATATATATGCACCCAATACAGGAGCACCCAGATTCATAAAGCAAGTCCTGAGTGACCTACAAAGAGACTTAGACTCCCACACAATAATAATTGGACACTTTAACACCCCGCTGTCAACATTAGACAGATCAATGACACGGAAAGTTAACAAGGATACCCAGGAATTGAACTCAGCTCTGCACCACGTGGACTTAATAGACATCTACAGAACTCTCCACCCCAAATCAACAGAATATACATTTTTTTCAGCACCACACCACACCGATTCCAAAATTGACCACATAGTTGGAAGTAAAGCTCTCCTCAGCAAATGTAAAAGAACAAAAATTATAACAGATGGTCTCTCAGACCACAGTGCAATCAAACTAGAACTCAGGATTAAGAAACTCACTCAAAACCACTCAACTACATGGAAACTGAACAACCTGCTCCTGAATGACTACTGGGTACGTAACGAAATGAAGGCAGAAATAAAGATGTTCTTTGAAATAACGAGAACAAAGACACAACATACCAGAATCTCTGGGACACATTCAAAGCAGTGTGTAGAGGGAAATTTATAGCACTAAATGCCCACAAGAAAAAGCAGAAAAGATCCGAAATTGACACTTAACATCACAATGAAAAGAACTAGAAAAGGAAGAGCAAACACATTCAAAAGCTAGCAGAAGGCAAGAAATAACTAAAATCAGAGCAGAACTGAAGGAAATGGAGACACAAAAAACCCTTCAAAAAATTAATGAATCCAGGAGCTGGTTTTTTGAAAGGAACAACAAAATTGATAGACCACTAGCAAGACTAATAAAAAAAAAAAAGGAGAGAAGAATCAAATAGATGCAAAAAAAAATGATAAAGGGGATATCACCACCGATCTCACAGAAATACAAACTACCATCAGAGAATACTACAAACACCTCTACACAAATAAACTAGAAAATCTAGAAGAAATGGATAAATTCCTCGACACATACACCCTCCCAAGACTAAACCAGGAAGAAGTTGAGTCTCTGAATAGACCAATAACAGGCTCTGAAATTGTGGCAATAATCAATAGCTTACCAACCAAAAAGAGTCCAGGACCAGATGGATTCACAGCCGAATTCTACCAGAGGTACAAGGAGTAACTGCTACCATTCCTTCTGAAATTATTCCAATCAATAGAAAAAGAGGGAATCCTCCCTAACTCATTTAATGAGGCCAGCATCATCCTGATACCAAAGCCGGGCAGAGACACAACCAAAAACGAGAATTTCAGACCAATATCCTTGATGAACATTGATGCAAAAATCCTCAATAAAATACTGGCAAACCGAATCCAGCAGCACATCAAAAAGCTTATCCACCATGATCAAGTGGGCTTCATCCCTGGGATGCAAGGCTGGTTCAATATACGCAAATCAATAAATGTAATCCAGCATATAAACAGAACCAAAGACAAAAACCACATGATTATCTCAATAGATGCACAAAAGGCCTTTGACAAAATTCAACAACCCTTCATGCTAAAAACTCTCAATAAATTAGGTATTGATGGGACGTATCTCAAAATAATAAGAGCTATCTATGACAAACCCACAGCCAATATCATCCTGAATGGGCAAAAACTGGAAGCACTCCCTTTGAAAACTGGCACAAGACAGGGATGCCCTCTCTCACCACTCCTATTCAACATAGTGTTGGAAGTTCTGGCCAGGGCAATTAGGCATTAGAAGGAAATAAAGGTATTCAATTAGGAAAAGAGGAAGTCAAATTGTCCCTGTTTGCAGATGACAGGATTGTATATCTAGAAAACCCCATTGTCTCAGCCCAAAATCTCCTTAAGCTGATAAGCAACTTCAGCAAAGTCTCAGGATACAAAATCAATGTACAAAAATCACAAGCATTCTTATACACCAATAACAGACAGAGAGCCAAATCATGAGTGAACTCCCATTCACAATTGCTTCAAAGAGAATAAAATACCTAGGAATCCAACTTACAAGGGACGTGAAGGAGCTCTTCAAGGAGCACTACAAACCACTGCTCAATGAAATAAAAGAGGATACAAACAAATGGAAGAACATTCCATGCTCATTGATAGGAAGAATCAATATTGTGAAAATGGCCATACTGCCCAAGGTAATTTATAGATTCAATGCCATCCCCATCAAGCTACCAATGACTTTCTTCACAGAATTGGAAAAAACTACTTTAAAGTTCATATGAAACCAAAAAGGAGCCTGCATTGCCAAGTCAATCCTGGGCCAAAAGAACAAAGCTGGAGGCATCACGCTACCTGACTTCAAACTATACTACAAGGCTACAGTAACCAAAACAGCATGGTACTGGTACCAAAACAGAGATATAGATCAATGGAACAGAACAGAGCCCTCAGAAATAATGTTGCATATCTACAACTATCTGATCTTTGACAAACCTGAGAAAAACAAGCAATGGGGAATGGATTCCCTATTTAATAAATGGTGCTGGGAAAACTGGCTAGCCATATGTAGAAAGCTGAAACTGAATCCCCTCTTTACACCTTACACAAAAATTAATTCAAGATGGATTAAAGACTTAAATGTTAGACTAAAACGTTAAAAACCGTAGAAGAAAACCTAGGCATTACCATTCAGGACATAGGCATGGGCAAGGACTTCATGTCTAAAACACCAAAAGCAATGGCAACAAAAGCCAAAACTGACAAACAGGATCTAATTAAACTAAAGAGCTTCTGCACAGCAAAAGAAACTACCATCAGAGTGAACAGGCAACCTACAAAATGGGAGAAAATTTCCACAACCTACTCATCTGAGAAAGGGCTAATATCGAGAATCTACAATGAACTCAAACAAATTTACAAGAGAAAAACAAACAACCCCATCAAAAAGTGGGCAAAGGATATGAACAGACACTTCTCAAATGAAGGCATTTATGCAGCCAAAAAACACATGAGAAAATGCTCACCATCACTTGCCATCAGAGAAAAGCAAATCAAAACCACAATGAGATACCATCTCACACCAGTTAGAATGGCAATCTTTAAAAAGTCAGGAAACAACAGGTGCTGGAGAGGATGTGGAGAAATAGGAACACTTTTACACTGTTGGTGGGACTGTAAACTAGTTCAACCATTGTGGAAGTCAGTGTGGCGATTCCTCAGGGATCTAGAACTAGAAATACCATTTGACCCAGCCATCCCATTACTGGGTATATACCCAAAGGACTATAAATCATGCCGCTATAAAGACACATGCACACGTATGTTTATAGCGGCACTATTCACAATAGCAAAGACTTGGAACCAAGCCAAATGTCCAACAATGATAGACTGGATAAAGAAAATGTGGCACATATATACCATGGAATACTATGCAGCCATAAAAAAGGATGAGTTCATGTCCTTTGTAGGGACATGGATGAAATTGGAAAACATCATTCTCAGTAAACTATCGCAAGGACAAAAAACCAAACATCGAATGTTCTCACTCATAGGTAGGAATTGAACAATGAGAACACATGGACACAGGAAGGGGAACATCACACTCTGGGGACTGTTTTGGGGTGAGGGGTCGGGGGAGGGATAGCATTAGGAGATATACCTAATGCTAAATGACGAGGTAATGGGTGCAGCACACCAGACTGGCACATGTATACATATGTAACTAACCTGCACAATGTGCACATGTACCCTAAAACTTAAAGTGTAATAATAATAAAATAAAATAAAATAAATAAAAAATAAAAAAGAGAAAAAAAATCTTTTCTCCTTTCTTTCATTTTATTGGCTAATCCACCATTGATTTTTAAGATAAGGAGCCTTAAATGAAAATGTTTAATTATAACATTTCAAAAATCAGGATAGGAATGGGGCACATGGATGGTAGGGAAAGAGACCCTCCTGGGGTCCAGAAGTCACATTAATCTCAGTTATCTTCCCAGTCAACAGCCCGACTACCCTGGGAGACCAGATATTGTGGCAGCAGGGCACTGGCAAATGGTCCCTTGTATTCCCTACTGGTTCTCTTGCTTCTGCCTTGCTTCTGACAGATGCTTCTACTGCTATCCCCTCCAGCCATGCCAGTGAACTCAACAATCCACAGTGAAATTACCGGATGCTATTCAAGCCACAGGTGAAGCTACTTTCAGGTTGCCACTGAGGGGAGAAAAATCAGTGAGGCTGATGGACTGTCCCAGGGTCCAGGGCTGCCAAGGTCAGCTGTGCAGCCTGCCACTGCTCCACTACAAGCGCAGGAGTCCCCCCTCATGTGCGGTTTCAGTTACCCACGGTCAAGCAAAAACATTAAGTGAAAAATCCTGGAAATAAGCAATGCATAGGTTTTAAATTGAATGCCCTTCTGAGTAGCACGATGAAATCTCAGGCTGTCTTCCTCCATCCTGCCAGGGATGGGAATCCTTTTTTTGCCCAGCATTTCCACACTGTCTGTGCCATCCACCCCTTAGTCATTTAATAGCTGTCTCAATTATCGAATTGACTGTCCAAGTATCACAGTGGTTGTGTTCAAGTGATCCTTATTTTACTTAATAATGGCCTTAAGCACAAGAGTATTGATGCTGGCTTATTGTTATAATTGTTCTATTTTGTTATTATTGTTAATCTCTTACTGTGCCTAATTTATAAATTAATCTTTATCATAGATATATATGTATAGGAAAAAAGAGGGTATATATAGGGTTCGGTGCAATTTCAGGCATTTACTGACAGTCTTGGGAAAGATCCCCTGTGAATAAAAGAGAACTACTGTAAGCCGAAAGTTCCCAAAGCAACTTCCCCTTTCAGGGTAGCCATTGCTAGTCCTTTTATTGGATTATAAAGGGGCGATTGAGGAAGAGGCAGCGAGAGAGAATTTAAGGGAGAAGGTGCTCACACCTGAGTAAAAGAGCAGATTTCAGGTCACTAAGAAATAGAAACTCAATTCTACACACCTTGAGCATCTACAGAAGCCATGCTGGCAGCCCTTAAAGCAGTCCTGTACAGGCTGACTGATGGCTTTGACTGCCTGCCTCCAAATCTTTCCACCCTCCTTGCTACCTGGGGACCCAGAGCAGGGCACTTGCCTTCCCTAAGCTTTCTTTTCCTCACCTGTAAAATGGGGCTAATAAGAGCAGGTTCCTCATGACATTGCTTTGTTGAGTGAATGAATTAAAATATATAAAGTCTTTGGGCTCTGTGTCCGGCAGATAGAAAGTGCTCACAACTCAGCCAGGCATGGTGGCTCACGCCTGTAATCCCAGCACTTTGGGAGGCCGAGGTGGGTGGATCACAAGGTCAGGAGTTTGAGACCAGCCCAGCCAACATAGTGAAACCCCTTATCTGTTAAAAAATACAAAAAAAATAAGCCAGGCATGGTGGCGGGCGCCTGTAATCCCAGCTACTTGTGAGGCTGAGGCAGGAGAATTGCTTGAACCCGGGAGGCAGAGGTTGCAGTGAGCCGAGACTGTGCCATTGCACTCCAGCCCGGGCAATAGTGTGAGACTGTCTAAAAAAAAGAAAGTGCTCACAACTCTACTACCAAGGCACTCTGTTTCTGTTTTTTGTTTGTTTGTTTGTTTTTAGAGACAGATTCTCGCTCTGTCACCCAGGCTGGAGTGCAGTGGCATAATCATAGCTCACTGCAGCTTAGATCTCCTGGATTCAAACAATCCTTCCAGCTCCACCTCCTGAGTAGCTGGAACTACAAGTGCATAGCACTACGCCCAGCTAATTTTGTGGGTTGCTTTTTTTTGAGACAAGGTGTCACTCTGTTGCCTTGGCTGGAGTGCGGGGGCATCATCTCAGCTCACCAGACCCTCAACCTCCCCAGGCTCAGGTGACCTTCCCACCTCAGCCTCCCGAGTAGCTGAGATTACAGGCACATGGCACACCACCACACCCGGCTAATTTTTGTATTTTTAGTAGAGACAGGGTTTCGCCATGTTGCCTAGGCTGGTCTCAAACTCCTGAGCGCAAGTGATCTGCCCACCTCAGCTTCCCAAAGTGCTGGGGTTACATGCGTGAGCCACCACGCCTGGCCTAATCTTTTTATTTTTAGTAGAGATGAGATCTCACTATGTCATCCAGGCTGGTCTCAAACTTCTGGCCTCAAGCAATCATCTCATCTCAGCCTTCTGTTTCTAATCTTCAGTAGGCTTGCTCTCACCATGGAAGAAAAAAGACAACCATTCTCCACCTTCCTTCCCATGCCCAGCAAGAGCCTTGGTCTTGTTTAAGAGATCCACTTCCCTTGCTTACAAGATAAACACTAGTAGCACAGCTGTAGTTTTCTCTGTATTTGGAGGAAGCAGCCCTACTTCAACCGCTAGTTATCATCTCACCCCCACTGAACAGCCTGCCTTCCATGCAGCAGGCCATTCATGTGGGCAAATGATTTTTTTTTTTTTAATTTGGGGCTAGAGGCAACTGGCTTTCTGTAAGCAATGCAGTCATGGCTCTGCTATTTCCCAGTAGAGAGGAGGTCTGGACTTCTTGTGAGGAGAAGTTATGTCTCTTCTCCATGCCAAGTTTCCCAGAGAATGAATCACCTCTGCTTGCAGGTAAATATGGATGGCCAGCCCAATCCAGCACAAATGTGCAGCGTCTAAATGCTGATGCCCATCTGGAGAGGGGAAGCCACAAATCATGCCTTGCCCAAGGCATTTAGCAAAATGCAGGCCAGCTCTCAGAGCAAAAATAAAAACCAACGAGAAGAAACAGAAGCAAAAAAGATTATGACTTTAAGCTATGTGGTCTTTATTTGAAGAGGAGTCAAGGAAGCAGCTTTGAACCCAATATGAAGAGGACAGTGTAGGAGGCTGATGGAGCCACAAACTCAACCAACTTTTGAAGCCAACTCACAAAGCTGCATCACATTGGAAACAAATTACCCAGAAGGCCTTTAAACTCACAGTTCAAAAATTACATTCCTTTGGTCAACTTTCCAGTGTAGCCTTTGGAGAGCCTTTCTCCTCTGAGCCCTGTTGCTCAGGATAAGACGAAAACACAAATAAGAGATTCCAATGAACTCTTTGGTCCCTATAGGGCTGGTCTACTTGGCCCACACGAGCTCTAACATCTCTGAGCAAAGCTGTCTGTCACTCAAATTCACAGGTAGAAAACTCAGATTCCAAAAGCCCCACTGATGAGACACAACAGCAGATATATTATCGGAGCAACAAGAAGGGAAGGGATGTTTTGCTATTTTCAGTGTAGAATCATTATCTCGTGGTCTAAACCTCCTGGTTAGAACATGGGGAGTCGTTTATTCCGAAATGTGCCTGTTTCATTTGTCCACGAACTGGATTGTAATGGGCTCTTTCCCAAAGGGAGCAACAGCAAGAATGGAAATGTAATTTATTTTTTATTGCTGAGTTGGGCCTTTTCAAATGATTTTTGCAGACATATCTTTAATAGATTTTCAGACATGTTTTATTTGTTGAAAAATTTCCATACCCTTGCATAATTTCAATTATTCAATGGAAACCACAGTTTGGGGAATTGTTCCAGCCATTTATTCAGCCCTTGGAATAAGCCATATTTATTACTTAAATTGATTACTTTGTCCATTTGGAGATTAGCTCAGATGAATGGGGATTAAGAGAGAATGTGTTTGAGATCCCCTCCCCCTGCAGTCACACAGGGGCCTTTTGCTTTTTGGAGTACCTCATGGGCAGCTTCGAATCTGGCCTTTCTTGTTGGTGTGGTCTTGGTGAAGGGGTTCAGGAGAGCGGGGAGTCTTTGAGAGCATGGTTTCACTGAAGATGATGCATTCAGCTGCAAGCCACAGAAAGCCTGACTGCAGAGCATTCCCAGGCAGGAGTTTGTTCATTCACAAAAGAACAACTCTGCAGCTAGGCAGTCACTGCCCTTTGTTCGGAGGTTCAATGATACCTGGATGACATGGTTCAACGATATCTGGATGATGTCTCTACATGTGTTTTAGCCAAAAATGGCTGCTGCAAGTCAGAGTGTCATGGCCATGAAGAAGAGGAAAGGCGGAAGGGCCATTTCAGCACAGTCTGTCTCTTTTTATTAGGAAATCAAAAACTTTTCGAGAAGCCTCCTGCTGATGTCTGCTTACCTCCACTACCACCCTTGGTCCTAGGTGCCATCATATGAGCCAGTGCCTAGGATGGCTCCCACCTTCTTCCCTTCCCTGATTCTGTCTATTCTCCATACAGCAACCACAGTGAGCACATTGAAGGAAAAGTGGGACCGTGCCAGTCCTCTGCTCCAAACCCTCCAACAGCTTCCCACCATACTCAAGAGTAAAGTCCAGGCTCCTCGGAGGGGCTTAGGAGGACTGCGTGATCTGGCCGCCCCGTCTCTGCACTGACTTCACCCCTGCTGCATATTCCTGTCTCTTCCTATTGCACATTCCAGCCCGGGCTCCCACTGCTTTATCGCAGGCCAGGCACGCTCCCTAAGTAGGCTTTTGCACTTGCTATTCTCTCTGTCTGGCATGATGTCCACCTGTAACCTCCCAGTTTACCCCCTCACCTCCTTCAGCCTTTGCTCACATTTCAGCTTTGCTGTGAGACCATCCCTGACCCTCCTATTCATCATTCCAACTTCCCTTCCCCCATCCCTTCTATGCTTTATTTTTCATAGCATTATCTAACGCATATATAGTCATGTGTCACTTAACAGGGACATGTTCTGAGAAATATGTGGTTAGCCAATTTCATCATTATGTGGACATCTTAGATTTTACTTACACTAACCTAGATGGTATAGCCTACCATGCACACACCTAGGCTATATGGTATGGCCTATTGCTCCTGGGCTACAGACCTATTCAGCAGGCTACTGTACTGAATACTATAGGCAATTTTAACACAATGGTAAGTGTTTCTGTATCTAAACATATTCTAACATAGAAAAAGTACAGTAAAAATATGGGCTTCTAATCTTATGGGATCACCATTGTATATGCCATCTGTCATTGTCCAAAACATCTTCATGTGGAGCATGACTGTACCTATTTCTCCTTTCTGTCTGTCTCCTCTGTGACCAAAATAGTGCCTGGCACATACTAAATGTCCTCATACTCTCTGTTGAGTAATGCATAGAAGCATGAGAGAATGGATGGGGCGGAAGTGACTTGCATGGTCCGTACAAGCAAGCGTTTGGTGCTCTGGCCTCTGAGCAAGAGGTCCTGAGGGGAAAGGAGATTGGGAATGACTTTTGAGTTGTCAAGAAATAGTTTGTGCCATGTAGATCCACTCACTCTTCTCCATGAAGGCAAATTCCCACCTGAAACTACTTGCAAATGTTCATAGCAAAGCTGCTCAAGTTAATTTTGCTTTTTCTCATTAAGTGAGAATCCAAAAGGTTAGTTAGAGTATTCGGTGTAGAGAAAGGATTAACAATAAATAAATAGGTCAGAAACATTGATAGACCCCTCATGTGTTATTTTATTCTTTAAATGCAGAAGATAGCCCTGTGAGATGGGTTTAGCAATCTACATGTCACAGGGGAGGAGCATGAGGTTCAGAGACGCTGAGTAATGTGCCCACAGACTCTCAGCTGGCATAGAAAGCTGGGGGTTTAGCCTCCAGGTTCTGTGTTCTCAACACTGTCCGGGTGTCTCCTAGCAGATACATTGACGTCCTGATGTTTGTATCTGCAGTTGAAAACTTGTCTTCTAGAAACCCATGAACTCTGGCATCCTCACTGCTGCCTGGAAAAGTTAGAAAACAATAAGATTTAAATCCTGGGCAAATTATAAGTGTGATTCTAGGAAGTCTAGGAAGGCCCACTTGCCCTCAGCTCAAAATATGCCTCACCTATGTCCAAGCTGCTGCCTGACACTCCTCCAGCCAAGGTTAAAGCTTTTATGAATTTAAATGCTGATTGGATCTAGGCTCACTCACAAATTAATCCTGAAGCTATTTTGATTTTTGTTTGTTTGTTTCTTTGCTATTTCACTGCTTGTTCACCTATCACAGGCTTTTGCATGTCATCCTAGAGTGTAAGCCACTAAGGAGGGAACAATATCCTGCACACCTGGCATAGCATTCTTCCCCATCTGTCAGTCTTAAATAAACACTTGTTGACTGATTACTGTACAAAGTACAAGACACACATCTCTGGGATCTATGTGTTTGCAGAAGTGTGCTGTGGAGAAAGCAGGGGCCTTGGGAAGCACAATCGCCTCGGTTTCCATCCTGATTCGGCTACTTATCACTTATTGGATCTTCCACCAGTGCCTTCATCTCCTGAGCCCCAGTTTTCTTTCTTTTTTATTTTTTATTTTTTTAATTTTTTATCTCCATAGGTTTTCGGGGAACAAGTATCATTTGGTTACATGAGTAAGTTCTTTGGTGGTGATTTGTGAGATTTTGGTGCACCCATTACCCAAGCAATATACACTGAACCCAATTAGTAGTCTTTTATCTCTCACCCCCTTCCCACCCTTTTTCCCCCTGAGTTCCCAAAGTCCATTGTGTCATCCTTATGCTCATAGCTTAGCTCCCACTTAGGAGTGAGAACATACGATATTTGGTTTTTCATTCCTGGGTTACTTCACTTAGAATAATAGTCTCTAATCCCATCCAGGTTGCTGCAAATGCCACTAATTCGTTCCTTTTTATGGCTGAGTAGTATTCCACTGGATATGTATATATATCAGAGTTTCTTTTTCCACTCATTGATTGATGGGCATTTGTGTTGGTTCTACATTTTCGCAATTGCAAATCGTGCTGCTATAAACATGTGTGAGCCAAGTATTTTTTTTGTATAATGACTTCTTTTCCTCTGGGTACATACCAAGTAGTGGGGTTGCTGGATCAGATGGCAGTTCTACTTTTAGTTCTTTAAGGAATCTCCACACTCTTTACCATAGTGGTTGTACTAGTTTACATTCCCACCAGCAGCATAGAAGTCTTCCCTTTTTACCGCATCCATGCCAACAGCTATTAATTTTTCAGTTTTTAATTACAGCCATTCTTGCAGGAGTGAGGTGGTATCACATTGTGGTTTTCACATCTGTAAAATGGGCACGACAATACCTGCCCACTGGTTTATTAAGAGGAATGAATTGCAAGACTGTAGTTTCAGGGATTGTTTCTATAGTTTGCTACTAGAGAAGTTTCTCTGAACGTGTAGAGCCCCGGAAACCCCCGGGTGGTGGTGCAGCATCCTCTCTTGAGGTGAAGCCGGCTTTTGGTGTTGCTTCACTGCAACTACCTTTTGCCATGGATGATTGTCCTTCTCCTCCTCTGGCAGAGGGAGAGGGAGAGGACATAAGTCTGAGTGGTATCTCAAAAAAAAAAAAAGTGGGGAGATAAGTTGGGAATGTTTGTAAAAAGCCTGACACAGTGCCTCACCTTTCTGGTCTGAGTCAGAACCAGAATGAGTGCCCCTTGATTATGGCCACTGCTCTAGCTGACTGGGAGAGCCTACTGGAAAGAGCTCCTGAGAGCAGCAACTTCCTTTCCTGAAGGGCCAGAGGCTCCACTGAGGCATCATCTCAGAGCAGCACTGGAGCTCTAGGAGCAAGAGAAAAACAGGCAGGAGGACAGGGTCACAGCAAGCCTGCCCTGAAGGAAGACAGAAGATAGTCACCCTTCAGTGAACAGAAGCCACAAGGCTTAGCTCCATCCTGGGCTCAGAACCCCTTCAGAATAGATTCACTGGGCTAGAACAAGAAGCCAGAAACACTGCACCCCTGGACACAACAGTCTCTCAACCAGCCACCGATGAGAGAGAAGCTGAGCGAGGCAGGATGAAAGAGCACTGAGGTTTCTGCCTGAGCCCATTTCTAAGCACCAAGCCTGCTCTCTCAACTATATCCAGGAGTGGCTACCCACCTCCCCACCACACCCATCTATTCCTTGGGACCGGTAGCAGAAGCTTCTCGAATCTCTTCTCTACCCCCGCCAGATGTGACCGTCCCACCCTTCTCTGCAGTGCAGTAGATTACCTCTTTCCCTGACCCACCCCTCAGCTTCCACAGCAAAGGCAGTTGTCCCCGACTCCACTGTATAGACCTGCACTGTGGTTGACTACTGCAGTTGTCTCAGATGTGTGGCTACTGAGTGTGTGAATCATGGCTAGTCCAAGTTCAGATGTTTTGTAAGGGCAAAATGCACACCCGATTCTGATAACTTAGTGTATTCGTCCATTTTGCATTGCTATAAAGGAATACTTGAGGCTGGGTTATTTACAAAGAAAGATTTACTTGGCTCTCACTTCTGAAGCCTATACAAGAAGCATTTTGCCAGCATCTGCTTCTGGTGAGGCCTCAGGAAGCTTCCAATCATCGTGGAAAGTGAAGGGGGAGCAGGTATGTTACATGGACAGACAAGGAGCAACAGAGAAGAGGAGTTTCCAGGCTCTTTCCACAGTCAGATCTTTTGGGAACTAATAAAGCAAGAACTCACTCATTAGCATGAGAAGAGCACAGAGCCATGCATGAGGGATCTGCCCCCATGACCCAAACATCTCCTGCCAGGCCCCACCTCCAACAGTGGGGGTCACATTTCAGCATGAGATTTGGAGGGGATAAATATCCTCTATCACTTAGCATTTTTAAAAAAGCAAAATGTCTCACGAACACCTTTTTAGATTGATTACAAATTGAAAGGATAAGGCCGGGCACGGTGGCTCACACCTGTAATCCCAGCACTTTGGGAGGCCAAGGCGGGTGGATCACGAGGTCAGCAGTTCGAGACCAGCCTGACCAGCATGGTGAAATCTCATCTCTACTAAAGATACAAAAAAAAAAAAAAAAACTAGCTGGGCGTGGTGGCGGGCGCCTGTAATCCCAGCTACCTGGGAGGCTGACGCAGGAGAATCACTTGAAACTGGAAGGCGGTTGCAGTGAGCCGAGATTGTGCCACTGCACTCTAGCCTGGGCAATAAAAGCAAAACTCCGTCTCAAAAAAAAAAAAATTGAAAGGATAATTTTGACTACAGTGGATTAAAATAAAATATACTGTTACAATTAATTTCACATGGGGTTTGTTGTTGTTTTACCTTTTTAAACACGGCAACTAGAAAATTCTAAATTACATTGGCAGCTAAAATCTATGGCTCACATAATGCTGCTCTACAATGCTGGTGTGAACTATCACGACACTGTTATACTATTATTCTTTGTTTTATCTCTGCCTCACTCACTAGACAGGGAACTTAAGGAGAATAGGAAGAGTACCTTCCACTGCTACGAGAGATGCTTGGTACATTACAAATATTCCGTAAATACTTGTTGAGGGAATGAAGCTATGACCAAAAAAAAAACTAAAAATATTCAATGATTCTGAAATATTTAAAAAATCACTCAAAATCATGTGCTATATTGACTTGCCCACAACACTAGTCTGTTTGGTGTAAAGATAACATTCAACTCATGTGCTTGGTATATGCTAGAGTTTGGTTTGTTTGACCCCTCCAAATCTCACTTTAAAATGTGATTCCCAGTGTTGGAGGTGGGACCTGGTGGGAGATGTTTGGGTTATGAGAGAAGATCCCTCATGAATGGCTTGGTGCCATCCTCAAGGTAATGAGTGAGTTCTTACCCTATTCTTCCTGAAAAAAGGAGCCTGGCATCTCCTTCCCCACCTCTCTCTCTCCCTCTCTCTCTCTCTCTAACACACAAACACAAACACACACACACACACACACACACATACAGAGCATGTGATCTCTGCAAACTGGCTCCCTTTGCCTTCCACCATGAGTGAAAGCAGCCTGAGGCCTCACCAGATGTAGGTGCTGGTGCCATGTTTCTTGTATAGTCTACAGATCTGTGAGCCAAATAAAAGTCTTTTCTTTATTAAACTACCCAGCCTCAAGTATTTCTTCACAGCAACACTAACAGACGAAGACAGTATGCATGCTCATATATTTCCACGGGTGTAAAAGAATTGAATCTTCCAACACTACACTGGACCTCATGCACATAAAATCAAGTGTGATTGTTGCCCTGGCTCAGAATTTGGCTGACAGTTGGCTGCCCCATTTACTTCCTTGTTGGCCCTATGGGCAGTCCTCGAACCAGTAGCATGAGCACCACCAGGGAGCTTGTTAGAAATGCAGAGCTTCCAACTACACTCCAGACCTATTGAATCAGATCAGAAGCTTCTCTATAACCAGATCTCTGGTTAATTTTAGGTTAAGTGTAAGCCCTTAACATTTGAGAAGCCTGAACTATGTGTTTTTGTTTCTCAGCTCTAAGGAAGACAGTCACCTGGAAAGTTGGCTATTATTCCTCTTTATTCTCCACACATTTTTTGCTAAAAACCATAGTGAGCATTCACTTTGCATAAGGTGCTATGAACCAGACACATGGCTCTTGGTTGTGTGACTTGTGTCACCCATTACTGATGAGCTCTTGCTGTTTGTGGAGGCAGCTGGACACCCTGGATGCTGGATGCCAGAGAGCACTTCAGAAGGGCTCTGAAGAGGCCAGAAATGGTACAAAATGGCCCCGTGTCTGCAGAGAATCTATACACAGCACTTTTATGAGTCTTGCATTCTCAGGGTGGCCAGAGGAAAGAAAGCAGCCAACACTGCCTTTCTCCCAAGAAGGAAATTTTGCCAGAGTCTGTTCGTCTCCATGGAGACCCAAGAATCTGCAAAGCCTCCATCAGCATCCTGGTCCCCAGGCTCAAGTTCAAGCAAGCTTAATTCCCCTTTGTCTGGGTCTCTGGAGTAGCATGAATGTTGTTACTTTAGGGGAATGCAGATTTTTTTAGTCACATCTGTGTGTTCCTGGAGAGTAAAAGCAACTCAAACTGGACCTGCAGCAGTCTTCAGACACTCTGTGGCTGGGGAATTGCAGTGAAGCTTCAAGGAACTCTCACCTGAAAAATCAGAAGATGCAGTGACCAGAATTCTCTCCCTCCATTTCTATAGTTACAACTGCATTCACCTGGTCAGTTAAATGTATTGAACACCTGTGGTGTTCACCATAAGGTATACAGAGATTATCCTGTCCAAGCAAGAAAAACTGATATGTCAACAAGCAACAGCTTAAAATGCTGGCACAGCCAGGTGCGGTCGCTCACCTTGTAATCCCAGCACTTTGGGAGGCCGAGCCAAGCAGATCACTTGAGCTCAGGAGTTCAAGACCAGCCTGGGCAACGTGGGGAAACCCCATCTCTACCAAAAAATACAAAAATGAGCAGGGCATTGTGGTGCATGCCTGTAATCCCAGTAGCTCAGGAGGCTGAGATGGGAGATTCACTTGAGCCTGGGAGGTCAAGGTTACAGTGAACCAAGATGGCACCACTGCAACCCAGCCCAGTGATAGTGCAAGACCCTGTCTCACCGAACACAAACAAAAACAAAACACAACAAAGGAAACAACACTGGCACGGCTCTCATTGCTTCACATCTGGCAAATAATCCGACAAACTCTCGACCCACTGGGCTCTGGGTTCTCTACAGGTCCTGGTCCATCTCATCACCTCCCTGCTCTCTGCACTCCAGCCCTACTGGCTGCTTCCTCCCTAACAGCCTTTATCTGGACACCTCCTTTCACCTTTTTCTTGCCTAGTTCAGCCTTTATCTCTCAGCTCTGGGATCACTTCCTCGGGGAAGCTTCCAGATGTCCAACGGCCTGTGTGAGCGAGGCCCCTGCCCTGTGCTCCTGGAACCCCTGCCTTTCTCCTTCCTTATGTTCTCTTCAGTCATTTCTGCAGGGATCCTGACTGACAGCCTTTATTCCATAGGCTATGGGATCTGAAAATGTTTGAGCAAGGGAGAGATAAGATTAAAGTTTGGGGGAGATGAATTTGGCAGCTGTGAGGAGAGTATGTTAAACAAAAGAAGAGACTGCAGGCTCAGAAAGGAAACTGGAATGATTATCTTTTAAATGCCAGGCCTTGGGCTGTTTTTTAAAATATTATCTTATTTGTTTTTCAAGATGTATCTGCGAGTAAGGCATTGTTGTCCCCATTTTTTAGATGAAGAAATTGAGACTGAGAGGGGTTCAGTGACTTGCTCAAGGCCACACAGCTGGAATGTCCGGGCCTGCCTGGTTTCCTAACTCTGCCTCCCAGAGAAGCTGTTGGAAAAATTATTTATGGGAAATAATAGAAAGGAGAGGACTGACCTGGTAGATGTCACAGCGGAGAATCAACAGAATGCATGGAAGATAGTATGTGGGGCTGGAGCATAGGAAGAGGAACTCATCCAAAATGACTGAAGTTCTCACCTGGCCACTTCCTTCCAGAAGTTTCCCCAACATCTCTCCCACATGTTCCCTCGGCACTCTGTGTTTCTCCCATCAGAGCACTTTTCGAAGTGTTTTGTAATTCCTGGTCTGTTTGGCTGTCTTCGCCACCAGCGCCTGTCTGTGGTGTTTACTGTTGTAGCCCCACAGGGAAGCAGCGAGTCTCTAAGTTCTCAGTGAAGTCTTGCTAAATGAATATGAGGCAATGACGGAACAAAGGACTGGGTGATGGAGAGTAAGGACACCTGTGGTGGATTTATAGCAAGAAGTGCTTGGAGCCAAACACAGCATCAGCCAGTCAGAGCTAGTGGGGCAGCTCTCTGGGGTGCACCTGGAGCGTTCGCCTTTGAGGACGTCTGTGACTTATTTCCACTAAAGAACAGGATTCTTCCAGGTGACAGTGAGGTGACTGGACAGGGCAGGGTTGCAGCTTGCTGCCTCAGAGTAGACCCAGCTCAGTGCATCCAAGACTAGGTACAAAATCTGTAATTCCACAATTGCAAATCTCAGAGAATCCTCTCGGTGATTTATTGGTCACTACATTCGGCACTTGAAGAACAATTTATGCCATAACTTGTAAAACTTTAACAACATGAAGCACTGGTTTCCCTCGAGAGTTTGCAAGGACGTTTTGCAGAGAGGGAGAATCCATGTCCTGGCTCTTAAAATGGCATCTACTTCAAACTTTCTCTGTTCCACATCTGGGGAAGGCTCAAAGAGCCCTGCAGACTTGTGATAACCACTTTTTCCTCTCCGGAAGCTGTAAAAAGTCCTCCTCACACTCTAGGGGTGTCTTAATATCTCCCCCACATCTCTCTGCCAGCGCTAATCAGTGTGTCATCACCTCCTGAACAAACTGTGCACTCACCTCCTTCTAGTCGACTTCCAATATTTCTTCCATCCTCACCCCTGCCTCCATATTATTAGTAGATTAGTTTTTCTAAAAACTGGTCAGAACTAACAGTAAAAAGCACAGCTTCTTAAGCTGGCATGCATCACCCTCCATCCTCCAGGCTGTGCTGTCACTCCCTCTCTGGACTGACCTTCCACTGTGCTTCTGCACATTTACCAGCCACAGCCAAGCTAACTCCTAACACCTCCTATTGCCTGTCCTCTGCCTTCAAGCCATGTTGGCACTCCCAGACTAGGATATCTTCTCTCCAAGATCTCCTGTCTAAATCCCTACTGGCCTTCTGGAATTTGTTCAAATGCTATCTCCTCTCTAAAGCTGATCCCAATTCCCTCAGTGAGAATTAACTTCTCTCCTTATATGTTCCCACAGTGCCTTCTTTTTATCTGTCATAGAATTTTCCAATAGATGTCTGGCATTGGAGTTAACTCCATGAAAGTTTGCAAAGGCAGCCCCACTGCATGACAGTCTCATTTTGTATGTCACGGCTAAGTTCTGTTGATAAATAGCAACCCACCCATAATCAACACATCAGTGGGTTATTCCTATGTTCTTTGCAACCCAAGGGTTTCTGTATTTAATGACTCTAATTACAACTCTTAGCATATCAAAGGAATTTTTTAGAAAAACAGCAATAATTAGCTTTGGAAATTTCCACAATTTGTTACTTTGTCAGGCTCAGTAAGCACTGGTTTTGTTGTGGGTGGTTTTTCTTTTTTTTTTTTTCTGCTTCCAAATGTTCCAAGGAAAGCTTTGAAATCCTGAACCTTACAGTCTAATGAGAAGAAACAGCAAGGGTGACCATTTTGAAACCCTTCTTTCTTTATTTCCCTCTCCTCTCTCAAGTGAAAGAGACACTCTATATAACATTTAGGGAGAACCAACTCAAAGACTTAATAGTTGTTTCCTGTCTTCTGGATAATTCTTTCAAAAATATGCCAGAATCGTCATATTTAGAAACCTTTTCTTAACCTAGTTTCTCACTCCAGTAATGGCACCTGCAAAACTTCTTAGAAGGGATTGTCTATACTCCCTACCCTTACTTCCTTACTGCTTGTTCTCTATTTATTAATTTATTTATATTTACATTGTATTAGAAATATAGATCCATTGTGCAAAATCAGAAAATACAAATAAGCTAAGAGAAAATCTAAAGTACTCATGTGGCAAAACTGTTAAACCCATGGCTAATGGCACTTCCCAACTTCCCTCACCACTGGGGTGAACACTTGCATTCCACTGGTGAGTGAGACACATTATTTCTACCCACTCATAACATATAAGTGATAGTGATGTGTCCTACTTTCTGGCATGGTCAATAAAATCCCCCGTGGACACTCCTCTACACTCTTTCTTCTTCCTGCAAAACTGAATAGCCAAGACGACAGCAACCTTGGAAACCATGTTTTTACAATGGCGTAGTCAATATGAGTCTTGATCTATAAATGACCTCTGGAAATGGACTTGAGTTTACCCTAAGCCAATGAAGAAACATCTACTCAAGAGAATATATAAAAATTCAGTACAAAATGTGAAGGTCTGTGGTATTTGAATGAAGACTCCTTTTATCTCCCTCCCCACCTGTTCCGTGATGTGGAAACTGCACTCCAGACTACTATAGTCAAGAACACAGGGCAAGACTGTAACATTTCTTATTCTGCCCTTAGCATATTGTTGCCAAGGCCAAGTCTTGGGTGACTGCAGTCAAGATGCAGGGTGCTCCCTTCTTCCTCCCAATTCCCAGCCATGAAATGAAGGCTTCATTTTGGACGTGGCACACTGAGAATACTGGGGCCCTGATAGCCCTTGCCTTCATTCATGAGGCAGTGGCTCCACACCAGGACTGGCAAGCTGAGAGAACCCTAGGCTGCAGCCCATCCCCTAAGCTTCTAGAGTATGGGTGTCACTCAAAAAGAGGCTTGGCACTGTCCCTACCCCCAGCTCCAGAGTCCTGACTCAGAGATTTTTGCCTAGAAGGGAAAACTGGCCATAAAACAAATAGCTTCTAAACTCTTCCCAAAGGAACTGACTTTATTTGCAACAGAGCTAGGGACGTTCAAGCCTAAGGGCACTCTCAAGAACAATGGAGATTGTAGTGGGAAGAGATTCATGGATCTAATGAAGATACAGCCTAGACTGTAGGCTGGCTAGTTTATAGGAGAGAAGTGGGGAAGAAGACAACTAGGGGGAGCCCTGATGTTAGAACAAATATTAAACACTGACCTCAGAAACTATTTCTACAGAGAGTGACATCAGCAAGGTGGGAGACTAGGAAGTCCCAACCCACATCCCACCACAAATGCAATGGATGATTTAACAACTACCACAAACAGAAAAAAATCCAGGAAATCTCCAAAGTACAGTGAAGAAGATGCAGCAACCCAGTAGAGAAGAAAAACTGAGAGTGATCACGTAGAAAAACATAGGAAGCGTTTTACCTGCATCACCCCATCATGCAACCTGGCACAGATCTGCAGTGCCACCACAGAAACCCACAATTTTTATCACCAGGGATCCCCACAGTCTTTGTCAAAGCTGCACTAGTGACACAGCTGCCCAGAGTCCACACTGCTCCCCCTCCCCTGAGCAAAAGCTGCTACTGCACCCTCCCTCGGGCCAGAGTTGCCACATCCCACATCCCAGCCCTGACACCACCTCAGACACACCTACACCCTGGAACCCCAATGCTATCATCACATGCTACACTCTCACCCTCAACAAATCCTACTGCCAAGGAGGATCCCCTGAGCCATCACTTCCCTTTGCAGGGGAAAAGGAGAACAGGAATTCACTTCACAGCCAAAGAAGTGTGACAATGGTTTCATGCTCATGAGATTCACTGGTCTTACCGTGTTTCTCATCATTTTGAAGCAGCTGGCTTGCTAAAATTGTGGAATGTCATTTTGAAGTCACAGATGCAGCGCAGCTAGGTGACAATATTTTGTAGGGCTGGAACAAATTTCTCCAGACGGCTAAATATGCTCTGAATCAGAATCCAATATATGGTACTATTTCTCTCATCTCAGCATTCATGGGTCCAGGAATCAAGGAGGGGAAATAGAAAGGCCACCACTCACCATTATCCCTGGTGACCCACTAGCAAATTTTTGCTTCCTATTCCCACAGCTTTATGCTCTGCCAGCCTAGAAGTTAGCTCCAGAAGGAAGAATGCTTCCATCAGGTGACACAACAATGACTCCATTCAACTGAAGGTTAAGATGCCACCCAGCCACATTGGGATTTTCATGTCTCTGAGTCAATAGGCTAAGAAGGGAATTACAGTGTTGGCTGGCATGATCGATCCAGACTACCACTGGGAAACTGGACTACTATTCCAAAGTGGAGGAAGGAAGAGTATGTCTGGAATAGAGGAGATCCCTTAGGGTATCTCTTTGTATAACTATGCCCTGTGATTAAGGTCAGTGGGAAAATACAACAACCCAACCCATGAAGGACTACAAATGGAATGAAGGTTTAGGTCACTCCACCAGGTGAGAAAACCATCACCAGCTAAGGTGCTTGTTGAAGACAATGGGAATACAGAATGGATAGTACAAAAAGGTAATTACCATTACCAGCTATGATCATGTGACCAGTTACAGAAGTAAGGACTGTAACTGTCATGAGTATTTTTCCCTATTGTGTTAAAAAAAAATGTGTTTGTGTGAACTATCACAAGGACAGAAAACCAAACATGGCACATTCTCACTCATAGGTGGGAATTGAACAATGAGAACACTTGGACACAGGATGGGGAACATCACACACTGGGGTCTGTCATGGGGTGGGGGGAGGGGGGAGGGATAGCATTAGGAGATATACCTAATGTAAATGACGAGTTAATGGGTGCAGCACACCAACATGGCACATGTATGCACATGTAACAAACCTGCACATTGTGCACAGGTACCCTAGAACTTAAAGTATAAAAAAAAGTTTGTGTGTATATATACATATATTAAGCAAATACCTTTGTTTCATTTCCTCTCCTATTCCTTTATCATGTAATATAAGATGTATTAACTTTATATCAGTATTCAAGTATTGCTAATTTTATGTCATAGTATTTAAATTATGGACTATCAGAAGAAGAGTAAATGTCACTCAAGGGCTTTACCTCCTCTTCTCAGGAACGGTTTGGGGCATTTTCAGGCATATCATGTTAGGTTGAACTATGACCTTGTTATTGTCTTTATTTGAAGATTAAGTATGGCTTAAGGAGATGCATGTGGATGCCAAGTTGACAAAGAGTGAACTTGTAATGGTTAATGTTAGGTGTTAATTTGACTGGGTTAAGGGATATCTAGATGGCTGACAAAGCATTATTTCGAGTCTCTCTGTGAGGTTGTTTCCAGAATAGGTTGGTATTTGAACTAGTGGACTCAATAAGGAAGATCTGCCCTCACCCACATGTGAGCAGGCACCATCCAATCAGCTGAGGGCCCTAATAGAACAAAAAGGCAAAGGAAAGAATTTGCTCACTCTCTCTCTCTCTCTCTCTCTCTCTCTCTCTGTCTCTTCTAGAGCTGGGACACCCATCTTCTCCTGCCCTTGGATATAAAAACTCCAGGCTCGCTGGCCTTCAGGCTCTGTGACTTTCATCAGTGCCCCCCAACCCAGTTCCTCAGGCCTTCTGCTTTGAACTAAGAGCTACACCATCAGCTCCCCTGGTTCTCAGATCTTCAAAGCTGGATGGAGTCATGCTACTGACTTTCCTGTTCTCCAGTTTGCATATAACACATTGTAGGACTTCTTACCCTCCATAATCACATGAGTCACCTCTTCTGACAAATTACCTTTCATATGTCTATATCAGATAGATGATAGATAGATAGATATGCATACATACATATTTATTCTATTGGTTCTGTTTCTCTGGAGAATCCTAATACCGATTACAGATGGTTAAAATTAAAAAGTCATATAACAAGTGTTGATGAGGATGTGAAAAAATCAGAATCCTCATGTGCAGTGAAAATTTTAAATAATACAGCCACTTTGGAAAACAATCTGGAAATTCCTTACACAATTAAATATAGAGTTACAATATGACCCTCCTAAGTACATATATTCTACTCTTAGGTATATGCCCAAGATAAATAAAAACATATGTCTACACAAAATCCTGCACATAAGTCTTCATAGCAGCATTGTAATAGCCAATAGGGTGGGGGAATAAACAATGTCCAACAACTGATGAATGGATAAACAAAATATGGTGTATTCATACAATGGAATATTACTCAGTCATAAAAAGTAATGAAGTGCTGATACATGCTGCAAAATGAATGAAATTGAAAATATTATGATGAGTGAAAGAAGTCAGTCACAAAAGACCACTGCTATGGTTTTAATATCCCCTCTGAAACTCGTGTTGAAACTTGATTCCCAGTGTGGCAGTGTTGAGAGGTGGGGACTCTAAGAGGTGATTGGATGATGAGGGTTCTGCCTTTATCAATGGACCTATCCATTCGTGGATTGACAGATTATATGGGTTATCATGGTTAGCCTTTTAAAAGAAGAAAGAGATATGTGAGCTAGCACATGAGAGCACCTTAGCACACTCAGTGAGGGTTCTGCCTTTATCAATGGACCTATCCATTCGTGGATTGACAGATTATATGGGTTACCATGGTTAGCCTTTTAAAAGAAGAAAGAGATATGTGAGCTAGCACATGAGAGCACCTTAGCACACTCAGTGAGGGTTCTGCCTTTATCAATGGACCTATCCATTCGTGGATTGACAGATTATATGGGTTATCATGGTTAGCCTTTTAAAAGAAGAAAGAGATATGTGAGCTAGCACATGAGAGCACCTTAGCACACCCAGCCCCCTTGGCAAGCCAGAGCCCCCACTAGCAAGAAGACTCTCACCAGATGTGGCCCCTTGAACTTGGACTTCTCAGCCTCCATATTTACAAGAAATAAATGACTTTTCTTTACAAATTACCCATTTTCAGGTATTCTGATAAGCAACAGAAATTGAACTAAGATAACCAGATATCATATGATTTCATATATGTAAAATATCTAAAATAGGGAAATCTACAGAGACAGAGGTCCAGTGGGTGCTTAGGGTTGGGAGGATGGCAATGCGGGGGAATGATAACTAAAGGGTACAGGATTTCTTTTTGAGGTGGCCAAAATGTTCCAAAATTGACTATGGTGATGATTGTACATTTCTGTTAATTTACTGGAAAACACTGAATTGTAACTTTAAGTAGGGTGATTGTATGGCATATGAATTATACCTCAATAGAGTTGTTGGAAAACAGTTTGAGCCCATTAAATATTGGGGTCTATTTGTTATAAGAGTTCAGCCTACCCTAAATAATATAACCCATAATATCACAATCCAATGATAAGCTTACTTTGATGTACATATTCTATGGTTTGTTTTGCATGAATATAACTTTTTTAATTTAACAAACCAGCGATTATTCTGTAAACCATACTTTTTAACTTAAATGATTGTAACTACCTTTCTTTTTCTTTTTTTTTTTTTTTGAGATGGAGTCTGGCTCTGTCGCCCAGGCTGGAGTGCAGTGTAGTGCAATCTCGGGTCACTGCAAGCTCCGCCTCCCGGGTTCACGCCATTCTCCTGCCTCAGCCTCCCGAGTAGCTGGGAGTACAGGTGCCTGCAACCAGACCCGGCTAATTTTTTGTATTTTTAGTAGAGATAGGGTTTCACCATGTTAGCCAGGATGGTCTCAATCTCCTGACCTTGTGATCCACCTGCCTCGGCCTCCCAAAGTGCTGGGATTACAGGCGTGAGCCACCGTGCCCGGCCGATTGTAACTACCTTTCTATGTCAATAAATATGCTTTTTTCATTTCATTTAATACCCAGCATTAAAAATTTTCTGTTTTATAGTAGCTTAACATTTTGATTTTGACAAACTCCTAAGCTTTATCTTTCATTTTTATTTTATCAAAGTGATGTCAATTTTTTAACTTTTCTTTTTCCATCTCTTTTTGTTCTTGTTATGTTTTACATTGTGGAAGATTTCCTCAACTTTCTGTGCCAATTCTTCTATCATATTTTAAAATTCCAATCCTCTATCTTTTTCTCTGAATGGTCCTTTTCAATAGTACCCTCTTCTTTTTCTATGTATGTAAAATCTCCTCTTATGTCTCTGAAAATATTTATTATGGTGTTTTGAAGTGTTTGGTCTCTACATTGTCTGTTTTCTCTGGGTTCTTTTTTCCTGTTTGTCAGGTTTGGTCTCTGTATTTCACAATAGAGGATGCTTCAAATGTATGTTCTTCTTTGGGTTTCTGCATATGTTTAAAAGTAAGGCATGAGAATGCAGCCAGAAGCCATGGGTGTGGGAGTGCAGTATACTCACTGGTGTACCTCACTGTACAGTCATGGGGTGGGTATCTGGCCCCTTTCTTTAGGTTCGTCAGATGTCAGCATCTGGAGTTCTTTTGTCTTCACTAGACAGTTTCTCCAGACAGAAGTCCCCCAGACTCCTGCCTTGCACACATAGGGATGGCTGCCAGTATTGTGACTGCTGAGAAAGCCAAGGGCGCTGGAGGTTGCCTTGCTCAGTATGTAGTTTCCCTTGGTCCCTTTTTCACCACCTCGCCTTGCTTCTAGCCTTAGCTGTGTGGCTGACCCAGGCCCAGAGTTTCTTCATCTCAGTTTTCCCCCAGATCGCCATTCTCTCCTCAGCCCACTCTACTCAGTTTTCCATCATCGTTTCTGAAATGAAGACCCTCTTACCCAAGTCCTCAATGGCTTCCACCCTGCTGAACCCAGAGGATGATTTTCTGCCCTCATCTAACTTAGCCTTTCAGAAGAATTCAGCACGGTTTTAGTGTTCTCATATTCTAAAAATTCCTTATTGATTTCCTAACAGGCAATTTCCTGGCTAAACTAGGGATCCATTTCCCACAAACTTTTCTAAATGTAAAACAGTCATGTCACTCTCTGGCTTAAAACACACTAAAGCTTCTCATCACACTTTGAATGTATCCAGTTTTCCTTGCTGTGGCCTACAGACTCCACATCATCTTTCCCCACCTGCCTGCAGCTCATCTCTAACCACCCTCTGTGTGTTCAAAATGACCCACTGGCCCTCTTTCTGTGGCTCAAACATACCCAACTTAGTCCTCTTCAGGGGTTCTACATTTACATTCTTCTCCGCTAAGTATCATTTCCTCAGATCTTCCCAAGACTGGCTACTTCTTAATTGTTATTCAGTTCTCAGCTCAAACATTAACTCCTCAACCAATCCAGTGACACAGTCTCCTACCACTACCCCGGTCACACGTATTATATGAATATGTTCTATTGCCACCATGACACTTATAATCATGTAATACAATCTTGATTTTTTTTTTATTCTGAGCCCCCTGCAAGAACGAAAGCCCCGCATGGACAGAGGTGCTGTCTGTTTTGCTCCCAAGTGTCATCAATCAGTGCCCAACACATAGCCGATCCTTGATAACTATTTACTGCATGGATGAATGAGGTGGGTAAGCAGTCATGTGCTCAGCCCTGCATGGGAATCACCGCAATACTACTAAGTGAAGGATCCATTTTCAGCTCAGATTACCACCTAGATGGAGCTCTTCCCACCAGAAGAGATTTAAAGTGCTCCTCAGCCATCATGGTACCCAAAAGTACTCATCACCTCAGGGAGCACAGAACTTCTACCTAGAAAGGGAGAAGACAGACCTCACAGTGGCATTTCTCATCTGTAGAAAAGCAGGCAACTAGCAAGCAATAAAATCTTCCAACGAAAATATTTAAGAAAAATTCAGTACCTTAAGACAGAACATTGAACAAGCGAGCAAGTAAATACTAAGAACTTAGCACAAATAAGTGCAGCATATGGATAACAGAAAAATATCTAAAATAGCCTTTAAGAGAGATTATTCTCTTGGCCTCACCAGTTATGGATTCTAGTCACTTCCTTGATATAAAATAACTAAAAGTTGCCATCAGAATTTGCTCTAAATATTTTAGTATTCATGTTACCTAAATATGCATAGTGAGCTGCATATAGGTCTCAATAAAATGGTAATGGATTAGTCAATAACCTAATTCAACAATTACCTAAGTTAACAAAGCCTGCCTTAAAGCCTATCTCTCAGTATTGCATATATATAACATACAAACAGTTGGATATTAACGATGCTTTCTTAAAAATGTGAATGCTTTTTGATTCTACAATTCTACTTTAAGGAAGTTAACCCAAGCAACTAATTAAGAATAAGAATTAATTTGTGGCCATAAAGATAGTCCTTACAATGTTATTTATAGTAGCAACCTAAATGTCCAACAATAGGAGATTGGTTATAGCCATTTTAAAAATTATTCTATGGATAAATATGTATTGGCATAGAACGCGTTCATTAGATTGAAAAAGCAGGTTACACAGCAATGCGATCCCGTTTATTTATTATACATACGTGTGAACGTGTAAATATACGTGTGAATATGTAAATGTGGAAGAGACAGAATAAAAGAGCAAGGAAGGGCATACAGGAACCAGAGATTTAATTAGGTTGGTGCAAAAGTAATTGTGGTTTTTGCCATTGAAGGTGATAGCAAAAGCCACAATTACTTTTGCAACAACCTAATAAAAGCAGTTTCACTGAATAGTAATATTAGCAAAGATATTTCTTTTACATATTTTTGGTTTTTCTTTATCCTAATCTAATTTTTTTCCTACAATAAATAGTTGTCACCATTGTAATATAAGAAAACTAAATTTTTAATTACAACTATGTTGGTGATCAGAATGGGTGTTTCTTCATTTATTCTATCTGAAAGTGCTGCATATAACACACGTGGACAACAACTTTAAGCACAAAATAGACCTATGAGCCCAATGCACACCCGAAATTTGTATCTTTTTTTCACACAGTTGAACTGCCATTTCTCTTTACACCAGCCTAATTCTTTCACCTCCATGGAGCTATTATGCCCTGCTTCTCCCCTTAGCCCTCTTGTTAGCTTTTTGTTTGTTTGTTTGTTTGTTTTTGAGAAGGAGTTTTGCTCTTGTTGCCCAGGCTGGAGTGCAGTGGCGCGATCTCGGCTCACTGCAAACTCTGCCTCCAGAGTTCAAGCAATTCTCCTGCCTCAGCCTCCCGAGTAGCTGGGATTACAGGCACCTGCCACCATGCCCAGCTAATTTTTTGTATTTTTAGTAGAGATGGGGTTTCACTATGTTGGCCAGGCTTGTCTCAAACTCCTGACCTCAGGCGACCCACCCACCTCAGCCTCCCAAAGTGCTGGGATTACAGGCGTGAGCCACCTCACCTGGCCTTGTTAGTCTTTTTATTCTTTTTTACAGGCTCCTTGTTTTAGTCAATTTGGGCTACTATAACGAAACACCATAGACTGGGCAGATTAAACAGCAGAAATTGTTTCCCACAGTTCTGGAAGCTGAGAAGTCCAAGACCAAGGTGCCAGCTAGTTTGGTTCCTGGTGAGGGCTCTCTTGCTGGCTTGCAGACAGCTGCCTTCTTGCTATGTCCTTACATTCCTTTTCTCAGTTTATGCACATAAAGAGAGAATGAGACTTCTCCCTCTTCCTTCTTATAAGTCCACTAATCCCATCAGAAAGGCCCCATCCTCATGGCTTTATCTAACCCTAGTCACCTCTCAAAGCCCCATCTCAAAATACCATCAAACTGGAAGTTAGGGCTTGAACTTATGAATTTGAGGGTAACACAAACCTTCAGTCCATAGCACTTCTCTTCCTCTGATTAAATATGAATGTTTCACAGGGCTCTGTCCTGATGTTCTACACATCCTCCATCCTTCACACACAATGATGGTTTTTGCCACATCTTTTTTAAATCTCAAATATCTACTACTATCCCAGGGAGACCTAAACTTCAACTCCAGACCTAAACCTCTCTGGAGTCCAACAAACAGCTCAAGCACACATACCTTAAAGTTTCTTACCTTATCGAATCCTATCTCTTCTTTGTGTTTACCATGAAGGTGAATGAATGGCACGACCATGTACCCATTCACCTGAACCAGCAGCCTGGGAGACCACCTACACTCTTCCCTTCATGATACAAAGCTTTGTATCATAAGCTTTGGCCAGTCCTACCCAGAGAAAGATCACAAAATAGATAAGAAGTGTTCAGGTCCAGAATCATATGGAGAGAAAAGAAAAATTGTTCAATCCAGAACTTCAAGACCCAGAATTCAGACTTTAGTGTGAGGAGTGTGACCTGCCTTGCATGGAACTATTAGTGATTCTAGGTGCTAATGTAACCAAGCCCATAAAACTCACAGTTCTTAGCCTCTCTGGCCTGGTGGGCATGTCACTTAAGTGGATTACCAACATCTGCAAAATATGGGAAACCTCTAGAAACAAGAAGGGCAGTGGGAGGTCTTTGTTCTAATCCCACAAATGGCATTAGTTTGCTGATTTGAGGTTTTGTAAGCAAACCAAAGTAAATGCAACCTTGAACACAGGTGAAGTCCTACTTCTCGCCAGATTTGGCTTGCCTCACATTGATCCTGTAGATTTCTCAAATACATCTCAAATTTCCTTTTTCCACTTCCCTTATTAGCTCATACTCTAGCCATTTCTCTCCAAGATTTGGGCTCAGCTCCTAGTTTTCTCCCTCACTCAAATCTTTTCCAACTCTTACCTATTCTCCACAATGCCCCAGGAGCTGTCTTTCTAGCATGTTCCTCATTGAAAATCCTGGAATGGCTTCCCATCTCCCCCTGAAATAGAAGTCCTCTCCCACAGGCTCCTGCTGGCCTATCCACACCTTTGCCCCTGCATCCTCCACACTGTGGCTGCACTTGCCATTCCCAAGCACTCTATGCTCTGTCTCCTCTACTCAGCGCAGGTGCCTTCACTCGCCCTGGCTCTCCCCCTGCCCAACCTCCCAACTCCTCTCCAATTGAGAACCTCCCTGGGAACACTCCACAACACCACCCCCCAGAGGTTTCAGAGTTCCTTCCTACTTGCTCCCATCATTCCTCCAGGGCATAGCCTCCAGGGTAGCCAGAACTCGCCGTATTTTATAGCAGGTGTTTCTTGACCTCTCTCCACCACACTGAAGGCACTTAGAGGACAGGCACGGAGGCTTTTCACCTTTCTTCTGACATATAATTTTGGGCTTAGACATAAATGTTCAAGAAGTATTTCTGAATAAATGGATTAAATAAAATAATGAACAAACAAGCCAACAAACGACTGAATGGCACTGATGATAATAGGTATTCACCTCTAGGGTAAAAACCTGCTTCAATAGTGCTTAGGAATCCTTGCCTTTAGAACACTGAAATTGGACAGTGATGTTACCCTTGTGAAGTTATTTGGGTTACGTGGAAATCAGGGGAGTTGGGATAATCCAAAGAGGAAAAGGCATAAGAGGCCAGCCTGAAGAGATTTTCAAGTTTCTGCCGTATTGGTGTTTTTCCAATAGCCACAAGGAGATATTGCAGCTCAAATCCACCTTTTCTTAGCAAATAAGCTCCAAAAGATGATTCAGAGAAAACAAATTCCATTGAAAGCCACGTTCCATTAATCAGGGGCTCTGAGAGGTGACCTGCCCAGGCAGCTATTGGCCTCTTCTGCCATTTTATATTTCCTCTTTAATCAAATCCCTGGATGCTACAGTTCTCAACTTGCAGAGATTTAAAAGGCACTTTGATTAATGGATTTGATCAGTGTCCGCTCTTGTTTAACCATGGTGCTCTCCTCTGCGTTTCACACCCACATCACACCATCCCCTTTTATTACAGGAACTGAAGAATGGGATGGCCTGCCAGACAGCAGAGTAATTTATGAAAAATATATTTTTAAAGGGAGAGTGTATTAAAGCTTGAAAAGAACTCAGAGCCTGTTGCTATTTTAATTTTAAATAGGCTATGCAAATAATTAAACGTTAGGTCATATTGACACCATCAAATTTGGGAGAGTATAGATGGTATACAACCCCAGAGTCCTAGAGAACAGTAAATCAGATCTATCAGGGCACTGCATCATATCCTGCTTTTGACATGAAACAACAGTATCGACTGGGTTAAAAATGAGCCAATTTTCAAAAACCTCTACCTGCTACAAACGTTTTCACATATACCACAGCTCTTTAAAAAGAGATAAAGAGAAATTGAGATGAATTCATAAATATATTTAAGCACTAAATCCCTCTTTGGTTTTTTTACTTTTCTTAAGCCTCTCCTGCCTCACAAAAGCCTATTTCAAATATTGACTTCAAGGAGAAGATGGATAAGAACAGCCAATATTCAGGGCTAAGGTAATGGAAGCTGCTCAACCTACTTTAAGAACAGCCAATATTCAGGGCTAAGGTAAAGGATGCTGCTCAACCTACTTTAGAACAGTTTAATTTGGATATTTACCTGAACTTTGCTCATGGCTTTGTACACCTGAGTCTCAATCAGGCACACCAATACGTACTGTGTACTTTGAGCTATATACTGTGTTCTGTGGTGCAGCTCTTTCAGATTAGCAGGAAAGTTTTACAAAATCCTCTTAAAATGACATTGAGAAAGCACAAATTATCAGTGAATAAATATTTATTGTGCGCCTACTATGTGCTAAGAATTCTGCAACGTTGTAGAAGTGTCATGATGAATAAGACAATGAGGAGAAGAGATAGCAGAAAATGTGCCTTTCTTCTTTTAAGTTGCCTAACTAGTGATTCAGGGAATTCTTCCTTCCAGAGTATCTAATAACTGGTTATCCCACAATGGCCCAGAATTAAATTGAATGTCAAAAGGAAACCAGTCTTGCATCTGGGATTGGTTGGTTGGCCAATAACCACCGGTGACAAAAGCTTTGCGTTGACCCCAGTAATTTGTCTCTCCATTGCCCACGGCAGACATCACTAATCAATGGCAGCATTTGGCCATCTATTCCACAGTTATTTATTGAGTGACTCCTACATGTCAGCACTCTCATAAGCACAGCAGACCCTGCAGTGGTTGAGACAAACAAAGTCCCTGCCCTCTTGGAACTTACATTCTCGTGGGGAAATAAGGCAATACACAAGAAAAATAATTTTAGTTAATGAGAGGTGATAGGAGTACAATTAGGTAAGGAAAGGGGATAATGTGTGCCTAAGGGAATCGGGGAGAGACGACACTTTTTAGCTAGGGTGATCAAAGTTATCTCAGTAGAGGTCACATCTGGAGAGAAACCGTGAGATCTATTCCGCTGGCTCCTCCTAAGCAGAGCACTCCAGGCAGCCACTACCAGTCAACTGCTGATCAGACATTTCTGTGCTATGAATGAGCCCTGAGTAAGGCATACTAGGGAATGGAGAAGAATCCAAAGTAAAAAGCATTCAATGTAGCTATGGGATACATGTTTAACAAAATCAAACATTACAAGATTGAAAGAAGACTTGAAATACTTGTATTCTAGTCTTATTTTAACATTTTAGACTCTCAGTTTCCTCATTAATGAAATAAGAAGGTTGGATGAAATAATCTATACAATTCCTTTTAGATCCTATGGTCAATAATTCTAAGAAGTAAAGTGGGGTTTTAGACAATTGGAGAGAGGGTAGATTAAGTAGAGAAGTATTTTTGTGAAAGAGGTCATTTGAACAGTCAGAGGAGAAATGAGATGTACTATGACTTCCTGGAGGCTTCTGGATAACCAGCAGAGCCACAGTCAGCTCCTGATTTTGCAAACAGCTTCAACTACCACAACCCAAAGCAGTTTTCACCTTGAATTCGGCATGTAAGCCAACTGGCGTGGTCTTCTCAGCCGTGTGCACATTCAAAATCTCCAGCATCCCAATCTGTCATCTGCTCATCTCAGAACATAAAGAGCTACACAAGGCAAATCACCACGTTGTGAGACAAAGAAGGGAGGGTTATTAGAGATTCATCGGAAAGAATCCGCCTTTCACTGCTGCCTGCGACAGGAGAGCCACCATTTCAGAAGTGTCACAGGAGAGAATTACAGGTTTCCACAGTCATGATGGGTCTGGATCAAGACTCAGGTATTTATTTTTAAAATTCTTGATTTTGCTCCACAATAGCATTAAAAACAGGACCCACGTGCATAAAAATGTCCCCTTTTTATACAGGTAGTAGTTCAAGTTTGGGTCCTTAGCCATAACCCAGATACTTATATGTTACTATGACACTGTGAGTTTGGATGATAAATGATTCAAATTCATTTTGTGGGTACAAAGTGCTTCATAAATACTTAATCTCCAGAGTGATTTCAACTTAGAATTTCTGACCCTATTTGGACTTCTCTTTATCCAAGTCACACCGGGTCCTTGTTCTATTTGTAAATACGTAACGTTCCGCACCAGCCTCTGCACCACTCCCCCTGCTGCTGATGGATGCTGACTTGGGTCCCGCGCCCAGGCAGCCTGAGAGATGCAAGAGAAGCCAGGAATGGTCTTTTGAGTAGCCTGTGATCCCAGAATAGCTCCACTGATTTACTATATCTCCCGTTTTCCGTGCTGTGGAGCAAAGATGGAACTATCTTTGTGACCTCTGCCAGATCACAGGGATGGATGTTTTCTTGAGAGGATGCTCTCTCCAGAGAAAAGCACATGACAGCAATCCAGCATTTTGGAGGTACTAACTGTTCATCCACCAAATCACAGTCCCCAGCCTTCTGCCACGAATGAAACAGAAGGTGATCAGGGACTTGCTTTCTCTGGGAACATACTAGAAATGGAAGTACAGATATCATCTCTTCTATTTCCCTCGTAAAATAGCACTCCCGAAGACACTCACTCAGCATGGCTTTGGCCTACACTCCAGAGAGCCTTGAGGATCAGGCTGGAGTCTACTGGCCAGAAAAGGCGTGGTTAGTTATAGAGCACAGCAGCAAAACTACTTAATCTCTCTGGTCTTCAGTCTTCTCATTTATAAAATGAATGTTTAGGTCTGTCTCTTGGGCATTAACCTCATGGTAGCCTATCTGGTAAACAAGCCTGGTTTGAAATCCCATCTGGCACTTACTGCTTGTGCTGCCTGGCCTCAATTTACTTGTCTGTATAATGGAAACAATACTCACTTCAAAGAGTAACTGTAAGAAAGAGATTAGTTAAGCACATGGCACAATTGTTAAACTGCACTGAGCTGTCTCACCTTATTTCTGTAGACAGAGTCCTCTTACATTACCATCCAACAGAGTTCTCTTTCCCATGGAAGTGCTTGCTAAACCTGAGCACCTCCAAATCCAATTTGACAACAAAATTGCAGTGCAGCCCAAACCCTGTTTGAATGAAGAGTTTATCTGGATTGTTTCTGTTGAAGATGAATATCCCAGGCTCATCACACCTCCCCACTCATGAAATCTGTGAGAACAACCAGGCGTGCAACACAAAATGGGGAAAGGAAAAGCAGACCCCCGGGAGAGAGTGTTAAGTGCATATATATCTGCTCTATTATCTTAGTGGCTTAGGACAACAACCATTTTAGTTTATCTCATGATTTTGTGGGTCAGTTTCAGGCACATTTTAACTGGGTGATGGTATCAGCTGAGGTCAGTCTGTGGTATTTAGATGTTGAGTGGGCTGGACTGGAGGGTCCAAGACAGTTTCACCCATGGTTTGGGGGTGGGAATGGCTGGAGGGCTGGGCTCAGCTGGATCCATCTACTGGAGCATCCACCCATAACTGTGCCAACATGGCGGTCTCAGGGTGTCAGACTTCTTACACGGTAAGTTGTTTCAAGAGACCAAGGCAGGAACTTCAAGGCTTCTTCTGATCTAACCTTGGAAGTCATGCACCATCACTTCTACCACATTGTAGTGAGCAAGTCATCAAGGCTGGTGCAGACCCAAGGAGGGGGATAAGACTTCACAGTTCAACGGGACAAGTGGCACTGAACTGGCAGCCATCTTTAATCTACCTCAATATCTGAGCCTCAGTTCTGCTCTGTAGAATGGGCTATGGGTAGACCTCTCCCATCTTCACATCCATTCCAGTGTTACCGCCAATGTCTTTAATATCTAATGAGGAAGCCAAAGGCGAGAGGTCACAGGGCAACCAAAAAACTCCAACAAGTAGGACTTAGAGGCTCCCCTGACTTGCCACCATCTCAAAATAAATTGCTTTCTTCTATGTTTGAGTCTAGTCTGTATCTAGAACCACAAAATAATAATAAAATGAGGCTGGGCGCGGTTTGGCTCACTTAGTGAATACAGCCTGCTACAATTCAGTTAGTATATATTATCAATGGTAAATAAAGTTCTGGAAACTACATCGTATGAGGAAAGTGTGGTAAAAAAAAAAAAATGGGGAGGCACCTAATCCTGAGAAGAAAAGATAAGGGAATGCAACATTTACTTATTTTCACATATTTAAGTGGGTATGGAAAGCTATTTTCTGCTCACTAGAAAGCAATGGTTAACCACTAGATAGAAATTACAAGGAAAAAGATTATGCTTAATACAAATTTCTGGTTTTTTTCTTTTGCCTTCACCCCCACCCTCACCTCTAATTTCTTTTAATAAGATGGAGAAATCAGTTTTTCCTAACAGCAGTTATGGAAATACCTCTAACCATGGTAGTGATTTGGGCTGTTTACCAATAACCTAGTGCTCACTTCTTCTGAGCACAGGGTAGGACTTCATTTCCCCACCCCTTCCAGGTTAGGAATGGCCTCCTGGCTAGCCTTGACCAAAGACATGCGATTGGAAGTGTTGTAGATTACTCCATCCAAAAACACTCCAAGAGCCAGTGTGCAAATTACCACATCCCCTTTCTCTCTTCTGGGCTATTGACGAGTGGAGGCACCGTTAGCCTGAGTCCTGAGTGAGGAGACGGAGCAGACCCCTCAGCAAGATTGTCAGCTCAAATACAGGATGGCCAGTTACACCCGAATTTTAGGAAAAAATAATAATTTTTAGTATGCAACATTTGAGACATACCTATACTAAAAAATTCGCCGATTATCTGAAATTCAAATTTGAATGTCTTGTATTTTTCTTTGCTAAATCTGGCAACCCTATCCTTAAGTGATTCACGGTAGTTGTGAAACATCAGGAAGAAATAAACCTTGTTATTTTAACCCACAGAGATTGAGGATTGTTACTGCCAATAACTTAGCCTATCCTGACTTAACTACTTCCCATCTCTGGTGAGGGAATATGTTGATGAGGCCTAAGTGTAGCCCCAATATTTGAAAGGAAGAAGGCAGTTTCTGTACATAATAAAAGAGAAACTTGGGAGCTCTGGGACATAATTTAAGAAGGAAGGATGGGTAGAAAATTGGTGTAACACAGCCTCAGCCATCGGGGAACTTCACGTCTACTTGGAAAATAAAAATTAAAAAAAAAAAAAAAAAAAAAAAAAAACGAAAAAAATAATGGTAGAGAGAAGTCCTGAGAATAAAGAGGCCATGTGGGTTTGGAGCAGGCATGGAAGGACTTCATGGGGAAAGGAGGTTTGCCTGGCCAGGAGATAAGCAAATAAGTAGGACTGGGGATGTAGAAGGGCTGAGAGCAGCCATGCCCCAGGGAAATGAGTAATCATGGTTTGTCTGTGAGGTTATTGTCTAGAATTGCCAGAGTCTACAAGACCAGCTGTCCCCGAGGGTTGGAGATAAAGTGCTAGGTGGTGTGGAAGTTGTAAGAATCAAAATGGAGTTACTAATGTTTTTTCTTTAAAAAAAAAAAAACTCAGGCTGTGCGCAGTGGCCCACGCCTGTAATCCCAGCACTTTGGGAGACTGAGGCAGGCGGATCACCTGAGGTCAGGAGTTCGAGACCAGCCTGGCCAACATGGTGAAACCCCGTCTCTACTAAAAATACAAAAATTAGCTGGGCGTGGTGGCGGGCACCTCCCAGCTACTCAGGAGGCTGAGGCGGGAGAATCGCTTGAACCCAGGAGGTGGAGGTTGCAGTGAGCCGAGATCGTGCCACTGCACTCCAGTCTGGGTGACAGAGCAAGACGCCATCTTGGGAAAAAAAAACAAAAAACAAACCAAAAAAAACTTGACAAATAGAGCTAGGGAAAGCTAAGAAGAAAGCACTCCCACACTTGTATGCCTGATAACAAAAACTAACACAAAAGGCTCTACAAAACCATAACCTTGCACAAAGGCCATCACAGCCTTACACATATATATAAAAAAAAAAAAACAAAAAAAAACCTCCACAAGGACATTCGCCCAGCAACTGCCTGTCTAACCTTGGACTGGCAACCCCTTGTTATTGATCTCTGTAGCCAAGGATAACCATTTGAAAACAATTATGAAATCCTCCTTACTTTCTCTTTGAAAACCTTCCTCTTCCTTTCTTCCTCTGCCTCCTCGAATATGCACAGTTTACTATGACATGCGTGTTACCGTTGCAACGCTCTGCTCCTGAACAAACGCCTTTCTCTAGACAGCCTCTCACTGTGTGGTTATGCAGCTTGACAGGGGCCCGCTGGACCCAAGTTTACTGCCTCTGGCAGGCGGTGGTGATGACGGGGAGTAAAAGCACCTTGTGGGGAGTTGAAGGGAAAGATATTTCAACGCAAAAACCCAGGCACTTTTACTACCTTTTGTTTGATGCATCGGTGTTACGGGAAAGCTCCTTGGCAGCGAGGGCCTGGCTCTTTATCGCCGTGTGTCCCCGCCCCACGTGGGTCCCATGCTTAGCCCACGGCGGGTGTTTGAAAAGCACGGAATGTATATGGCGGGACAGGGCGCGCTGCGGATACACCGGGACGCCCCCTCAGCCGCGACAGTAACGGCCTCCGGCCACCAGGGGGCAGCCAGGGCGCGCTGCGGATACACCGGGACACGCCCCTTCAGCCGCGACAGTAACGGCCTCCGGCCACCAGGGGTCGGCCAGGGCGCGCTGCGGATACACCGGGACGCCCCCTCAGCCGCGACAGTAACGGCCTCCGGCCACCAGGGGGCGGCCAGGGCGCGCTGCGGATACACCGGGACGCCCCCTCAGCCGCGACAGTAACGGCCTCCGGCCACCAGAGGGCGGCCAGGGCGCGCTGCGGATACACCGGGACGCCCCCTCAGCCGCGACAGTAACGGCCTCCGGCCACCAGGGGGCGGCACACGGCGCCTCAAACTGTAAACGGCTCCGGGCTTCGGAATCCGGGCGGGGAGCGGAGAGCGGTTCGCAAAAGCCAGTTGGTGCCCGGATGCCGGCATTGTCACGGGATCGCGGCCAAAGGGGGTAGAAGACAGCGCAACAGTCGCTCTTCTTGCATGAAGCTATATGCATCTAGTGTGACGGATTATCCTACCTGGAGACTGTCTTTTTCAGCTCGGCATCACGGGGGCGGGGGCGGTGACCCCCATCCGGGCTCCCCGGGGGCGGTGACCCCCATCCCGGCTCCCCGGGGGCGGTGACCCCCATCCCGGCTCCCCGGCCTTCTCTCCTCCGCCCGCTCCTGCCTCCCTTCTGCTTACTCCTCTCCTGGTCAACAGGTCAGCTCGGGGTCCTGCTTCCAACCTCCTCCTCCTAGTTGAAGCCGGTTCTCAGGAGAGAACCTGCCATCCGCAGCTTTACACCTCGGCAGGAATGTAAATCACTCTTCTCCCGTCCCAGGAAGCCTTTCCAGTGTTCTGATTCCAGAAAGCAGGTGTGTGTGGCCGGTTCAAGGAATTTCAAGCATCAGCAGGCAGAGGAAAGTACCAGAGTGGAAGGCAGCCCACAGGGTGTCGAAATCAAGCCACCCAGGGAGCCCGCAGATCCCACCCTCTCCGGTGAGAGAGTTTGGTGGGGAGCACTTCATCCAATGCAGGGAACAGCGTTACTGCGGCCTTCACCTCCCGGCTTCAAGTGATTCACCTGCCGCAGCCTCCCAAGTAGTTGGGATTACAGGCGCGTGCCACCACGCCGGGCTAGTTTTTGTATTTTTAGTGGAGATGGAGTTTCACTATTTTTCTCTCCCCATCCCGGGAAAGTTGTATCTGTTTACCACATGTTCTCCCACATCTACTCGGTTTTACCTCTGTAAGGCCTGAACTCAAAAGCCAAGAAAAAACCTCTTTCTCCAGAACTTTACCTTTTCTGGCAAAAGGAAGCAGGGAGACCTACTAGGAAAATGCCAAGAACAAAATGATTAATCATGTGAAGACGGCATCTACCACCTCAAATCGCCCAGCTCATTGAACCTGCGTGAGGATCCAGCACTGTCCCTGGTGTGTACAGCTCAGTGCACCGAGATGACCAACCGCCTGGGTTTGCTTTACTGTCACTGCTAAAGGCAGGAAGGCAGCTGCCAAACCAGGACAAGGTGGTCACCCCACGGTGAACATCAGTCACCCTCCCTAGCCCACACAGGCAAACAACCGGGGGAGACTATGGCTCAGGGCTTAGAACCCAAAGGCCTGAACAAATGAGGAAGTTTCTACAACAAAGACTTTCTTTGACAGAGTAACCAGTCATAATTTCTGAGCATTCCAGGAGCGCTGTGCAGAATCACAGGTATTTGGCAACTAGTGGGATAAAACAAAGGTGCCATTGAGGATGTTTACAACCAACCCCTCTCCGGAGATAACCTCAAGGTCTTTCCCTTGCACATGGCCTTTCCATGACTCATCCACAGCAGCTGCCTCCCTCCACCACACAAAGGACCCTGCAAGTTCTGTTTGGTATTCTTGAGAATAAAAACTCCGTGGGTCGTTCCCTGGAATTGGTTCTCACCCATTTTCTTTCCTCTGACCGTAGCCAGGATAGGCATCTAATTCTATAGCTTGTCCGTGGAATGGAAAAACAATTTGGATTTTCACAACCTGAAACCTAATTTCTGGTAGGAAGGTACCATCTGGTGGATATTTGTGAAACTGCTCACGTCCTGTGTTTGAAAATGAGCATCTGGGGGCAGCGTGCCTCTCCGAATGTCAATAGGAACGTTGCTCCGAGAGGAGGAGAGATCCACACTCAATGTGGCTGATCCCCTTAACTATGTGACACTGTGTATGTGACTATGTCATAAGCAGCGTCATCCCTGTTTACAGTTTTCTCAGTTTACAATGAATTTAAATAGCTACCCATTGCCTCTTCCTCTCCAAGCGTACTCCTTGCTCCTCCGTGACAGGCACATTGATCTATGAGAGTTGTCTCTTGGGAAATCTAGTCATATCTCATGCGAACATTTTCTAATTGGTGCACCCACCCCTCTGTGGGCATGTTCGCACAGTGTCATGGGCCCTTTGTGGAGGGTTGTCCCCTTTGTTCACCACAGCCCCTCTCTCTGAGACTCTGCACCCCCTATAGGAGGTCGGGGGTGTCTGCCATGTTTGTGGGACTAGCCCCCAAACAGCAGGGTGAGCAGGGTTGACCACTTGCTCAAGCTGGGCAGTCAGATTCTCACTCTCTTGAGATCTGGAACCAGTATTCAGAAACCACGAACAAGTGCAGCTGGATCTGCGGTGGGGTGGACCCCAGCGCTTAGGGGCATGCTGCTGCTGCCATGTGCACAAAGCAGCAGCCCTGCCTGGCCTGCAGAGTGAGTACCAGCCCAGAGCAGAGACAGCTGGAGAGGCCCTTCTGCCTATGCCCTGAGGCAGTCCACATCCCTGGGCTGCATTCTGGCCCTTGAACTTCATGGGTTATTCTGTTATAACAATGAATTCCCCTTGATTACTGAAGCAGGCTCTGGTGGTTACTTACATTTAGACACACACACACACAGAAACACACACACCCCTGCTGATGAAGGTCTATCAGCAGATCCTGAAGCCTGACCCAGGGGGTCTCACAGAAATTAAAAAAAAAAAAAAAAACATGCTTCTAATCAAAAAAATGTTAAGGGATTCCATGTTCCGTATACACCTGCTGTCAACGGGGAGATAAACCAACCTGCCCCAAGCCTGTTTGAAGGTTTCAGCAAGGGAGGCCACTAAGCCTCTGCCTCAGCTGAAGAGCAGAGGCTGTCTCCACAGGAAAGATCATCCCCCATGATGTAAACGGTTTGTGGAGGAAGTGCATGGTGCAGGAGGAAGGAGGCACTCCCTAACCAAAAGGAAGTTGGAGTTTTGGTGGGGAGAGATGAGGCAGCCAGAGAGAATCTCCATGATGCTGCCTGGGCTCCCCAGAAGCCGACTCTGAGCAGAGTTCAGTGGGCAGGAGATTTATTAAGGAGTGTTCTCCGATCCATACCTGTGGAAGGAAGGGAGATGAGGCAGGAGTGGGTAGAGGGAGGAGTTGAGCTGTGAGAGGGCACAGCAGGAGTCTTGGCCCACCCTACAGGGAGCTTTGGAGTTTTAATGGCCTGTCAGGCTTGCCCATGTTGGGCTAAAATGGCCTGGCTTTGTCCTTCTGTGTCAGTCAGTCACTGGATGTGGGTTGCCCCACGAAGGCTGCGACCTTGGATGAGGAGGGTCTCTATAGCATAGAGCTAGCTGTCTGCTGTCTGCTAATGGGGTCCCATCAGTGTCTGCTGCATGCTGATGGGGCCGTCTTCTGATGGGGTCCTAGCAGTGGGGTGGCAAGTCCTTCCCTGTGGGAGTTCCTGATCTGTGAACACCAGCTGGGTTCCTCATGAGATTTCTACTACCTTGTTAAGGTCTCGTGCTGTCTAGGAGATGGCATTGTTCTTGTTCTCTTCCTTCAATGAGAAATTGACAGAAATAGATGGTTTAAATTAAACTATACCCAAAAGGCCAGGGACTAGGTGAGGAATATTGTGAAGTCATCATCAATTTTGTTCCATTTCTACTTTTGCTCCTTTGCCCTTCCCTTTACATACTATTCCTCCCCTCTTTTTTATTTTCTCCCCTCTCTCCATTCCTTCCTTCAGTTGTTTTTCTTTTCCCACAGGATAAGCAACAGGACAGGCTAATTCACACTGTAGAATAAATGACTGCTAACTAATCATTCCAGTCCAGTGCCATCTTCCATTCCTGCTGCAGTCCAGATGTGCATCACAACTGGATTTAGATCATGTCCTACCTGGTCTCCCTTCTCCATTTCTTCTCTAGTCCACCTTGACCACTGAAGCCATATGAAGCATCACTAAATGCCACCTGCATCAGGTCACTCCCTTGTTTAGGAGAGTACAGTGTCTCCCCAACCCCTTCCAGGCCCGGTTCAAGGACAAGCAGCACTGGCCCAGGAATTAGAGGCTCAAGGGGCCATGTAGCTCAGAGGTTAGGAGCATAGGCCCTGGAGCCCAACTGCTGTGCGAGTCTCATGATTTCCAACAATTACCAGCTCCATGACTTTGGGCAAGGTACTTACCCTCTTCTGTCTCAGTTTCTTCATCTGTCAAGCGAAAATAACCTACTGTGAGGATGTGATTAATCTAGTGAGTACAATAGGTGCTTGATCATCTTAGCCGCTGGTGATATTATTTGTGCTATTAATCACTGAGTATCAAGTACCTAAGTGACCCTGACCTTGGACAAGTCACTTCACCTTGCTGGGGAGGGATCTCAGTTTCCTCATGCTTAAATTGAGGGGATTGCCTAGGTCATCCCTAGGGTCCCGGCCAGCCGCAGCATTCAGTTTCTCTCATTCTTACCATGTCATTCAAGGCTCACCCATCCACACACATTTCCACACTACAGCTATAATTTTGGGCTCACTCTCATATAAACCTTTGTTCCTACTCCTATTCAGCCTAGCATTGTCCCTGCTCCCTTCAGTGTGTTGTCAATCTTACTAGATTATAGGACAGAAATAGGTCTCTTTTATCTTTGTGTGCACACACAGGGTCCGGAATAGCTTCTTCTACATAGGTTTTCACGGAATGCTTTTGGCCACTTTCCAGCTATTCATCTTGCCTGACTCTACCCCTCTGGAACCACTCCTCTAGCAGAAGCCCTGGAAACACTCTGGCTTTTTCAACTGCCAGTTTAATTTGCCACCATCTGTCACAGCGTATGAGTTCCTGGAGGCCTAGAGCACATCCTCTCCCAGAGGCTTAGCGCAGTGCCCCATCCAACCCCAGACAGAGGTAATTTATACACACAAAAAGGCCAGGGTCATTGTGGGAGAGGGAAAGGAAGGCTGAAGTTGGAAGGAGACAAACCCTTGCAGCCTTCAGTTTCTGAATTGTTCCCACTCAGTTTGCAATGACAGAATTCTAGGAATTCATTTCTAAATGTTTAGAAAAAGTAGTGTCTTTGTGTACAGTAATCTTCCAGAAAGAAGAGATCATCCTAGCTATATTGTTTATTCTTTTGTATATTAACACCTGTGGCACCCACTGTAAGTTGTTTGGGGTTAGACCATGATAAGAGAAGAAACTGACAAAAATTCTCAAGATCCACAGGAATGGGAAAGGGAGGTGGGAAGTGACACTTTTTTCTAGAGGTATCAGTGATAAAATCTGTAATACAGAATACAGAAGCCACCACAATGTGAGCAAGTGGGGCAGCTTTGGACACGTGCCTTCTCCCTAGAAGGTCAACAAATACATTCCTGTATGTTTAATAGATGTATATTTGGGCCTGTCACACTGGGCATACTGAGAACACTCACTAGAATTTCCAAGAACTGTAACATTCCTTTACAGAGTAGCCAAATTTCTAGCAAGCAGAGCCCTCCAGGACATAGCCAGGCCTGTGGAGGTCAGGTAGAAAACACCACAGCATCACTGCTCCCCTGTGTGTGCCACCAACGGATGTGCATTCAAGCAGCACAGAACAACTCAAGCCTGAGCAAACCGTGTGCTTCCAAGCATCATGTTAATTGTGAAGCCAATTCAACATGCTGGGAGTCCCTTTTGTGCTGCAGATATAATTCTGAAAATGAGTGCAGACAAGTGCTTCTGAATCCAAGGTCTGGTATTTCCCACTTTCGCCTTGCCAACCTACCCAGCCAATGCTAATGTCTGTTGTTAATGCCGTGTAGTTTGGCCTCTGATTAATCTGATCAGAGGACATGTGCCCAGTGTCTCTTATTAACACTTCATAGTACGGTTCCTAACCTAGGACTTGCTGCCATTTGCTACGAACACGATAGAGTGATTACCGATTGACTTTTGGGGGATCATCTCTACTGTCTTGCCTGGAGCTGTTGGAAAAGGCCTCCTTTATAGGTGCTGCTTCAAAATCCTGCCTCCTGGTCCTTAAAGGGCACATTTTATAAATCGCATGTATTCAGAGTAAATACAGCAAAAAAATCTCTTGAGGGGTTGTGGTCATGCTGGAAAACAACCAGAGCTGGGACTGCTCCCTCCTCATCCTGGAATGTATCACCCATCCTCTCCTCCACTGCTTTCCAAGAAGAGGACTGACCCCTCACTCTTTTCCAGAATTAATCCACTTTTCTCTCACTTTCCATCCCACCATCTGTTGCCTCTTCTGGGAGCTTGAGTCAAAACCCGCCCCTTCTCACTTCTGCCTCCTTAGCCTCAGCGCACAGGTATGCTCGAGGCTTCCAGGAGAACTAACCCAAGCAACCCGCTTCCAACCTATCCTCCAGCCCTCACGCAACCATTGAGCTTTTTTCCTTCTTTAAGTGCATATTTCTTGAAAAAAAAAAAAATAACAAGAGCTGTTTCCAATGATTGGAGCTGTCTCATTATTCTCCCTTACTCCAGGTCTCCTTGCAATCCTCTTCAATTCCCATTTCCCTTCTTAAGTTGATCCCTCAAAGGCCACCAGTGATCTTCCAACTGGGAAATGTAATGACCTTTTATTCAGTCTTTATCTTTGTCATCTCTCTGTAGGCTTTGGCATTTCTGCCAGCTATTTCTTTCATGTCCTTTGCTCTCCTCGTTCCCAGGACACCCTGCTCCCACTCATAATACTGTGGCCACCCCCTCCTTCCTTTTTTGGCTCTTCTTCCTCCTTGGGTCCCCTGCATGCCATTCCCCGAAGCCCTGTTCTTGGCTTATTTCCCTCCTTTACCTTTCTTTTCTCAAGGTTTCAGCATTCACCTCTTCATGTATTACTCTTTATCTTCACTTTCAGTTCTGCTAGCGATCTGTTTCTAGATAATGGATATTATCTCCAATATACCCCTCAAAATCAACAGGTACCAAACTGCACTTACCATTTTCCCTCCTAAATAGGCTCCTCTTATTCTAGATATTGTACCAACATCCATCCTCACCTCTACACCAGTCACCTCAGTCACCTCCCAGGCTAAACAACTCAGCATTGGCCTTCCTCCACTGCCTTTCCCCAGGTCTAATTATGTCCTAAATCCCATCAATGCCACCACTGCACTAGCCTTCTCATAGCCCCCTCTCCTCCCTGTTCCCATGCTCCACCCTAATCCAGGCCTTCATAGTCTCTTCTCTGAATAATTATGTGGCAGACCAATTGCCTGAGATACTAACTTGTGTTTTTTGTGCTGCCTTTTCCCTCCTCTATTCCATGAAAAAATAAGCACCCTGTGCATCCTTGGCTTCAGGTGAAGGCTTCCTGGCTTTTATTGAAGAAAGCACAGTTAGTGCTTTTGAGGACAACAGGAGGAGAGGGAAAGACTAAAAGATAAAAGAGTGGAATACTACTCAGCAACAGAAAAGAAATACTAAACAACAAAATGGTATGAACTATTGATTTCTATAATACAGGCAAGTCTCACATATACAATGTTGGGTAAAAGGAGCAGGACGCTATAGAGTGTATCCTGCGTGATTCTATTTATATGGATTTCTAGAACAGGCAAATTAGACTATGGGGATAACATTTAGAAGAGTGACTGCTTCCAGGTAGGGAGGGGATGGACTGGAAGGAAGCACAGGAGAATTTCTAGAGTGACAAGAATATGCTATATCTTGATTGGGGTGTGCTTATGTGAGTATTCAATTCATCAGAGCACATCAAACTATAAATAAGGTCTATAAATTTCACCGAATGCAGTTTGCAAAGAGGTCAGAGACTGAGAGGGTGAAGAGAGCAACCTCCTAAGCCATACTGATGGCAGACCCGAAGAGGCAGCACTACTTCAGAAGGGATGGCTGTGTGGTGTCTCTAGAAAGCCTGGTCCCTAGAGACCAAGCTCCTATGCCCTAAGCCACAGGAGGCCTCCCAGCTTCAAAGACGTCCACGGCAACCATGATGGGATGGAAATTAGGAATCCTTCCCAGGACTCCCAGACTCCTAGTCATCTTTCCGTATTTGAGAACATGCTTGGGAAAGCAGGAGTACCAAATCATGATATTCAGACTGAATTTCCTACAAGCCCAGCAGAATGGAACTTGAAACACAACCTGAAGAAAATAAGGAAATGGGCATTTCCTGCAAAACAGACTCAGGTGACTGAGAGCCATACCCCGTACAAAAGTAAAACCTCAAATTTTTCTCTCAATTCTTCTCATCCACTTCCGACAAATTAATTTCCTAATTATAGCTTGGGTGATGTCTTTCTCTGGATAACACTTTCAATGATTCCATATTCCTTAGGGAACATAAAAATCTATATCCTTTAACCTAACATTCAAGGGCCTCTTCTCTCTCTCTACCTTTCCAACCTCATTAGCCACCACTCCCCAGTAGGGGAGAGAGAGAGAGGGACACTATATTAAAAAGATTATTAACACCAGATAGAAGGAAATAAATTTTAAATGCTTTAAATATTAGAAAGCCACACTCTGCAAGACCATAACTGGTTCCACACACCATTTGGCCAATGTTCAGAGAAAGTGAACAAATTTTAATGTTTATCTAACCCAAACATAATCTTAAGTGTAAATTGCTCAAAATCTGGGGTTTATTACAATCCTATTTTTCATAATAGCCAAACACAGTAAGCCCCCACATGCGTGTGACTTAGGGAATGAGACACAAACGCAGGTTTGAGATGAGACACAATGGGGTTTGAATCCCTGCTCTACTTTGTGTGCAGCAGACAATGCTGGTGTGTATCCAACAATGAACGTGTACATTCCCCACCTCTTCCAAACAGAGAACTGGTTTTGTTCTAGTAGGACACACCCTTTCACCTGGTGTCTCACTAAGCCTGTCTTCGAAATCTATTCAACCTAGACACATGGTGCAGTTCTCACCATTAAGAACTCCTCTGGAAGACTTGTAGGAACATTTTCTTTCTCTTACAAAGGGCCACGCAGGAAGAAATCTCTTTTCTTCACATGGATTTGATTATGTCTGGGCCTGAAATAGCAACCACCATCTGTCAACAAAGGGAGAAGACAAACTAAGGACAGAGCCTCCATGCTGAGAATGACACAACAAAAGGTGGGAAAATACTGGACCCCCGATGATGCTGGTGGGCCACTAAATCAATCAGTCCTGGAGACACCTACCTATAGACTGCTTTGATGTGAGAGGACATTCTTATTTAATTAATAATTGGAATTGGAGTTTTCTGTTACTTGTATCCAAAAGGGTCTAGGCAATACTCTCTGTAACCTTGGTCAAGTCTTTTATCCTTACCAACTGTCAATTTTCTCCTCTGTAAATGGAGTTAGCAACGCTAATTCATGAAATGGTTGCAGGATCAAATGCAAAATATCTAAAACATTGCCTGGCACATAGTAGGTGCTTGATAGTAATTTTATATTTACCTACTTGGCAGCTTTGTTTTCCGGATGTACTCCTTTAAGTACTTTCTCTTATTAATCATTTCTAAACCCAATTTATCTTAAAGAATTTAACTTAATTAAATAATCTTTCATGGAAAAATGATCAAAACCAGACTTAAGACCATGACTGGGAAGCTTATAGTTATTTTTAATTTAACACAGTGCATTCAGGGCTTGCTGATGTGTGTAGACTGTTTCCATCAAATGTGAGAAAAGGAGCTCGACACAGTCTGACAATCTCTGGCAATGCATCTGGTCCTGAAAACTAGACCCATTCCCCAGAGAAGGACTGGGGCAGGCAGGACTTGGCAGGAGGTGTAGAAAGAGACCCAGACAGGAAGAAAACCATCCTGGAGACCTGGAGACATTGTTTAGCATCAGCAAACTCCATCAGCAGACACATAAGATAGTGATGTATAAAACAGTGTTTCCCAACTGGGGCAATAAAGACAGCTGCAGAGGGAGAGAGCGTTACCACCTCACAATAATTTTCTTCTCAAGAATGGTTCTCTCTCCTTCTCATGGTCCAAGGGAGAAATTCAGTTTGTCCCCCAACTCCCACCCACCCAAGAAAATATTTCCTGGTGTTTGGAAATGTCTGCGTTTTACCCACCAGTTGGAGGTCTGGCCAGCCTCAGAGCTGAGAACCGAGGCTGTGATGAGATGGGGGTTTGCAGGCTCGTGGGGCTGCCACAGCAGAAGGGAGCTGTGTGTGCTTCAGCTGTGGCTGCCTCTCCCAGGAGGTTCATCACGGTCAGAGGAACCCAGGATGGCTCCGTTGTCATCAGGGCCCAATCTTCCACCATCTAGCCTTAATAAATCTACAGCATTAGGAATCAGATTGGCAGCAACAAGTCATCACAGAGAGGACAGCAAACTCCCCAACCTCTCACCCTTAATGGAGCAGGAGTAGGGAAGCAGGGAGAGAAGTCAGACCCTGTGCCTCTTAGCCCCAAGTTGCTGGAGCAGTCCCACCTAAGTCAGCTTGTAGTAAAGGATAGGAGCTCTGAAATGACTTCAGACTGCAATTTTAATATACTCATTAGAACACAAAAAAGTGGACTGCAATGGATTCAGCAGAAGAGACGGGTTCACTCCCTCCTGTTTCCTTCAATGAGTTGGGCAGGGGAGGGGCAATAAAACTGTTCCAGGCCGTTCTTGGCATGTATATCTCTGAGCTACTCACGCTTCATCAAACCAGTTAGAGCCTAGAAGGATGTAGGAACAGGGACAAAGGTAAGTCCCTTGTCACTAAGCTTCAGAACTTTGCATCAAGCAAACAAGAACTGAGGAGACATACTATGTGGTAAGAGAACAGGCTAACTTAGAATATTAACTTTATCAAATCCTTTTTGGCTACTCAAAAGCCTTTTTCTATTAATTCCCACTTTTGCAGGTTCTATGAGTAGGTGAGGTCACTGTATACCCAACTTTCAAGTAAGGAAAAGTGCCACTGTAGGTAGGTCAATGACATAGATCCACTTCTAGCCATAGAGAGGCAGAGATTTCTGTTCTCCACTAATCCTCTACCTAAAGGGTATGGTCCACCTTGAAGGTACATCCAGTAAACCGAAGCTTTTTCTACGCTACTATATTCAGATCTATTGATTCTTCAGTGGTACGCTGAGCTATTTTTAATTTATGGTTTATTTCACTATGCTGTGACTAAGGTAGTGGATGAACAAATGTAAACATGCAAAGCTTTGAAAAACAGATTGGGGTGAAGAATTGTCCATTTACTTCTGCACATTTTCAGGTGCAAATGACATTCTATATTTCCTTAGAGTAAAACCTGACAGCTTATGACCTCTTAGTTCCTATGCATCTATTTCACCTCTAATGACACTACTAACAAGGGTTATTTGCACTTATCACACACTATGACAAACACATCTGTCCACTGACATTTAGGTGACTGCAGACAAATGGAGTTATAAAAGGCTTCAACTGCACAGCGCCTCACTGCTTAAGAGTAATTTGTGCTTTATTAGGCAGAGGTGAAACTGTGATGAGGACGTCACTGATGATCTGTTAGGTTTCAAACTTCAGGAAAGTTTCAAGGAAATAGCTAAGATAGGAAACTTCTTTGATTCAACGTGGAAAGTATTTATTAAACATTTACTGTGTGTCCAATGCTGGCCAACGCAATTTTAAAAATCAGGTGGAACTGGCTGGGCACGGTGGCTCACGCTTGTAATCCCTGCACTTTGGGAGGCAGAGTTGGGCAGATCCCTTAAGGTCAGGAGTTCGAGACAAGCCTGGCCAATATGTTGAAACCCCGTCTCTAAAGTACAAAAATTAGCTGGGTGTGGTGGTGCATGCCTGTAATTCCAGCTACTCAGGAGACTGAGGCACAAGAATCACTTGAACCCAGGAGGCAGAGGTTGCAATGGGGTGAGATCAAGCCACTGCACTCAAGCCTGGGTGATAGAGCAAGACTCTGTCTCAAAAAAAAGAAAAAAAGAAAAAAAAAAGGAAAAAAAAAGGCAAAACCATTAAAAGTGGAAAAAACAGGATAAAGGGATATATGTTACATATTATGTAAATACACACACATATATAATGCTAAATTGAGAATTACTGAAATAAAAAAATCAATACAGTTTTCGTGGTCTCATGTCTGCAGTATCAAATACTGTTAACAAACCTATAGTCTGACAAAGATGACCCATTATCATGAAGGAAACTATACACAGAGGAACCACAGAAATTAAGATTTAAGGGTAGGGTAAAATTCAAATGAATCAGCATTTCCATAGGCTCAGAACAAAGCAGGGCTGTGTCTAAAGGGATCAGGTGTGCAAGTGGGCCTAGGATCCTGTATCCATGGAAACTATAGTTAAGATAGATGTGGAATGTGTGTCCAAGAAGTCCTTATCTGAAGTTCTGCATTTCCTTTGGGAATCAAGGCTGCTTCTCTCTGTCAAAGTGAATTATGTAAAAGTGGGATGTTTCATTCTTACTGATAGAACTTTCAACCGTAGATTTTCTGATAGTCTGTGATTTTAGAGAAGAAAGTTTCTCAGCGAGTAAGAAGGGAAATAGTCACTCGAAGGGAGTTATGACAGGTTATAGCTGTAGCAGGTCCTTGGGAGAAATATTGTCTCCTGGCTTTATCTGTGTGTGATGAAGGACAAGACAGATTTATACTTCCTCAGTCTGAGTTAATTTTTACTTACTCACTTCCGTTACAACACTAAACACACACTGTCCTGCATTTTGGTTAGTAATATTCAGGGCTGTCTCCATGCGAGACTGTAAATACAAAGTACACTGTATTCCCGCCAAGGTCTGGCACAGTGTCTCTTATATGGTACATACTTAGAAAAAAATTTTGGACTGAACCTGATTACCAAGAAGCAGCAGTATTTCAAGTTCATCAACCTAAAGAGGTTAGGTCAAGTGGCAGGTTAGGGAGCTCTCCTAAAATTAGAAGAGCTTCCCACTTGCAAAACTGAAGGCAAGCCAATCCTCCTCAGCTGGAAAAAAACCATTATTTTAATAGGATTTCAATAGGAATCTATTCAACAAAGTTGCTCCTACAAAGGGAACTTTTCAAAGGAAACAGCTATGCACACAGGATAGCCTTCTGTGTAAATCCCGTTTACAGAAATATACTTTCAAACCTGCACCTTTAAGATTTTGCTCTTTTTATGGAGGATGACAACGAGGCTTTTCTGTCTTATCTTACCCTAGGCATACATTAACTGCTTAAAAAGGCATAGCCTATTGAGTTTTTATTACTCAAATAATGTATGTTCAATCATCTCAGCTCAAATATGTCATTATTAAACAATCGCACCCATTATAGAGAACATAATGACACCATTTGGAGTGGAAAGCTTTTCTCAACCCTGCGGTACCCCTTGAGTAAAGGGCTTTTGTGTCATAGAACACTTTCCACTTCATCTCATCATGAAACGTTAATACACTGCAAGGAGTTGTTTGTAAATTAGTCTGGTGGGTGTAAATCAGAGAACAGATAGCACAAAAAGTTGTTGTTCAGAAGCGTGAAAGACATGAAACTAGAACTTCTCTCTGTTTTTAATAATTCTAGGGTAAACTTACTTGGATTTAGTGAACATGAGACAAAACTTCCCATCTGATAAAGCAGTTCAGCTCTGCACCAAAATATAATCAAGTTCATCAATGTTTAGATTAATTAAAACTAGATTAATACATGAAAACCATTCCTAAAGAGAAGTCCTTACCAAGTATTCAACCATGTCCTGTTGATCAGCCACATGTATTAGAACTGGCCCTTATCTCAGAGATGACACTAAGGTACACATTCAAAGGCAGCAGTGATGACAAGTGTCAGGAAGGCCTCTCCATGTAAGATTGCTTTGTTTTTACTCAATGTGTGGAGCCCCCTCTTGAGGTCAGCAGCGACATCACATATGCATTACTACAGCTGCTGCTTAGAGCCAGGTGTGTAAGACATCTTAGAGCAGGAGTCCTACTTGGCACAATGAGATGTGAAGGGAAAGCTCCCTCACTCTAAAATAACTCAAGGCTACCTAAAAGACTTTTGTGCTGCCAGAACACATATTAATTCCATTTTTCAAAATATTTACAAGCCTTCATATGTATCTAACCTCAAGCAGCTTTTATCTCATTCTGAAGTGCTATCCCCAAAACTCACAACCTGGGATGCGGATCTTCTTTATAAGTGTTAGCTTTAAGCTATAAATTTTGAGTCCATTTTGCAGGTTTTATAAGGATACTCTAAAAGAATTTGGCAGCACATGGAAGAAAGCTGTTTGCTTTCTTGATAAGTGTAGCTTCAGCTCGTTTGCTTACTACTTAAGCTAAAATGGCCCGCATCCACTTTCTTAAGGAACTTTACTTCCTTCTATAGTTGCTCATTTGTAAGTTTATAATAAGCCCAAGGAGGCCAGCTACTTTGGAAAGGGTAATGATCTAGCCAAGGATGTAAGGGACCCCGAGCACATAACGCCTGGACCTCAGAACACCATACATTTTGAGTTCGTTCTTAAGGTAATTTTATAACTTTGAGCATTTTTAAGTTATTGAAATTTTCTGTGGAAAATAGCCAACTTAAATTATTAGGATACAGAGGAAAGCATACTTTGAGTAAATATATTTTGGGATATAAAATCAAAATCACAATCTTCTTCCATGGTAAAGCTCACCTTAGGAAAATTATCTTGGGAGCGGGATGCCAATGGTCAGTTCTATGCTAAAATAATACAGAGCAACTGGTTAAACCAATCCATGCCATCACTTAGGATTCAGATTGAAACATGAAAAACGTACCACTTATGTAGTTCTAGATCACATGTTGCAAATATGGAAACAGTTTCTGAACTTTCTCTTCCAGGGAAGAAACCTTCATTTATAGTACATATATTTTCAATGGACAAATGTAGGGCCAGTTTATGAGTGCCTCAAATCTGCACGATGAATTAAAGCCAGTTATCATGTATGTGTAATGTAATATTAAGGGATGAACATGTCTTACGTTTCAGTAATTATGCAATTAACTTCGCATCTTTTCAACTGGAGAAACTGTACAAAGTCTAACCTTAAAAAAATGTAGAGAACACTAGCAAGTACTGTAAAAAGAGAATTTCAAGGGCAAAAAAAAATAAATCTTAGAATGTTACTCAATCCTTTACCTCTCCTGGATTTCATTAATGCAAGAATGTAAACAATCTTATTTCTGATTTTGAAATTTTAACGTTACTTTGCTGTAGCTTGAATATACTTTTAAAGTTCCAGAATGCAAAAATCACGTATTTCATTCACCACTACCCCCAGCATCTTGAAGAGTGCTTAGCATATAGAATGTTCCAAATCAATACTGCTGATAAATAAATCCCACTGCAAATTACTGTCATACCCTAAAGAACATCTTTGGTTTTACTCAAGTCATGGGTATATTACTGAAAATGGCATGCTTTAAATAAGAAAATGAAATGCATTATTTCCATAGTCCAGATTCAATTTGATTTTAATAGCAAGCCTTATTTAAATATATTCACTTACAGATAAGGGCAGAAAAGAGAGACATCTAGTGGGTGGACGGAAGGAGTAAGCTCAGAAGCCACATCTGCCACTCCTTCCATCTCTTGGCTAAATGTCTCAAAAAGTCGTTTGTCAACTTTGTGAAACAGGTCAAAGGCATGTTGCTACTTCAATTTCAAAAAGAATACTAGAATACTAATGACGGAATGAAAAATCTTCCACTTGGGGTTTAAGAAGTCATTTCTCCTTGAGGGGAAAATACGTAACACCATTTCATTCATTGTTCTAGTGCCCTGAGGAATACTGCCCACAGAGTTGCAACCTCCCACTTTATAGAGGTGAAGATAGATAAATAGACAAAGACAGTACTGCCCAGACCAAATAATGCTATTTCTTTTGAGATATACCAGTGGCAGGGGACTCCACAGACATTCAACTCAGATGTTATCTAAAGGTGAGATCACTAGCAGATCTCTGAGCTTGAGGTCATTAAAACATATATAGACATATAACGGCTGCTCCATTTTTTCAATGGACCATCTTAAAAGGAAGATAACTTTATTCAACAAATGTTTAAGCATCTGCCACATGCCAAGCATTGTATTTTATAACATCATTACAAACTTCCCTTTTATTTGTAGCCTAAAAATGTTTTACCAGTCTTCAAAAGCCAAGTGAGGTACTTTCTAATTCATAAAAGATCCACTTAGGTCACTGGCAAGTTGAACTTTCAGCATTAGTGAAATCAGAAACGAGGTACACAAACTTAGCACCAATGTGGAGATACATAGCCAAAATGTGAACGACCTCAAGTATGCCCCGTGGAGAAGCTAAATTAGGCAGTCTGAAATCCCCATAGTTTTTCTGTATATGGAATGTCGTTTTTAAGAGCTCATTGCCTATTCATAAAGTCCAATCCAATCTCAAAAAGACTGCTGAGTTTTAGGCTCCTTCCTTAGTTCAGCACATTAGCCTGGTAACTATCTGGTAACTATAGTATCAGACATGACTTGGTCATCTGATACCTCCCTCTAGTAGTCTAGCACAGGAATCTTGCTATCAGCTTTCCCAATAGAATGAGTCAGAGAAGCTAAGAAATGTTGCCAAATTAATTTTGAAAAAAATTTAATAAACCATATGCTATTCAGTAAAATATCAAAAAAATTATAACCAGTAAGTTCTATTCTGCAACTACCTGTGTGGTCTTTGCAAAGTCACTTTTCCACAATGTTATTTATGTCAATCATGTGTGTGATTTCACCCTGAACTGCATCAACTTTTTTAGCCAATGTTTGTGTTTGAGGGTGTGTTTGAAGGTGTCAGATATCCTTCAGTCTTCTCTCCCACTCTTCTCCTCACTTCTCCTAATCACAATATTCTAATCCCCTCCCCAATTGCTGTAACTCAAGTTGCTTCTGCCATATCTAAAATATCATCCCCACCTACTCTCCATCTACTAAAACATTCATCTTTCAAGGTTTGGGCTAAGAAAAATCAGTCTACTGCAGTAGAAACTACCCCACTAGTGCTTTAGTCATCTCATGAATGTATACATTATTCCAACTAATCATTTTAGCATTTAAAACAAGTCTCAGATTTTCTTGTTGCTCAGGAATTTATTTGGGAAAGATCCCATGTACCCACAATAAGAAAAAGATGTGTGGTTCCAATTCCGATATCGACTTTCTAATATAATTCCAAATAAGATTAACAATTTACTGCAACCTTGAATCTTATTAATTAAAAATGGAGGAAGTTTAGAATTAAGTCATCTCTAAATCAAGTGGTTTAACATGGGATCTGGACAATATCAAAATTGATCAATAAAAGCCAGAGGGAGAAATGAGGCCTGTTTCTACTGTTAATGTTGAATGTTACATTTCAGGACATGTCAATTACCTTGTACAACAATCTGATTTAGAGCCTGTGATCATTTACACTACAGAGATTTTGAAATGACTGAAGGCTTAGATAATTATTTAAGACCTGCTTCAGAAAAGTCATGATCACTTAGTAATCCCCCACTACCTTACGCAGAATGTCACTTCTAAGGTAGAAACTAGTGGAACAGAAAAAAAGTCGTAATTCGGTCATATTTGACAAATATGGGTATTTTGAAGGAACAAAAGTTGTATACTCATGTAATTCAAAGTTTTATTTTAACATGAAAAATAATTTTTACTCATTCATTCATCAAACACATCCACTAAACTACTATATGCCAAGCAATATGTCAGGCACTGGAAATATGAAATGAATAAAGCAGATGCTACTGTCGAATTACTTTCATCTGTTGTTGGATGTAACACTTAGGTAAAAATTTTAGGAGCAAAGTACTAATTTTTAAACAATAGATCCACTTTTATAAGCCCCACTTTCACCTTACATAGCTGGACTTCTCCCTCTAAACAACTAACACTACCATTTTTATGAAGAGAAATTCCGCACTTACTATCTCTCAAATCTTATCTAGGCAAAATATTTGTCCCTCCTCTAAGAGTGCCTTTACTATTAGACTAAGCCAAGGACAGAATATTTATTCATCTTTATGCACAGTACTTGAACCACAGTAGACAGTCAATCAATGCTTCTGGGATTGAAGGCTCAAAACTTGATGCAATATATAGGTAATATAAGTGAATGTTGGTGCTTGAATAAAAGAGAAACTTTATTTTAATTCAGCATCTTAGTTTTAATGTAATTATAAAAGTCACCAAAAATTGACAGAACACTAGAAAACAAGTAATTGCTAAATCAAAATAGAATATCGTATACTTTTAATCTTTCATTTTTTTTCTTTCAGGTTTTTCAGTTGCCTTCTTTCCTAGATCACGTATTTCTATCGTTGTTCCTTTTTTATTGTTCCTGTGACCACTGGAGCACTAGTAATAAATCCTTAACTCAAATAGGTTATATTTAATTTCAGCACCCAAGCTCCAAATGCATCAGCTAAACTGGGTTATAGCATGGAGAATACCTCAGACGACCACAGATTTTATTTTTGTTAAGATTCTATCAAGACTGAGGCAAATTATAATAAAAGTTCTCATATCATAGAAAACAAATTACGTGGAAAAGGATAAACATTTATACAGTACTGAAGCGTTATCAACAATGAGTAGCAGAAATTCTTTTTCACTGAAGTCCAAAAGCCATCCCAGCCCTCCAGCAGATCTAAAGATTCTTGCTAAAGGTCAATTCAGGATATAGACCTAATACAAGAACAAGGTATTTACTGTCAAGATTTGCTATGAAAGTTCCACGTAACTTGTAACAACTCTGTCCTTGGCCAACTATATATACAAGGTGCTGTTACAATGAAATATATTTTAAGGCACAGTATTCCAAACTGAGTAGAACATTTTGCTCCCAGAGTCTGCACAGATTTTGGATTATTTATACCAGCTAATAGAATTAGTACCAATTAACCCGAGTTGGAAATCTGGGTGGTAACAGACTTCAGAGGGCTATCCAAGGTACTCATGCCTGGTGACTATGAACTACGAAAGATCAGAAAGAATGGGTCACAGGAATCAAGGTTGAGCTGGTAAGAAAAGGGGGAAAAGACTGGACTTCAGTATTGACAGATTAGCCCAGAATGAAGAGGAACAAAAACATCCTTTACTATGGTACAAATAAGCTTTATAACACAAATAATCTTCTCAATAATTTTATAAACATTCTAGTATCATCTTTAGGGTTATCTGAAAGAAGTTTCTATAGATATATTCTCTAGTACTTTTCTGTAGAAATTAAAAATAAAGATCATAATTGGCCTATTATCCCTGTATTTCATATTATTTCTAAAAATATTCCTAGAAATATCTGCAAGAATAGTTATTTTAATCTTTTAAGTAGCTGTGAAAACAAACCAAAAAATTGTATTGGGGGGTCTGAATAACCACTTTATCTCCTATAGAAAAGAAGATAGGTAAGAAGAGGATGAGTACTTATAGTAGGTGCCATGAATTAATGTCTAAGGGTGAAGATGTGAAATTTGCTCACTTTTTGAAAAGCAGGCATCAAGTTAGATAATGATCATTGATTTTATTTGTCCATTACTATTTCCCACTTGATCAAAGCACTGCCTATTAAAAAGGATAAATCAGATAATACCTTTACTACCACTAATGAATCAATAGAAAAGGCTAGGTTTTGCAGTCAGAATCTACTACACTGCTAATATTGCTATTAATAAGCTACATTATATTCTAACAACTCAAAGAAATTGCAGGATAATCCAGTATAATGCCTTTACCTTATATATAAATTGAATCAAGGTCCAGAGAGTTCAAATAATTTGTCCAAAATAATACAAATATATTTTCCAAGTTTTAACAAAAAACAAAGTTCGAGGAGCTATATCATCAATTATCAGAATCAGAATTAAAAATTAAATCACTGGCTTCAGTTAGTGCTTTTGCTACCATGCTCACGTTGCTTGATATCTAATCAATGTTACAGACTATTTAGTTCACCTTGGCCAACCTCTACATATTTCCAGCTGAAGTTGCTTTAAGTTGAAAAAACGGTATACAATCACAGAGGAGAGATATAAAGAAACAAGAATGCTGCTACCATCCTATTAGGGTTCACTCCTCTAAAAGTAGAGCAAAGGGATATCAGAACATACACAAGAAGGGCTGGAGTTTTGTTTCCCCAAATAAGTTAAGCGTAAGCTTCAAGAAAGTTTTTGATCTTCATGTTTTTGTAGCAAACAGTTAAGAACATCTCTGTATAAATATGCCTGAGATTGTCATCAAATAGCTTTATAAACATGTCTTTCTAGCTTATTCACTTAACTACCCAACCATCGCCGGTGGAAAAGACATATTTATGACAATGCTAACAATATTTTATTGGGCCAGGAGCATGACATCTTTACTGCTTATCAATATAGTTCTTTATCAAAAGATCTTTAATAAAAGCAAAGTGCAGAACAGTATATACAGTAAGTTCCTATTTGTGTAAAATAAGAAAGCTACATTTATTTCTACCTACACAGAAAATTACAATACAAGGACATCTAAGACATTCCAAGTAGTCTGTGTAATGATGGAAAAATGAGACAGGCTAGGGAAAAAAACTTACTTTTGCTAATCTACTCTTTGGTACTGTTTGAATAGTATTTTTATAATGTTTGTGAATTACTTTTCCAAGTAAAAAAAGGAGACCTTTGATACTGATGATGATACTACTGTAGGATATAGTTTGTCTTTTACAATCCCATACTCAAAGAATGAAGATTCACAAAAATTATTATAGGATTTTAAATATTCAGATCCACTCTAAACAAAAACTGAAGTTTACTCCCCAATTCTATCTTTAGAGTAAAAACAAAAAACTAAACACTTTATATTCTTTCACTTTTGAATAGACGTATTCCAATCCTAACGTGTTATTTTCATGAATAATGGAGTTCAAGTGTTCACTGATACTGCTAGTAAAAAGCCTATAAAACATTTCCCATTTTCTCTTTCTATAAATAACTGGTAAAATTTTAAGGTCACAAGAAATTTTCTACCATACACATTACAGAGATTTCAATAACTCCCAAATCTCAACAGAAACAGATATCACATACATAAAAACAAAATAGAATTACATTACTTAAAAAAAAAAAACATTAGAAAAGGTAATTCAGTTTTAATTTATTTTCATCACTTTTTCTTCATAATCCAGATATTTTAAAATGCAAAGAAAATTAACTTTCAATGATATGTTCAGGGACTGGCACTAAAAAAAATTTTCAGACTGCAAATGAGTTATACAAATGAAAATATCAAATGGAGATCCAGTTATCAAAATGAAAGCACTCAACATATTAAAAGTTCACAAGTATTTGTATTGAGCACATTACAAAAGTCAGCTTGCTAACTGTTGTGATTTTAAAGAACTATTGCAGAAGTCTGAAGAAAATAGATTTATTAGTTAACTTATAAAGAGATTAAAGAGGCTGAAACAAGTATTAAAAAGAAATTTGTGCCTTTATTAGAATGTTAGGCTTTAAATATGCCAATTTTGATAAATTATTGTTGTTGTTTTGTTTTTTATAAGAAATGACACTACAGAACTGCAATACTGGTCCAACACTCTTGTCTTTACTCTTCTTTTAAAGCAAGAAACAGAATGCGAGTAATCAGAAAGCACTAGCAGGCATCAGTTAATCCAAGATACTAGCTCTTAGTTCCAAAAGCACTTGCAAAGAAAACCTTTTGGGGGGAAGGGGTGGAGAGGGATGGAAGCACTCCATAATAACTGGAATCCCACGAGTGTGTATGCCAAGTCTCATGAGGCTATTTTTTGAATTTATCCTTTACTTGGTCATGGTTTTTTCCCTCAAATACAATTTTTCTTTGACTTTTTTTCCTCAAAGTATAAAAAGTATGAAATATAAACAAGCTCTTGCACTGCACACTTAGAAGTGTACAATTCAAGCATTATAGAGCTATCTACACACTGATAAATCCCATCGAATCTTGGATAATTCATTAATATACAAAATATCAGGGCACAGAAAGAACTAAAACCCACTTCTTTTTGTTACACATAAGATTCAAATATTCAATCTAAAGAAAAACACAATCACTTTCGCTCTCTTCTACATCTGCATGGTGATACACTTATTAAAATATTCCTGTATAATCATGTTTGGTGTTACTATTTCAAGTCAGGTTTAAAACCTCAAAACCAGCCATCCAGACAAAACAGGTAATCAGAAAGATTATCTCTTCCCCACCTCCCTAACCCCAATAACTATGAAGCCAATTTTACGACATGACTCCAAACACTGGATTGTGACGACAAATGCTAGGTCCAATTTCTTCATAATCCTTTTTGGTGTGGCATACTTGGTAGAACTCAGGCTGAAAACAAAAAATATGTATTTTTATAAGGGTCAAAAATCTACCATCTTGAAGGTATATTGAAATAAACTTTAAGAGTGATGCTTTAAAATAGATGTTAAGTCTAAAATGTTTATTATTAGTCCATTCATGGCATGAAAGCTTAGAAATTCTAGCAGCCATGACTTAAAATCAGCTATAAATCTTTATCGGAACTCCAAAAGAGCAATTAACTCCTGTCCCCAATCCTTGTCTCACACACCTGCTGCGAGGATTCTGAAATTTTGAAAAATGGAAGGTTCTCAAATGTCCAGTCTGTTCTGTTGAGACTTTCCCATACTTTCATTGCACCAATAATGTAAAGAAGCGGCATTCGCCTAACTACAGATAAAACTACTCCTAGTCATGCTATGACTATTTTTCGTCTAGTTCTAAGAAATGTCTAGATCATTTGCCTTCCTCATTCAAGGTCTGGAAAAGATAGACTGTTCCATGCTGTGTTACCTCATTTCTCAAGGCAAAGTCACAAACTCAACTAGGTTATATGGCCCAATTGAAGAAGACTAAAATTGAGGAAAAAAATAACTTTCACCTCTTATGTTGGAAATGGTTTTAAATCCAAAGTTGTACAGTTATTCAATAATTCAGATAAAAGCTCCTTCATTTTAATATTGCATGCACTACCAGAACAAAGCACCAATACTTCCTAGGTTAATGGTATTAGAACACTAGAACACCTTTTTAGGGGGCTTTAAAGACATTTTAATTTGGGGACAGGATTCTTAGAATAATTCCCTTTATTCAGTGTAAAACATCATACTTTCTATGCAATGAAGCTTAACTTTTACCTTAATGTTTTTAAATACTTAAACAGAACAAACAAGGACCTTCTGATGACTAAATTACCAGTTTTAACAGAACTTTCCCTACAGATAAACTTTAAAACATAGTATAAAATGGTCACTCTAAAATAATGTCTAGCAAGCTAAAAAAAAAAAAAAAATTAAATTCAAATGACTTCCAATTAAATTTAAATTACTTCCAATTTTTAAAATACTACAAACACATATATACAAAGTTTCCTATTATTTTGAGATACAATTTAAAGGAATTTGCTTTGTTCTTCTCCAAGTATTGATGGACTCTTCTATCTTAAATATATATATATAAATTTAAACATAAGCTTCAGCCAGGCGCAGCAGCTCACACCTGTAAACTCAGCGCTCTTTGGGAGGCTGAGGTGGAAGGATCACTTGAGCCCAAGAGTTTGAGACCAGCCTGGCCCAACATAGTAAGACCTCATCTCAATAAAAAATAATAATAATAATAAAGGCCAGGAGCAGTGGCTCACACCTGTAAACCCAACACTTTGCTTTGGGAGGCCAAGGTGGGCAGATCCCAAGGTCAGGAGTTCAAGAGTAACCTAGCCAACATGATGAAACCCAGTCTCTGCTAAAAATGCAAAATTAGCCAGGTGTGGTGACGCATGCCTGTAGTCCCAGCTACTTGGGAGGCTGAGGCAGGAGAATCACTTTAACCCAGGAGGTGGAGGTTGCAGTGAGCCAAGATCATGCCATTGCACTCCAGCCTGGGTGACAAGAGCGAAAGTCCACCTCAAAAATAAATAAAATAATAATGATAAAATAAAATAAAAGTAAGCTTCATCACACTCACCGTGGAAGCCAGCATTGATCCTCCAAACCAAACTGCATATCGCTGCATGTGGTGTGTAATGACTTGTACATCAATAGGTTTTGGCTAAAGAAAGACATAGTATGATCATCTTCATAGTAAATTCAAATAACAACTTCTGTGTCATTTAACCTTAAATGTACATATACAAAAATAATATCTGTACTAAATTCAGGTGGTATCTTACAAACCAGAAACAATTGAGATTGGCTGTCTCAGAGGAAAGGGGTTGGGAACACTGTGGAAGAGACAGGGAGGGAACAGAGCAGAATAAATGGAAGGGAAATAACAATGAGCACATGTTTTATACAGTTCTGACTTTAAGAATCTAAATGTTAGTGTTTTACATACTAAAAAATAACACCTTAAAAGAAGGGGAGGTTGGGGCAAAACAAAGTACAACAAAAACAAATTAAACTAATTGTACTTTTTTCAAACATAAGCACACTAAGGTGAGGAAAGGGACTAACACAAGCAACTTGTGAGCATAGTATTTTGAATCTTATAAGCCTTCAGGCTGAAGATAAAATATAAGCAAATATTGAATTCTAGTTTTGGGTCTATTTTTCACAGTGGTGTGGATTAACAATTCTGAAACTATCATATACATATTCCAGGATTAAGCAAAAACATAAACATATTATAGATAATAGGAGCCAGGTTTCTCACTGTCAGAGAAGGGCATTACAATATGGAAGGGCAGAAAACTAGAGTGAACCTTCTATAACTGGAGACGTCTGTAAAAATTCATGGTTTTAATTTATGTAGAGAATTAGATATAGATGTATAAACACACACACACCCCTAGCTCTAATCACTGAGAAGGCCTAGACTCAGTGATACCCCAACAGCAATGAGCACAAAGCTTGGTTTCTTAGTAACGTTCTCCACTAACAGGAATAAGACAAGGGTGTCTTGAAGAAAGAAAAGGAGAAAAAAAGGGCTGATTCCAGGGCCAGAAAAGAGAAAGTACAAGATCAGCCTGAAACACCTTGCTGTGCCGGGAAGTACAGAAGTAGGCAAAAAAAAAGATGTGGCTGCATCAAAAAAAAAAACCTAAGAGCCATTTGAATAACTCCCACTGGTCAAATCTGAAAAAAAAAAAAATGTGGGATTAAAATTAATGATGAGTGGTATTACTGATATTATGATATTACAGTGATATTAAAGATATAGACCACAAAATGAGAAATCAGGAGTTCATATAGATATTACTAAAAGAATAAATGAATGTGGGAGAAGGGAAAACTCTTGCTTATAGTAAAACAAGTCTTAAAAACATAGAAGGAATGACAGAAATTGCAAAACTCCATTTAGCAACTACCACAGTAATAACTGTTTTAGGGAAGAATCACAATGGATGCTAAAAACTAGTGACTGAAACTTAAAAGAGAAACAGGATAGTCTGAAAGTGTCTCCTCATTAGATTCTTATTAAATATAAAGGAAAACATAATAACTTTATAGTGAAAAAACCTGGCAGACACAACTTCAACCAAAAGCTCAAAATTCACACACAGGACAAATTCTATCATGTGTCTACTGATACAATGCACTAAAAATGATACAATATCAATTCTGTGGCATCACTGCCAAAAGTACATAATCTGAACCTACTCAAGCAGAAATATTAAACAAACCCAAGCTGAAGGATATGCTACAAAATAAATGGCTGTACTCTTCAAAAATGTCACATTCATTCATGAAAGACAAAAAACATTGAGTATGTAACAGACTGAAGCAACACAATAAGTAAATGAAACATGCAATCCTTGATTGGATCCTGGATAAGGGGGAAGAAGGTATTTTGTTTTCCTTTTGTTATAAGGGACATTAGTGAAACAACCGGTAAAATTAGAATCAGTTCTATAACTAGATAACACTGGATCAAGGTTAATTTCATGATTTTGATAATTGTAATATGTTCTTGATTTTAGAAATATACTAAAATGTTTGGGGATAATGAACCATCATATCTACAATTTAGTGTGTGTGTGTGTGTACACACACCTATTTATAGAAACAGAATGATATGGCTTTTTTCAAAACTGTTTGGTTGCCATTAAAAATTACAGACTGAAGGAAAATAAAGCCAGAGATAGATAGATAAAGGCATGCTATTAAGATCTATAAAAGTTACTAGCAAGTAAAACTAAGGTGAAGAAGGCAGAGTCCTCCAAAACACAAGGTTTTTCCTATACATGATGAGCATCCCAAGTCTGAAAATCCAAAATGCTCCAAGATCCAAAAACTTTTTGAGCACCAACATGATGTTCAAAGGAAATGCTCAGAATTTCAGATTTTTGGATTAAGGATGTTGAACCAGTATATAATGCAAATACTCCAAAATCCAGAAAAACTCAAAACCTGCAACACTTCTGGTATGAAGCAATTCAAAAAAGGGACACCCAATCTGTTTCTTTCAATATGTCGATACGGTACTGATCACTGGGTAAATTTATTTCTTATTTACAAGTGTAAAAAGAGCTTAAAAATGTTAAACAATCTCACTTTTTTAAAATACTATACTCAGAAACATACAGCATTGTTTTGTACTTATATATCTGTAATGAGTTATTAAAAACTAAACAGCTACTTTAATACATCCATAACCATACCATTAGGACAATCAACTTCAATCTTTTAAGTATTCTAACAAAAAAACCAGAACATGCACTATGTTCATTCACATAATCAATGTGGTTAGTAGGATTCTCAGTACAGAGAATTTATACTTGCAAAACCCAATGACTTCTTTTTTAGGTAGGAGGTAGGGTAGATAGATATGTGGGTAAGGGGAGTAGACGGATGGGCAAATGAATGGATGAATGGGGGTGGGCTGGTGGTTTGGTTGGTTGGGAAGGGGATGCAAAAGCAAACACAACATTTTAAAAGTCTATTGAGTAGACTTCCTGAAGTGTGAAGTCATGACATTATAGGGACAGAGTTCAATATTTTGCCTTCCACCCAAAACATATACTTTTTACTGCATTCCTAGGGATAGGTTTACTCAAGATAATCAAAATATAGGCACTGACAACAGTCAGCCATCATGCAATTTCTCAACAATCAGCAAACCCTAGAGTGCTGTGCTTTACTTTTAAGTAATTCTGAATGATTATGGAAGTCTCAGATAAAGTCCTCATTCTTGGTAATCTTCCAAGCAGAAGGTATTTTATTCACATGAAATACCTTTTTTCAAACAGCTTTGAAAAAAGCCATATCATTCCTCTAAATCAACGTTCTGCTTCAATATTTAACAAGGATGAAAAAAATGAAGAATCTATCTCTAAATATAGAAAGTAGACATCTAAGAATTTTAAATTAATTTTGATTTTTTTTAACCTCAAGCCTAAAGGTCCAGGACATGTAATACAAAGGTTACTTTATTAAACCACCGATTTGACTGCACACTTTGAGGTTGCTATGTGGGAGCTAAAGTCAGTTTTTGAGAGCAGGCTTGACTACTCAACAATGGCATCAATCTCAACTCAGCTTTGCTGTCCTTCTATAGTATAAAACATTTTGTGGATCCATAATTAATTTGATTGTTGGTGTATGCAAAGAAATCTACTATATTAATTATCTATGAGAGAGGTATTTAAAAAAAAAGTCTTTCCACAGGTATTACTAAGAATTATTTTCCAGAAATACAGACAATATCCTAGAAGAATCAAATGATCCAGAATATCACAGACATAAATCTATAACATTAACCATTTCCATTAGAATACCTGACAGGTTCCTCTTATTTTTCTAAATCAGAGTGAATGCTGGCAAATATTTCTCATCCTAATCAAGGAAGGCACCCTCAACCTTCTCACCAATAATTGGGAAAACCAACCTTCAATCTACCACCACTCAATTCCTCACTTAATTTCAGCCGGGCATCTACAGTTCTTTTCAAATCTCTTTGCAAGCGACGTCCAAAGTCCCTGAACATGGTTGAACCTCCAGAGAGGACAATATTCTAGTGGAGAGAAAATAAATATAATATTTAAAAAGAGAAAAGTTTAAAGATATAATATATAGTACTGAAATGCTATTATATCCTTTTTATGAGAGGTGTTTAAGTTTTTTTAAAGTAAGACCTTGAATAACAATTTTGCTATAAATACCTTGTAGAGAGGACGTCTGACATCAATAGGACAATTCTGAATTACTTCATCTACAACTTCTGAGATAGGTTGTGTAAAGTCTGGATTAGCAAACTGAAAAATAAGTTGGATATATAATAGAGATCATATCACTACTGACAAATATCACAATAAAAGGTTAAACAAAGTTTTCAGTTCAAAAACAAAAGGCCTTTTAGAAACCACTAATACTGGTCTCTAACAGATTCAGATTGAAGACACTGAAATCAGAGAAAACTCAAAATTATGATGATATATACCATTTTATAACTATCAGAATAGCAAACATGTAAAGTCATACATATACTATGAGCTGGCAAAAATCTGGGTAAATGGAAACTTTCATATAACGCTGTGAGAGTATACACTGATGTAACCACTATGGAGAATAATTTGGCAATAGTAACATAGTGACATGGTCTGGCTCTGTGTCCCCACCCAAATCTCATCTTGAATTGTACTCCCATAATTTCCACGTGTTGTGGGAGGGACCTGGTGAGAGAGAATTGAATCATGAGGGTGGTTTCCCCCATACTGTTCTCATGGAGTGAATAAGTTGCACAAGGTCTGATGGTTTTATCAGGGATTTCTGCTTTTGCGTCTTCCTCATTCTCTCTTTGCCTGCTGCCATCATGTAAGACAGGACTTGCTCCTCCTTGCCTTCTGCCATGATTGTGAGGCTTCCCCAGCCACGTGGAACCATAAGTCCAATTAAACCTCTTTCTTTTATAAATTGCCCAGTCTCAGGTATGTCTTTATTAGCAGTATGAAAACGGACTAATACAAATAGCTAATAAAATTTTAAATGCACATACCAGTAACTCCACTTCTTACAACAAACTCTGAAGAAACTCCCCAAACATGTATGCTATTACATATGCATATTTACTATAGCCTTGTTTCTAAGAGGAAAAACCCGTTAAGTCCATCAATAGGGGATGAAATAAATAAATGTAGTCTAATCTCATTATTCATGATTCCATATTTGTGAATTTACCTAATCGCTAAAACATATTTGTTACTCCCCAAATCAAAATATGGTTATTCATGGACATGCACGTGTAGAGCAACAAAAATTTGAGTCCACTGATGTGCACATTCCCCATTGAGGTTGAACAAGATGATACTCTGCTATCTAGTTTCAGCTCTCATACTATAAACAAGTGTCCTTTTCACAGTTCTATTTAGTGGCACGGTTTTCATATTTTTGTTAGTGATTTCATTATTTAAAATGGCCCCCAAGCATACTGCTCAAGTGCTGGCTAGTAAACACAAGGAGGCTGTGATGTGTCTTACAGAGAAAAAGCAAGTTAGATAGCTTTGTTCAGACATGTGTTCTAGTGCTATTGAATATAAATGAATATACTAAAATGATATACTAAATGCAGTGCCTTTAAAAAGAAACACACATGAAACAAGGGTATATGTTAATGGGATAACAAAAATGTTACCAGAGGCTCAAAGAAACCTAATACTGTATTTCCCCTAGGAGCAATAGCTAGCTCAGTGTTCACTAATTCAGCGCTCTCAAGAACTTTTTGGCACATCTACTTTGAATAACAAACATCAGCTATATATTCAAACGATGATATACCATAGTCAAAATAAACTTACTATTTCCAAACAGCTGGCACTCAAGAAAAACATACTTTTTAAAAAACTAACTTAAACAAAAACAAAAAACAACTTGAAGCTGGGCATGGTGACTCACACCTATAATCCCAGTGCTTTGGGAGGCCAAGGCAGGACCATTGCTTGAGACCCAGAGTTTGACACCAGCCTGGGCAACATAGCGAGACCCTGTCTCTACAAAAAATTTAAAAACTAGCTAGGCATGGTGGCACACACCTGTAGTTCCAGCTACTTGAGAGGGCTGAGGAAAAAGGATTGCTTGACCCTAGGAATTCGAGGTTACACTGAGTTATGATCACACCACTGCACTCCAGCCTGGGTGACAGAGAGAGACTCTGTCTCTAAATAAATAATCAAAATCTAGCTCTAATTAGTGAAAAACAAACAAGTATTGTATATCTCCTCAGCCATTCATTTTTATCATTAGGTTGTCCTAGTTGAGAGACATTATTCCTTTATTTATTAAACTGAGTCTATAACTGTATTGATAATTATTAGGCATGTGTCAATTTTTTCTTTTTTTTTTTCTTTTTTTTTTTTTTTTGAGACCGAGTCTCGATCTGACACCCAGGCTGGAGTGCAGTGGCGCAATCTTGGCTCACTGCAACCTCTGCCTCCTGGGTTCAAGCAATTCTCCTACCTCAGCCTCCCGAGTAGCTGGGATTACAAGCGTCCGCCACCACGCCCGGCTAATTTTTGTGTTTTTAGTAGAGACGGGGTTTCACCATGTTGGCCAGGCTGATCTCGAACTCCTGACCTCAGGTGATCCGCCTGCCTCAGCCTCCCAAAGTGCTGGGATTATAGGTGTGAGCCACCACGCCCTGCCTTTTTCCAGTTTTTAAGATTAGTTCTAAATTATTTACAGGCTGCGCATACAATGAAAAGAGATTTAATGTTATCAAAGTGACACATACTAATACAAAATCTTTTCATTTAGATCATGTAAATGGAGTGAAAAAGACATAGGATATACGAAAAAGAGATCCAACACAAGAGAGAGGGAAAGGGAATCCCTAGAATGATAGTAAAGGAATATGGCAACTCTATACTGGGAACCGACAGAAGCAAGTTCAGATTGGGATGTAAAAGACACTTCAGAAAATTAAACTGATGAATAAACCCTATACATCTGAATATCCTGAGAAGAGATTTATATAACTACTGAAGAGAGTTTGGAGGTGAATGAATGGTAATTATTTTAGCACTAAGCAAACAGTTTATTAATGACTTCTTGGAAAACAAAGTTACTTATAGGAAGGGAAAAGATTTCATGGTTAACTACATGGCTCAGATATGAACAAAATTTGTGGTCACAAAAACATAAGCACTGAATTTCAACCTACTTGAAATTATAATGTAACAAATGAGATGAAAAGGGAATAGAAAGGTCCTGTCTGTGATGACAGAAGAAGGATAAAAAAGACAATCTTCCTCTTCCATAGTTGGAATTCGACAGACAACGCCTAACACAGGGCTGGGCACAGTGGCTCATTCCTATAATCCCAGCGCTTTGGGAGGGCAAGATGGGTGAATTGCTCGAGCCCAGGAGTTCAAGACCAGCCTGGGCAACATGGCAAAACCCTGTTTCTACGAAAAATACAAAAATTAGCTGGAAGTGGTGGCACATACCTGTAGTCCCAGCTACTTGGGAGTCTGAGGTGAGAGGATCACCTGAGCCTGGGGAGACTGCAGCGAGCCATGACTCAGCCACTGCACTGGGTGACAGAGCAAGACCCTGTTTCCAAAAGAAAACAAGAAAAGCCTAACACTGAAAAAAAATTTGAAGTTGCAATATAACCAAGCAATTCATAGCTAAGGAGGTAATCAGCAAAAGAAGCAACTAAGAAGAGTTTGAAGTGGTTACCTCTAGAAATACAAAACAAGAGAAAGAAACATGCAGGGCACCCCTAGTTTTTGTTAGGATACGCAGACCAAGACTTTTAAACCATGTGCATATATATAACTGATTTTTAAAAACAGCCTTTAAAAAAAAGAAAACAAAACAGGTTTTTTAAAAAGAGAAACAGGTTTCTCATAGAAGAAATTACTTATAAGGAACATAAAGCTATAGACAACAGAAAATGTTTTAAAGTTAAAAAATAAAGAAAAATTGGTGTATGAAACAATAAAGGTTATTCAAATTAATAGAAAAAATGATATATGAAACATTAGCAGCAAGACACATTTTCATCCAGCCAACTATACCTTTCCTAAGCAATATGAAACACATTTTATTTACATATCTAAAGCTTTGGGTTATTTATTTATGAGACAGGGTCTTGCTCTGTTGCTCACACTGGAGTACAATGGTGCAATGCCAGCTCGTTGCAGCCTGGACCTCCTGGGCTCAAGCAATACTCTCACCTCAGCCTCCCAAGTAGCTGGAACTACAGGCACACGCCACATGCCTGGCTAATTTTTTGTATTTTTTTGGTAGAGACGGGCTCTTCCCATGTTGCCCAAGCTGGTCTTAAACTCCTGGGCTTGAGTGATTCGCCCACCTTGGCTTCCCAAAGTGCTGGGATTACAGGTGTGAGCCACCACAACCAGCCTACTTCAAGGTTTTTAAGAAAGCCAAGGCATCAGCTAAGCTCATTTGTCAAGCATATTCCATTCAAATGCTCATCTCCTATATCCCATGCTATTATCCATCGTGTGGTCATGATCCTATTCATGCAGGACATTTGCTCAGGATCTTCTGCAATTTTCTAATTCCTGTCCCCAACTTGGAGCTTTAATATTCTTCTCTAAGATTTCAATTTCAAGTTAATTGATGTGCCTTAAATGAAATGAGGTCTGACACACTTCTATTAATCTACTCACATATAAATGGCCCATACAAAAATCTGTCCTAACTTCCAGCTACATGTGGTTATCTCTCCCGTCTCTTGACTCTCCGCTAAAATGACAGCAAGAGAATTAAAAGGAAAGGTAAATGACCAAGGATGAATCAGGGGGCAAAAAAACAATGAATACAATATTTCAATCCTGTTTGGAAAAGAAACTGTTAAAATCCTCTATATAGAATGAGACCCACCCTCCTCGGTTCCCTTCCAGACCGTGTATAACAAGAAAGTTAATTCAAACCCCAATAAATAAATGAATGAATAAATGACTGTACAAACAAAATGAAGCAAATTATACCATTCTGGACACGGGTATGGGCAAAGATTCCATGATGAAGATGGCAAAAGCAAAAAATGACAAATGGGATCTAATTAAAGAGCTTCTGCACAGCAAAAGAAACTATCAGCAGAGTAAACAGACAACCTACAGAATGGGAGAAAATCTTTGCAAATTACACATCTGACAAAGGTCTAATATCCAGCATCTATAAGGAACTTAAATAAATATACAAGGAAAAAACAACTCCATTAAAAAGTGGGCAAAGGACATGAACAATTTTCAAAAGAAGACATATATGTGGCCAAAAATCTTAAGAAAAAAAGCTCAACGTCACTGATCATTAGAGAAATGTAAATCAAACCCACAATGAGATACCATCTCATACCAGTCAGAATGGCTATTATTAAAAACTCAAAAAATATTCTCACACCATCCCTCCTAAAAAATGAAGGAAAGAGAAAATATTTTTAAAAAATAAATACAATTTAAAAAGAAAAAAAAAGGTGCTGGCAAAGCTGGAAAGAAAAAGAAACGCTTATACTCTCTTGGTGTATATTAGGTGTAAATTAGTTCAACCATTGTGGAAAACAGTGTGGCAATTCCTCAAGAACCTAAAACATAAATATTCAACCCAGCAATCCCACATACCCAAAGGAGTATAAATTGTTCTATCATAAAGGCACATGCATATGTATGTTCACTGCAGCACTTCACAAAAATAAAGACATGGAATCAACCTAAATGCCCATCAATGGTAGACTGGATAAAGAAAATGTGGTACATATACACCATGGAATACTATGCAGCTATAAAAAAGAATGAGGTCATGTTCTTTGCAGGAACATGCATGGAGCTGGGGGCCATTATCCTCAGCAAACCAGTGCAAGAACAGAAAACCAATTACTGCATGTTCTCACTTTTAAGTGGAAGCTAAATGATAAGTAAACATGTACATACGGAGGGAAACAACAGACACTGGGGCCTATCGGAGGGTGGAGAGTGGGAAGAGGGAGAGGATCAGGAAACATAGCTAACGGATACTAGACTTAATAATACCTGGGGACAAAACAATCTGTACAACCTCCATGACAAAAGTTTACCTATATAAAAACCTGTACATGTACCCCTGAACTTAAAGTTAAAAAAAAAGAAAATGAAGCAAATGAATAAACAAGGTGAAAGTGTAGGAAAAGCTGAATTTTAAGGGAAAAGAATCACATTACACTACTTGCCTCAAAAGTGAACAACAGTCTCAGGTATAATACTATAAATATTACAATACTATTGATTTACCTAATAACAATAACCTAACATGTTGGCAGGCTGGAAGAAAAGAGAGTCTAGAAAGAACTAATCTGAAAGGAGGCTAGCATTTAAACCACTAACAGTGACATATCAAGAAACAGCTCCATCCATGTTCCTGCAATACCATCACAGTATTTAGAAATCTGGGGGTTACTACCAAGAGCAATAACTAAAAGCTAGTGGATGCTCTATAGAACACAATGGCAGCAGGAGGGTGAAGAGCTGCTAATTTTAAGTCTGTCAGTGTTATTTGACCTTTAAAATTGTGTGTATACATCCTCTTAATCTTTATGTTTTGATAAAGTGCAAAGAAAATGTACCACCAAAAACCTTCACACTCCAGTATACTAGTCTGACCACAATTCCTTATCCTTCTCATGCTCACTCCTCTGCTACCAATTCACAATTATTATGTGTCATTTCATCATGATCTCCAATACCTGTACCCTCACTATCCCTAGGTAATTCAGCTTTCAGGACTTGCTCTCTCCTCTATGCTGTAATACTTTAATCTCTGCTTTATCAAAACCTTTTCCTCCTTTCCCACAACTGTCTGGGGGAGGCGAGAGGACACTATTGCACAACTAAAAGTTTTGGGTATCTAACCTGCTACCTTGAGTAAAGAATGGATGCCCCATACTATTAATATGTACTCACTAGTCACCCTCTCAATTCCCCTCAACAGTAAATATGAAAGTCATTATTCTTCACAAGCCCTCAATTTTTTTTGAAATGAAGTCTCGCTCTGTCGCCCAGGCTGGAGTGCAGTGGCGTGATCTCGGCTCACTGCAAGCTCCACCTCCTGGGTTCACGCCATTCTCCTGCCTCAGCCTCGCGAGTAGCTGGGACTACAGGCGCCCACCACCACGCCCAGCTAATTTTTTTTTTTTTTTTTTTTTTTTTTTTAGTAGAGACGGGGTTTCACCATATTAGCCAGGATGGTCTCGATCTCCTGACCTCGTGATCTGCCCGCTTCGGCCTCAATTTTAGTCCAGTCCCTTCTCCCAAAACATAAGCTTGATTCCACCTCATAAAAAAATTAAAACTATGAACTATGATGATGAACTTCTTCAACTACCTACCTGTGCTTCTGCCCTTCCTAGTTCATTTTCCTGTACCTATACTTAATTCCTTCCCTCCTGTAACTGGAGTAAGCCCTCTTAAAAATTTAAAACTATCTTGAGCCTTATTCTTGCAACTGAATTCTTACTCGTCCACTGTCTTTTTCTTTCATAGCCATCTCTCAGAATGTCCAGACTGCTGATTTCCAAACCTTCACCTCTCACTGAGATAAGTAACAAGCTGCTCTAACGTATCACTCCATTGAAACGCCTCCCCTATGATCATCAATAACCTAGATGCTGAAAAACTCCAAGTACTTCTAAGGTTTCCTCTAATGTTACTTCACTGCAGCAACTGGCACTATTTACCCTCCCTTCTTGAAACATTCACTTCTCTCAATTTTATGACCATAATCCTTTAGCTTGGCTTCTACCTCTCTGTCATCTTCAGTATTCTTTGCAGGCTCTACTTACTCAGCCTGTCCACGTGTCTGTGTTCACGAAGGCCCTATTCTTCACCTTTCTACTCCACAGCCCCTTCTCAGCCAACCTCTTCCTTTGTGCCCCACAAAGGGTGATGACTTTACAACACCCAAGTGTTTGTTTTTGAACCTTTTAAAAGATGCATATAATAAACTCATCTTTGTCTATTTCACCTACTCCTCCCCTTCAGTATTACAAATTTCAGTGGATGGCACACTGGGTTGCCCAAGTTACAAACCTGTGAATTATCACAGATTCCTCATATTCTTACTCCCCTCATATCTAAGCAATTACTGATTATGTTGATTCTATTTTTCTCTCACCTCCTTCCTCATTCTCACTGACCCACAAATACTATTCATCTTTCATCTAAAATACTATAGTAAAATCACCTATTTCCAACACAATTCACACCTCTGTTCCAACCCGTCCAAACCAATGCTGCGAGAGTAACCTTTCTAATATGGTACACAATTATCTTCTATGCTTAAAATTTTTGCATGACTACAGAATCTAGCTAACTCCCTTGCATAACATATCTGCCCTTCAAGACTGGGTCCATGAATACCTATCTGGATCCCTCTCCTACCAATCTGTCCTCTATACTTTTCTTTCCAGCACTCTCATGTCTAAGACCTCTGCCTAGCTAACCTTCTGACAAAAATACATATACTCCCCTACCACACATGACTGACAAACACCCATTCATCCTTTAAGTCTCAGTTCAACCATTATCTCCCCTGAGATGTTCTCCCAAGCAGACTTACATGCTCTTTGTTCCTGTGCCCTCAGCAGATACATACACTCATTAAAGCAACTATAACCTTACGTGTTTAAATACTCATCTCTTTTATTCTTTGAGCTCAGTAAGAGCAAGATAAAATAATTTTTCATCTTTGAATACCCAGTGCTTAAGCTGAGATCATGAAAATTCAAACCATTTAACATTTGCTGAGTGAATAAACAAAATTTTAAAAATAACTATTCTTAACATTAAATAAGCAGAGTAAGTACGTAATATTAGTAATTCTATTAATAAAGTTACAATTCTGATACTAAGTTACCAGAAGAATTTTCCATTATTAAAAGTATGTATTTCTTAATTTAATAAAGCCTTTATGTTGCTAAAACTTCATAGACAGAAGACTATTTTGCTACTAGTTATATATTTTAATGGTTAATTGAAGGTTCTTTGTATAATGGTCATTTTACACAAATAGGGAGGGGGGGAGCTTTCTAGAACCTTTCCCAAAATATTTTATTTCAATTACAAAACTTTACCTGAGTCCATGATGGAGGGAAGAAAAAAAAAATTTAAGGGCTCTCCTCTTTTCATGACCCCCCCATAAGCCACACATATTTTTTAAAAAGTTTTTTCTAAATCTGCAAAAAATAGCAACAATTTTGCTTATTTTAACAAAAGCAAATTTTTTCTTTAAAAAGTTCATAAAATGTTTTATAAACTTTTCATAAAAACTCAAACTTTTAGTGTACTAATAAAAGTTTCTGAGATTAATTCTCTCTGAATATCTATTAATTCATATTTGCTGCTGAATACTTTTAAACAATTCCGTTAAAAAAAATTACCTCTGGATGAAAAAAGATTTCAGGTCCCAAAAATCTCTCATAACCAACATCGATAGAAAACTCTTTCTTTGAGATAGCATTGATTCCAGTATACTGTTTAATCCATTTTGACCCATCTGTATCATACTTGTTAAATTCTTTTACTAAATCTGGGCAGACATAACTATAGCGCTCCTGAAAAACAAAGAAACAAAAGTAACTTTTTTTGCTTATTATAGGAACAGTAAAGAAGAATGGCATGTTTTCAGTAAACTATAATCCAATAAAAAAAAAAAACTCTTCAGAAAATAAAATTAGGAAATTAAGCTGGAAGAAAAATTTGTTAGGATATTATCATATGTGTAGTACAAATAAACATACTCATCTCCTACACATATTTTCTGACTTTAAATATAAACAGTATTTGAGAGACTGGAGAGCTGACTTCTACTATTTCAATGTTATTTCCTGAAAATGTTCACTAATGTCATTCAACATTTTCTGTCTCAGTAATAATGAATCTTGTGCTGTAGGTAAGGAGAATAAATAAAATACAGAACTGAAGAATAAGTAATAATTGTGATAACCACACAAATTAATATAGATCCTTAATATCTATCTGAAACAAAACTGATTACGGTCTGAGTAAATAAAAGAGCAAAGAAAAAAGGCTAAAAATATAAATTACTCTATTTTGTTGCATATTTGGTTATATGACCTAAGTAAAAGTTTTCATCAAAAACACTGAAAAATATATTATAGATTATAACATCATATTTGTAATTTATAAACTCCCAACTGCCAACCAATATTTGTTTTATTTTTTTAAAAAAACTTCCTTTTCCAGTATTTTTACACATCACAGGCACCATCCAAGATAGATGCAAATATTACCAGTAATAATCAAAATACACAAAGAGAAAAAATACTGGAATCCGAAGACATTTGATTACACTATTTGAGGTCTTCTCCAAACCTTGGAAGTGAGAATGACAAAGAAATGATATTCCTTTAAAGACATTCAGAATGACCATCAATCTTCTCTGGAATAGATTTAAATCTCTGGTGTTTTCTCGTTTTGCTTTAATTTCACAGATTTCCCAAAGATGTTGAATCAGTAGTATTCACATTAACTTTTTATATATTTAATTCTTATGCCACCAACTTGGGGTAACTTTTGGTAGTCATTTACTAATTTACTACCTAGGAAGTAGTTGATAAATTTTCATTCTTAAGCTCTGACGAGCAAGGAAAATCCCATAAACAAGCAAAGAGGCCCAGGCATGGTGACTCACATCCAGCACTTTGAGATTCCGAAGCAGGAGGATTGCTTAAGGCCAGGAGTTCAAGACCAGCCTGGGCAACATAGCAAGACCTCCATCTCTACAAAAACTTAGCCAGACATGGTGATATGCATCTGCAGTCCTAGCTACTCAGGAGGCTGACGCGGGAGGATCACGTGAGCCCAGGAGTTTGAGGCTGCAGTGAGCCACGAGTGTGCCACTGCGCTCCAGCTTGGGTAGCAGAACAAGATCCCATCTCTACAAAAAAAAAAAAAAATCAATAAAAATAAGAAATTAAAAATTTTAAAAATTTACAGGTAATTAAAAAAAAAAAAACCATGGAAACAGAGACAAGTAAGTTACTTTTGCCATGGCAGTTCTGCTTTTCAAAACACGTGAAACCCACTGAAATTTTTTGGTTATGTGGCAAATAATAAGTTTGAAAGACGATGCTAAAGTATTTTGATAGTTTGCATGAAGCACTGATATAATACTTACATGGCAGAAAAAAATTAATAAAATACTTTAGATAGCCTTCATGTTTTTCTTCTATGTGCCCTATCACTTGAGCCAAGCACTGCTTCTATACTATAGCACAATGAATCAATTGTATCAAAATAATTTTTATGACAAAAGCTTTTAGAATTAAAATAAAGAATTCAGTGAAGAAACTGAGATGCAAGGACTTTATAGTGAAATAATTATTTATTTTTAATAAAGAGAATAATCACAAAAATTTATGTTAATGTCATTTGGTAAAATGTTCTTATATTACTCCTCTCAAATATAAAATATGAAGAAAACAGAAGACAAACTGCTGTAATAATTTTCTTTTAAGAAACACAAAGAAAATGTAAATATATTTAAGGGTAATAATTTATAACTGGTTAACAAGATTATTTCAAGTACTCTTCTTCTATTAAAAATTTCTCACGTTAATGTTATAAATGTGATTTTAATTTTTAACTAAATTACACTCCTATCACACTTTTTACCTTTACTGCCTTAGCAGTTTCCAAGGATTGTTCTGGAGGGATTCCTACTTCTCGGTCTCTCAGCAGTTGCTGAATAAAATATGTTATATCTCGTCCTGCGATTGGAATGTGTTTAATACAGCTGCCAATCACATACCCTTCAGCCTAGAGAGGGGAAAAAAGATACCAAATTTACTTTCAATGTTTTGAAAATTAATATAACCCAAAAATATGAACCAATAAAGACCAATTTATTAAGTTAGTGTATTTATAGTCTCAAGTACTGCTTTATCTCAGAACTTACCTTTATTCCTCAGAAACTATAACTAAGAATGGCCAGCAACTTAGATTTATTTTCCCACTGACAGTTTATAACTATGACTAAAATAACTCAACAATATAGAAATAATAAATTTCAAAATATAAATATCAAATGGTTTAGATAGCAGACTTTATATCAGATGGTACTATTTTTAAATCATTTATAATTTCAGTAAAAAATTTAGATTGCTTCATAAGAAATGTGACAAAGTGCTTATCATTTTCCTAATCAAGTATGTATCCATTTCACAAACCTGAAGCTTTCCACACACCATCATAATGCCAAATAACTAAATTCTGTAGAACTGATTCACAAATTTACTGATGTGTCAGAAGTATAACAAATAGTGTGGCAAAATTAAATTTCATTAGGAAAGAATATTAAGGATGCCTTCATCTGGCATGACAGAATATTAGGGATTGAACTTACCCTCTCAATTTAAAGAGAAAACAGGACAATTTATAAGAAATAAAGGTTTTCGGCCGGGCGCGGTGGCTCACGCCTGTAATCCCAGCACTTTGGGAGGCCGAGACGGGCGGATCACGAGGTCAGGAGATCGAGACCATCCTGGCTAACACGGTGAAACCCCGTCTCTACTAAAAATACAAAAATTAGCCGGGCATGGTGGCGCGCGCCTGTAGTCCCAGCTACACGGGAGGCTGAGGCAGGAGAATGGCGTGAACCCGGGAGGCGGAGCTTGCAGTGAGTCGAGATCGCACCACTGCACTCCAGCCTGGGCGACAGAGCGAAACTCCGTCTCAAAAAAAAAAAAGAAAGAAAGAAAGGTTTTCAGACATTTGACAATCGGCAGAGTAGGGCAGAGATACTTTCTAAGAAAAGGGAAACAAATAACGTGAATGTTACACTCTATCCTACTGCCTAGGGAGAGTTACTAGGCCACAACAATAGGAAAGAGAACTCAAACTGGTCTCATTAAGTTAGGGATATAGAATTTAAAGGTCAGAAAGGCCAAAGTGGCTGAAGTTTGTAGGCCAAATTATTGGAGGGGGAGGAGTTGAACCAACAGGGAGCTGGGAAGATGTGAAGAGAGTACCTCCTTAACTGAATACTGATCAGCACACTCCTGTGAGGAAACCATCAAGGTGAGAGAAAGGACCTCTAGAAAAAAGTAGACAGAACCACCACCAGAGCTCACACATAGCCAGAAATAGTTCCTGATCCCACTAGCCAAAGTTGAAAGATGTTTTCAAACACAAGACATGAAGTAGAGTCCTCAGAAGAATATTGCCTCAAGAATGGGGACAAACCAGCCCTGGACAAAAACCTGTTACGGACCTGCTTAATAACATTTAAAAGGAGCCCCTGAGAGGATCAAACTAGTTCCTGGTATCTTAACTATGTCCCAGGAAAAAATCCTAAATACTTATAAAGAACTCCAAAAATACAATACACAACAATGTATAGAGTGCCAAATCAAAAATTATAAGCATGCAAGGAAGCGGAAAAACACAACACTTAACGAGGAGAAAAACCAAACAATACAGAGGAATGACAAGGACAATAAAACAGCAACTATATACTCCATATAATGAAGAAGGTCAACAATGAGGATGAGGAAGAGAGAAATGGAAGATATAAAAAGACCCAAATGGAACTTCTGAAGAAAAAAATACAGTATCTAAAATTTAAAAATCTACCAGATGAAAAGAAAAACACTAGATGAGATTACAGTGGACTACACAGTGAAGAAAAAATAGTGAATTTGAAGACAGAGCAATAAAAACTATCCAAAAAAAAGAAAAAGATTATAAAAAAATAAATGTACAGAGCATCATGATCTTTGAGACACTGTGAAGCAGCCTAATATACATGTGATTAGAGTACCTAAAGGAGAGAAAAGAGGAAGAGAAAAAATATGTAATCAGTAACAGACAAAAACTTTCCAAATATGATGAAAATTACAAACTATATATACAAGAAGCTCAATGAACCCCAAGGAGAAGAGACATAAAGAAAACTTTACTTAGGTACATCACAATCAAATTGCTAAAAACCAATGAATCAGGAATAAAAAGAAAATCTTGAAGACAGCCACCCAAATAAACATTACATTCAAAGAAACACACACAAGAATAACAGCTGACTTATTTTCAGAAACAAGGTAAGCCAGAAGACAGTGGAGTGACATCTACAGGGGAAAACTGTCAACCTTCTATACCAAGCAAAAATCATCTTTCAAAACTAAAGGAGAATAAAGACTTTTTCAAAGGATGTACAAAAGTTGAAAGAATTCAAAGCCAGCAGATCAGCACTATAAGAAATGTTGAAGGATGTCATTTTGACAGAAGGAAAATGATACTAGGTGGAAATCTGGACCTTCACAAAGGAATAGAGAGCACTAGATATGGTACGTGAATAAAAGAACTCAATTTCAAGGCTGGGCACAGTGGCTCATGCCTGTAATCCCAGGACTTTGGGAGGCCAAGGCAGGTGGATCACTTGAGGGCAGGAGTTCAAGACCAGCCTGAGCAACATGGTGAAACCCCGTCTCTACTAAAAATACAAAAAAATTAGCTGGGTGTGGTGGTGCACATCTGTAATCCCAGCTACTCGGGAGGCTGAGACACAAGAATCGCTTAAACCCAGGAGGCAGAGGTTGAAGCGAGCTGAGATCGCACCACTGCACTCCAGCCTCGGCGACAGAGCAAGACTCTGTCTCCAAAAAAGTTATCTTTTAAAGATAACTTTTTGCTACTGGGTAAATTGTGTTTTTCCTCCCCACCAAATTCCCATGCTGAAGTCCTAAGCTCTATCTCAGAACGTGACTGTTTTTTGGAGATAGGGTATTCAAAGTGGTATCTAGTTAAAATGAATTCATTAGGGTTGCTTTCTCTAATCCAATATAAGTGGTGTCCTTAAGAAGAGGAGATTAAGACACAGACATGTATGGGGAGGACTATGTGAAGACATATAAAGAAGATGGACATCTAGAAGCCAAGAAGAAAGTCTTCAGAAGAAACCAACCCTGCCAAAATCCTGATACCTATCCTTTCCCACTCCTCACATTGTAGTTATATCACAATTTTTGGTTCTAACCTCCAGACCTGTGAGGAAATACATTATTCTTTAGGTACCCAGTCTGTAGTACTTTATTACGGTAGTTCTAGCAAACTAATACACCACTCAAAATGAAACAAGTTAACAATGTATTATTGAGTTCACAACATATAAAAGTAAAATGAATGACAATATAAGAACAAAGACTAGAAGGTCAAAGCTGTTGTATAATTATTATTTATGAAGTAGTAGAATGTTATTTGTAATTAGACAGTGGTAAGTTAAAGATGTTTACTACAACCCATACAACAACCACCACCAAAAACAAACAAATGACAACAGATATAGCATAGCTAATAAGTCAATAAAGAGAAAACAGAATAATAAAAAATACTCTACTAATTCTAAAGAAGGCGGGAAAAGTAAACAATAAAAAGGAATAGCACCCCCCCACCAACCTTTTTTTTTTTTTTTTTTTTTTGGAGACAGGGTCTCACTCTGTTGCTCAAGCTAGAGAAGCTAGAGTGCAGTGGTGAGATCATGGCTCACTGCAGCCTCAACCTCTCCAGGGTCAGGTTATCTTCCCTCCTCAGCCTCTGGAGTAGCTGGGACTACAGTCATGAACCACCACGTTCAATTAATTTTTGCATTTTTTGTAGAGACAGGGTTTCAGCATGTTGCCCTGTTGGTCTTGAACTCCTAGGCTCAAGCAGTCTGCCCACCTTGGCCTCCCAAAGTGCTGGGATTACAGGCATGAGCCACCATACCAGCCAGAATACCCACTCTTAATGTCCTTACTAAAACTCATTCTTTTACATATTGATAACTTCTATTCTGCAAATTACCTATTCTAATTATCAACATGCTGATAGTACTGCTCAGATGTGCAGCTGTTAAGAAAAGACTGAAGAAAGGCAGAACCAGGTCAAATCCTAGCCTCACTACCTATTATTTGGTGACCTTAGGCAAGTCAATTATTTGCATTTTATTAATGAGTAAACTGAGGTACTCAAAGAAAAATATAATATTTATCACAGACTGATTTTCAGATTTAAACAATAATTTTAAGATGAAAAATTATTTTATGTACCACTAAGAAAGAAAAATAAACTGCCAAGTAAACTAAAAAAAGCTATCAAATGCTGGACACGTCCTAATTTCCAAGCTTACTAAAATCCTCCCAAAGGCTACATAAAATCTCATATATCCACATAATGAAATATTATTTGGCAATAAAAAGAAATGAAATACTATACGTGCTAAAACATGGATGAATCTTGAAAATGTTCGGCTAAGTGAAAGCACCCAGTTACAAAAGACCACAGTGTTTAACTCCATTTACATAAAATGGCCAGGACAGGCAAATCTAACACAGACAAAAAGTAGATTCGTGGTTGCCAGGGGCTGAAGGAATCAAGGGGAAATGGGTGGTGACTGTTAATAGTTACAGGGTTCCTTTGTAGGGTGATGAAAATGTTCTAAAATTGTGGGGACGGATGGACTTTGTGAATATACTAAAAATCAATGAACTGTACACTCTAAAGAAGTGAATTGTATGGTATATGAATTTTATCTTAAGCTATCGTTAAACAATGGCAGTTATTACTAAAACCATTATGACATATCATGAGGGTGAAAGTGGTGGAGGACCAGGAGTCTAATCCAAAGGTAGTCACCCTGAGGATGTAATCTTTAACAGACATTGCCTGATGCATTAAACACTGGAGTGAGAATAAAAAAAAAAAAAAGTTCAAAATAATGTAAATCCTTAAGTGATATTCATTATAATATAAAAATTACTTTAAAAGATAAACCTTTCTCTATATACCCATTTAATAATAAACAGTATGAATTCTAGTAGTCATTTTGAATTCATTAGGCATAATTTTTTTAAAACTTGATGTATCATTAAGAACTGAAGCACAACGGCCTTGGAAGAAAAATGTTATTTCTGACAATCTAATTTGATGCATTTTTCTTAATATGCTTTATTAAGTACAAACCATAAAGCATCTACTAAAGTTCAGGTACTTAAAACTAACTGTTATACAGTTACCCTGTACACCAGTCTGAAATCTGTTAATTATGAATAAAAGAGGTCATCAAATGGCTAACACACATCCAACTGGAAAACAGAATGAAAGCCATTAATATACTTCCATTCCAGATATTGCAATTTGTAATTTTCTTAATTGCAGTACAAACCTACAGTAAAAGAAACATTTTGAATTGTTTATAAAAGTTTTAAACGGTGAGCAAAACATAGCTATAACTGGACAAATGGCCAAATTATAGTGCAGCATTTAAAGTTTTTTAAAAGTAACATTAATTCGTATAATTTAACTTTGCCAGATGTGTTATTTCATGTTCTGTTCAGTAACTGTAAAATAGCCTTACCACAGGAATGACATGAGTGACACCATCTCCACTGTCTATTACCGTACCGGTCAACGTCCGTTCTCCTACTTGTCTTGAGGTCCAAGATGCAGCTAAGGCAAGAACAGCCTTGAGCACAAAGAAAGAAGAAAGGCAAAAAAACAAAAAAAAAAAACAAAAAAACAAAGAGTTAATCGAAAAAAAAAAAACTAGTTCCCTGGAGTACTTTATTCAATTTTAAATGTAGTATCTGTGGAAAGAAAATACATAAAATTAATTTTGTATTATGCAATAAAATAGCTCACTCCCTACATTTTATTAAGACAAACTTAGAGGTTTACATTTGCTTTTAGGAGCATGATTTGTAAGATTTACATATTTTATAAAGGCTATTTCTGTCCTAAAGCTAAAAATGTGGAAGATTGCATTAAACAGTACAGAACTAACTGTCTGTAATCCCAGCACTTTGGGAGGCCGAGGCGGGCAGATCACGAGGTCAGGAGATCGAGACCTTCCTGGCTAACACGGGGAAACCCCGTCTCTACTAAAAAATACAAAAACTTAGCCAGGTGCGGTGGCGGGCGCCTGTAGTCCCAGCTACTCAGGAGGCTGAGGCAGGAGAATGGCGTGAACCCGGGAGGCGGAGCTTGCAATGAGCCGAGATCATGCCACTGTACTCCAGACTGAGCGACAGAGCAAGACTCCATCTCAAAAAAAAAAAAAAAAAAAATTGTATAGAACTAACTTGCCAGAACTTAAACTATGTCCACGTGGGCTGGCCTGTTACAAACTGCAATGTAAGGCAGAAAGTACACAACCACCCTACCTCCAGTTATTCAATACATATATGGCTATAAACAACTATTACTAAAAGATTACCTTCTTTTTCTTTTTTTCTTTGAGACAGAGTTTCTTTCTGTCACCCAGGCTGGAATGCAGTGGCACGATCTCGGCTCACCGCAATCTCCGCCTCTTGGGTTCAAGCAATTCTCTGCCTCAGCCTCCGGAGTAGCTGGGATTACAGGTGCCCACCACCACACCCGGCTAATTTTTGTATTTTCAGTAGAGACGGGGTTTCACCATCTCAGCCAGGCTGATCTTGAACTCCTGACCTTGTGATTCACCTGCCTCAGCCTGCCAAAGTGCTGGGATTATAGGCATGAGCCACTGTGCCAGGCCTACCTTCAAATTTTTTTAAGGTAACATGTGTTTAGGACTATATGACATACAGAAAACGCCATCGCACACCTCCAAATACTACTATGATTTAATTATGGAGCAACGTTGATAAAATTTTTCTATGAAAAACCTTGGTACAGACAATACAACACAATTCTTTTTTAAGTGTGAGAATTAAGAAATTAACATAGTTCATTTTTTAAAAAACTAAATTTCTTACAATCCAAGCCTCAAACAAAGTATATGACTAGTAATTAAAAACAACTAAACTTATACTGGACTTATTTTACCTACCTGGACTGTAATAGCTAAAAGGGACCTAGAAAGCTATCTAGGTCACCCTCCTATCTGAACACAAGATCATATTAACACAATCACCACATAATCACTATAGGCTAACAGAACTATACATTATTTTTTGACAATCTTAAAATGAAAAATTCCATCCTAATACTAGTTATATATATATATACTGTTTAGACTTCATTATGAGATATCCTTCCTCTATAAGTAAGTTCAAAACTATCATCTACAACCAAGAATTATCTCTGATCACTTTTACAAGTCTTTTGTAAACAGTTACGGTCCCAAACTAGAATAGATATGTATCAGCACATCATGTTACAGAAATGTTATTGACTACTGAACATCAACAAAACAGAACAGAGATTAAATAATGAAATTAAGAGCACTCAGAGGCCACTAAGGAAATCACTGAAAAACCAAATTACGACTCCAGAGGAATGAAACAAAGCTCATGATGCCAGTGTTTTAAAGTAAGCTTTACCTGACAATATGGTTAAACATAAGTTTATTATATTTAACATAGGATGAGAAGCAAAAACTCCCAAGTGAAAGATGAATTTTCCCAACTCCTCATTTTATTCATATTCTAAGAACTAAAAAAGGGCCTCCCACTCAAGACTGAATTCTTCTATAAAGTTCATGACAGGTTTAAGTGACTCCTTAAATATTTTTAGCAGCAGAGAATTTAAAAGGCAGTTCATTAAATTTATGGATTGCATTAAACATTAAAAAGTTCTTTGCTATCCAAGTTAAAATATTCATCCATAATTATCACTTATTGATTCTGTGTACCGTGGAGTTACAAAAACCAGTGTGATCCCAAGAAAGAGCAAAGTCAGACAGACCTCAGCTGCCTGGTATCACAGCTAACCATTTAATTATGAATAAAGTGCCTTCCAGCTTTAGTTTTCTTCCTCCACAAAAAACAGAAACAAAAATATCTACATTTAATAGAAATAATGAATTAATACACATATAAAGCATTTGTGTTATGTCAGGGATTACCTCTGCTACAAGGGAAAAAAAAAAAAAATGAGGTCAGCTCTGATCCTGAGGGGTGGGAGAGAAGCTGTTCCATACAGATAAACGTACAAATTAAGAGAAGTGAAATATTAGGGTGTCAAATATACCTAAAGATAAGTCAATCAAAAAAGACTACAATAAAGGACAAAAAGATTTATAAGGATAAATGATAAAGGATTATTTACAAGGATAAATATATATACAATGTTCTTGTCACAGAGAAAGCATTCCATAAATATTAGTTCCTTCATTTCTGTCCTATGAAAGCCCTTGAAATACCCAAACACCACTAACTTACTTTTTTAACACTTCTCTTTTCCTGACTAAATATCTCCACTTCCCATAATATTACTTCTAAATTAACAATTCAGGAGAGAAGTATAACATGCTTTGACATTATGTTTAAACCTTTGCAGAAAAAAAAAAAAAGTACGTATTTTAGGCAGCAAATTAAACTAGGTTAAAATGTAAGAATCAAACTTAGAAAGTATGAACTTGCTTACCTGCACAGCAATGTACAAGCCTGGAACATTGAAGGACTCAAACATTATTTCAGCAGTATATTCCCTGTTTTCTGGAGTATTCAATGGAGGTTCAGTCTATTGAAATAAATAACATTTTAAATAGATAATATCAGATTATTTTGATAACTTTCTTGACAATTTTTAAATGAGAAGTAATTTATTTCAAACATTTTATTTAAAATGCATTAAATTTACAAGTAGAAAGACAGACACAGAGATCAAAGGAAAACTATAGAGAATTCAAACATCCATACATATATGAAAACAGTATGGTAATTCACATTTTAAAAAAAAAATACCCTGAATGCCTATATCATACCACTTATACAGATTAAACATTAAAAAGAAATGAAGCAGGGAGAGAGAGGGTTGGAGGTAGGGAAAAGGTGGTCCAGTCAAATCATCCTTTAAATATGGTAATGACAAACCTCCAGAAAAAACATCAATGGTATTTGCCAGTGGGAGAGCCCTCATCTAAGTAATGCTTTTAGATGAATGTCCCCGAAGTATATAGGATTACAGTAAACAAGCCGAGATTCTACAGATCTAATGGTACAGCTTTCTGAAAAATGTTATATTAATTTACCTGTTAAGAGCATAGAATCAAGATGTTTGCAGAGCACTCTTCTGTTTATGTGACTGTATACATCACTTAGAAACCTCACAGGTTAAGTCTGGGACAGAACACACTCTAAAGAGGCAAGGAAGGACTCAGAGATCTGGCAGTCTTGGACTTCATATTTCACCTATGCCTCATGATCACTTAAACTGTTTCAATTTTTAAAGATTAACACTGGGTAAGACCTCTGATTCTTGTGAGTCTGACTGGCAATCTAATAGGTATCTCAAATACTTAAATGTAAAAGAAAAATTTTTAAATTTAAAAAAGACACAGAATTCTCTTTTTGACCTTAAGGTAGGAATAACTCCTTAAATTTCTGAAGTACAAATCACAAAGGGAAAAAGTGATAAAACTTGAATCCATTAAAAATTAAATATTTTTAAAATTATTATTTCAAAAGAAATATAAAGCAAAACAACTAAGTATACTGTTACCTTACATAAAACCTTTATAAGCTAAACTCCCTGTGGTGTTTAAACTTCTTTAGAAGAGTTCTGGAGCTATGTTTAAAAGTCTGGAGATAATTTACTGATGAATACATACAAAATTAAGTAAACTAAAAACCAAGGCAGTGAAATTATAAACTCCAAGAAAAAAAATCTACATAAAAGATAATCAGAGGACCCCACAAAGGAAAATATACAAATAGCTAATAATAACAATCGTACATGAAAGACTGCTCAACATAATTATCAGAAAATGAAAATTAAAATTAAAAGCAAATGAAAAATCGTACACACCCACCAGAACGGCTAAAATTTTAAAGACTGACAAGCTAGCAGCGCAGTGGCTCACATCTATAATCCCAGCACTTTGGGAGGCCGAGGTGGGCAGATTACTTGAGACTAGAAGTTCAAGACCAGCCTGGCCAACATGGCAAAATCCTGTCTCTACTAAAATTACAAAAGTTAGCCAGGTGTGGTGGTGCATGCCTGTAATCCCAGCTACTCAGGAGGCTGAGGCACAAGAATCCCTTAAACCTGGGAGGCGGGGAGGTTTCAGTGAGCCAAGATCACACCACTGCACTCCAGCCTGGGTGACAGAGCAAGACTGTCTCAAAAAAAAAGTATAAAAGATTGATAAGCCAAATCTTGAATAGAGCAAGCAGATTACTAATGCATCACTGGGGGGTGTGCAAAAAGGTTCACCATCTTGGGAAAAGTTCCCATGAGTTTCCCTAAAAAACCAATCAGGTACCTACCCTATGACGCTGCAATTCCATACTTACGTATTTAGACAAGAGAAATGAAAACATATGTCCACAAAAAGTCTTGTAGAAGAAGGTTCACAATGGTCAAATTATTTTATTATAACCAAAAACTAGAACTAAGCCAGGCATGGTGGCAGCACTTTGAGAGGCCATGGCGGGAGGATCACTTGGAGCCCAGGAGTTCAAGACCAGCCTGGGTGACAAAGTGAGACTCCATCTCTAAACCAGAACACATTACCCAGGTGTGGTGGCCCGGGCCTGTGTGTCCTAGCTACTCAGGAATCTGAGCTGGGAGAACTGTTTGAGCTGGGAGGTCAACACTGCAATGAGCCATGATTGATCCACTGCATTCCAGCCTGAGCAACAGAGCAAAACCCTGTCTTAAAAAAACAAAAACAAAAACAAAAAAAAAACAAAAATAGCCCAGGTATTCATCAACAGGAAAATGGATAAAGTGAGGCAAATTTATACAATGGAATACTACCCAGCAACAAAAAGCAACAAATCACCAGTATATGCAACATAATTCAATCTCCAGATTATGCTAAGTAAAAGTGTTTCACCAAAATGCACATATTGCATGATTCCATTATTTGACACTCAAACATGGGCAAAGCTAATCTCAGATGAAAAAGAAACAGTGGTTGTCACTAGGGCACGGGGGCAGAGATTAATTACAAAAGGGCATGAGAAAACTTTCCACGCTGATAGTAATTTCTCTATATCTTGGTAAGAGTTTAGGTTACACAGATGTATGTAACTGACAAAGATTGGACAAATCACATCATGCATCCTGCAGGTCAAATACAGCCCACCACCTGTTTTGGTAAAAAAAAAAAATTTATTGGAACACAGACATACCTATGAATTTAAGTATTGTCTATGGCTGCTAACATGCTACAACAGCACAGCTGAGTAGCTGTGACAGGGACCATTGTATAAAAAGTTCTCATTAAGTTTCCTCAGGGACTATAACCCCTGCAAAGCCAAAAATATTTGCTATCTGCTCCCTTAGAAAGTTTGCCAAACCCTGGTCAAAATCCACTGAATGGTGCAGACCGGTGATTTTATGATATGTAAATTTTATATGAAAAGAATAACCATACACAAATGATAGCTCTAGTTGATGAAATACGTGCTAAAGTATTTAGGGGTCAAATGACTCCCATTTGCAACTCACTTTGAAGTGATTTAAAAACTAAAATGAAGTGAAAGATGGATAGACGTCATGAAGCAATTATAGCCAAATGTTAAGGTTAATCATCGAATCTAGATTGTGGGTGTATGAGTGTCCATAGTATGGTTCTTTCAACTTTATAGTCCATCACAATCACCGAAAGACACAGAATATTGATTTAACCAAAAATTGTGATGTAACTACAATGCGAGGAGTGGGAAAGGATAGGTATTTTGTGTTGAGGGAGAGAAAAGGTAAAAAGGGAAATTCTCATTTTTCCTATTAGGAAGTTGGTAAATAATGTATAATATTCTTAAAGACAGAAGAAATAAAAAAAAAATGTTAAATAAAAGAAACATGTTAAAAGATTACTAGCAGGGCAAACTTTGTTAAAATTGAAAATGTTTGCCTCCGGGGAATATGAACCAAAGGTTGGGAGAGGTAAGAAAGGAAAGTGTTATTTTGTTGTTTTAAATCTTATAAAGTCATTTGATTTTTTAAGTTATGAACATGCACTGCTTTAATAAAAAGATGTTTAATAAAAAGTTAGATTATATTGTATTTTTGTTATGAAGAAATACCAATGATATAATAATCAGACTATTGTTTTTTAAGCAAAAAAGTGCCACAGGTTTCCAACATTTTTCTGAACATTACTTACTGTTTCTATCATAAAGATTAGACATTAACTACCAAAAGCACTTCTTAAGTGTTTAACATGTGGTGCTTTGACATACTACTATTCTCCTGTAGCCATAACTAGATGGTCTTAAAGATGATACAGCTTTATTACAAAGTCATTTAGACATATGACAATTTAATAACCAAAGTATACCAAAGAAGTATGATGAAAATGTTCTCATTAAGTGTATTCAAAAATTTCCTCAGTGAAATTATAACTTGTAACTTACCAAAAGAAAATAATGGTCTTCAGGTTCTGCCCTTAAATATTTAAAGATCACTTGCTCCATAAACCTTTCCATTAAGTCCCAATCTTCAACTATACCATGGCGGATTGGCCACTATTAAAACAAAAAGGGAAATACAAATTAAATCTTATTAATATAAAAAACAAATAAAAATACAAAAAAGGAAATATCAGATCATTAGTGGATATTAGATGAGGATATATTCATAGGTGTGATACTATAGAACATCCTTAAAAGATGTGTACTTAAGGATTTAAAGATAAATTAGTTCAATAACGCATTGTCAGATGGATGGTTCAATAAAAACAAAGTGAATATGTCAAAATGTTAAAAACTGTTAAATCTACATGGAAGACCATTGTACTAGTCTTTCTAGATTTTAAAAGTTTTGTAATAAAAGGATAAGTTAGCCTACAAAAATTAAGCCTAAAAAACTATACTTTATCACAATTTCCTTAATTTTTAATGCATTAGGCCATTAACAAGTATTTGTTGTATGCCGAATATAAAAAGTGCACCTGTAAGTACATACCTAGAATAATTGTAAGAATCAAGCACATAAAATGTTATAAGAAAAGTTTTATAAATGTTTAAGAGTCATGCTTCCAAAACTGTGTGCTAAGATACCTACTATGATTTGGATGTGGTGTGTTCCCACCAAAACTCATGTTAAAATTTAATTCCCAGTGTTATAGTATCGAGAGGTGGTAGGGCCTTTAAGAGGTCATCAGGTCATTAGAGGAATTAATGCAGTTCTCAGCAGGACTGAGTTAATTCTCCAGAGGGTTGAAGGCAGGCTGTTACAAAGTGAAGTTGTCCCTTGTATTTTGTCCCTTTCCTCTTCCATTCCCCAACATGTTATGAAGCAGCATGAGGTCCTTACCAGAGGTTGATCAGATGTGGCCAACTCATCTTGGACTTCCTCACCTCCAGAACCACAAGCCAAAATAAACCTCTTTTCTTTATAAATTACTCAGTCTCAAGTATTCATTATAGCAACAGAAAATGAACTGAGACAGCACCCCAGTGTACTACCATAAATTCACAAGGGCGCCGCAAAGTTATTTTAAATTTTCCAGGGAAATATAGTGTTACTCAACATCAGTTGGACACTGCGTGATCTACAAGTCACAGTAATTCAGTTTCAACAATAAATCAAACTATTATATATTCCTTTCAATGACATTATTTCTTACAGAAGTTGGTTTGTCAGCAGTTGCTGGCATAAAAACCAAGTTATCACATAAAATAACATCGATATAAAACAAGAAATCAGGGTGGCAATGTCCCATCTGATTCCAGGTTTGAGAAGCTGAGCGATGCCTAAGCATCCTAACAGAAATGTGATTACTCAGCAGTGAAATAACGTTTCCAATTTAAGTGTCTTATTTTTTTCAAGTGGCTACTAAGTTGCCTGGACCTAGGTATTTAATAAACAGAACTATCAGACATTTCTTTCGATCTAGGTGGCACAGTGAAAAACGTTACTGAGACCCTAACGGCACTGAGAAAGTTTGTGAACCTCTGCAACAGAATATAATTCCATGAACATAATACACATTCAATACCTAAAGTTAAACAAATTAATGAACAAAGAAATAAATACCTTGCAGTATCAATCCCTAACATCTACTTCTTACTCTAGTTTCCACACTACTTTTTAAGGCATTATACTTATAAAAGGACTTCTACTCCCCAGTTTGCTTTAAGGAAGGAAAAAATTGCAGTTTACTTTATCATTCAATTTTTAACATTATTAGAAGTTTACAAATTCAAATGTTTTAAGTATTATTTATTCATCAATTATTACTGTGTACCTACTGTAAGCCACTGGCACAAATGCTAAGGACACAGACATCCAGCATACAAAAAACTCAGTCTAGCAAAAGAAATATATACGAACAAATATTACACTACAGGTTTTTAAAAAAAATAAAGTTCCGACTGGGCGTGGTGGCTCATGCCTGTAATCCCAGCACTTTGGGAGGCCAAGGCAGGCAGATCACCTGAGGTCAGGAGTTTGAGACCAGCCTGGCCAACATGGTGAAACCCCGTCTCCACTAAAAATACAAAAATTAGCCAGGCGTGGTGGTGCATGCCTATAATCCCAGCTACTCGGGAGGCTGAGACAAGAGAATCACTTGAACCCAGGAGGCGGAGGTTGCAGTGAGCCAAGATCACTCCATTGCACTCCAGCCTGGGCGATAGAGTAAGACTCTGTCTCCAAAAAAAAAAAAAAAAAAGGTGGCACGATGGCTCACGCCTGTAATCCCAGCACTTTGGGAGGTTGAGGTGGGTGGATCATTTGAGGTCAGGAGTTCAAGACCAGCCTGGCCAATATGGTGAAGCCCCATCTCCACTGAAAATACAAAAATCAGTCAGGCATGGTGGCAGGCACCTATAATCCCAGCTACTGGGGAGGCTGAGGCAGGAGAATCTCTTGAACCCAGGAGTCAGAGGTTGCAGTAGGCCAAGATCACATCACTCCACTCCAGCCTGGGCAACAGAGTAACACTCTGTCAAATAAATAAATAAATAAATAAATAAATAGTTCCTTGAATAAGATGACCACCTTGTTTTGTGAGAGAAAAGGTTTCGCTGAGGAGGTCATATCTAAGCCGGGTCTTAACTCAGTTCTGCTTTCTGGCTTTTTTTTTGGCAGGGGAATGAGAGGTATGGAGGAACTTGTGGAGAACAGAAAAAGATGTATAGAAAGACAAACACTGCATGGTATACAAAAACAAAACTGAAGTTATCAATGAGAAATTTATGTGCCAAAAGATTTGAAGGTGCGTAGAGAGATATACCAGTTCTAGATCAAAGGGACTAGATTCTCAAAAATTTTCCTTTTATTTAGGTTTTATTCTATAAGAAATAAAACAGCAGAGAAATTTTTAAGCAGGGGAATAAGAACAGCTTTAATTTTTAGGAAGACTATTATAGCAGCATTGGGAAAGCTCAAATGAAGCTTAACAGAACCAAGTGAGAACAAGAGTACCAATAGTGGTATGGACGACAAGGGGCCACATTGAAGATTTCTCAGTCAATAAGAATAAGAAAGGGCTGGGCATGGTGGCTCATACCTATAATCCCAGCACTTTGGGAGGCCAAGGTGAGAGGATGGCTTGAGCCCAGGAGTTTGAGACCAGCCTAGGCAACGTAGTGAGACCCTGTCTCTACAAAAAAAAAAAAAATTTTTAATTAGCCAGGTGTGGTGGCACACACCTGTAGTCCCCGCTACTCAGGAGGCTGAGGTGGAAGAATCACTTGAGCCCAGAGGGTCAAAGTGATTGTGGAGGGTCTTGCAGTGAGCCAAGATCTCACCACTGCATTCCAACATGGGCAACAGGGCAAGACACCTGTCTCAAAAAAAAAAAAAAAAAGAGAAAAAAGTCAGAAGATGCCAACAGGTTTCCAGCTTTGAAGTTAGGATGGACCAGATCCATTAATCAAAACATAAAAATTGTGTTTTGTCTGATCTTGGAATAAACAAGAGTGGAGTATATATAATACGTTTTGTTTTAGATATACTAAAACTCAAGAGCCAGGAAATAGGTAGGTGAAGATGTAGTCAAGGAACTGAAAGTAGAGATCTGGTCTGTGGTTGCAGACAAAGGAATGGAGGAGATCACCTAGAGAAAGTCTTTAATGAAAGAATAAAACATTGAGTCACCCCATTTTATGAGAAGAGAAAAAAAAAAAAAAGGAGAACTGAAAGCAGTGCCTAGAGAAACCAACGTTTGAGTAGTGGGTAAAGGAGAAATCAGTGACAATAGAAACAACAAATAAAAACAAACAAAACAGGCCGGGCACAGTGGCTCATGCCTGTAATCCCAGCACTTTGGGAGGCCGAGGCAGGCAGATCACGAGGTCAGGAGATTGAGACCATCCTGGCTAACACGGTGAAACCCCATCTCTACTAAAAATATAAAAAATTAGCCGGGCACGGTGGTGGGCGCCTGTAGTCCCAACTACTTGGGAGGCTGAGGCAGGAGAATGGCATGAACCCGAAGTCGAGGCTGCAGTGAGCTGAGATCGCGCCACTGCACTCTAGCCTGGGCGACAGAGCCAGGCTCCGTCTCAAAAACAAACAAACAAACAAACAAACAAACAAACAAATATTCCATGTTAGGAAGATAACCATTAGAGTAATCCTGCAAAAGAAAGACAAATCAAGAAGGATGAAAACTGTTACATATAATTGGATTTAACAAAGAGCATATCAAATATCTTGAGACTCACTAAGAAGTGTCGTTTTAAAAGGAAAGAGAAAAATAGCTAAATTGCTGAGGACAGAAGGTAGGAATAAAGATTGAGAGAAGTTTTGTTCTGGTTTGTTAGTAGCACTTAGAAGACTTAAAAATGCGTTTAAAATGAGTGGACAGAATCAGTGGAAAGGAACTCTGGCCTCTCGACTGACTGACTTCATCACTTTCAGTGGTATCTCTTTTCCATTTTGGCCACAGTATAGATCTTATATCATCATCACTATCACCTCTCAATCGCTGAAATGCAGGTATACCCTTCTCTGATCACAACCTCTTATTATTCTAGCATACTCAACCACCTCAAGAGATCTCTTCTGAACACCAATTAAGACTTTTGGTCCACTGGTTGCTTTAATTATTCCCTAGCCATCAATATACACAGTCTAGATTTTGACCCATCACCTTTATTTCACATGTTCTTTTTTCATCCTGTCTACCAAAATCCAACCCAGCATATATCCCTAACATAAACTTGCCTATATCCAGAATGCTGATTATACCGCAGAAGCATTTGCACTAGGGTGCTAAAGACTAAGAATTCATAGTCATTATTCTCAAATGGACCTAACCTTGCCTGGCAAGCCTTTACTCTTCTACTCTGTTCCTCTTTACTCTTCACAATGACGAGTGTCAATGCCGCCCCTACCGCTAAGATTTCACCTTCTCCCCACATCCATGACCAGCAGATGATGCCACCACATATTTCGCAGAAGCAGCAGAAGCCAACAGTCAGGAATTCAAATCTGTAAAATGGATTCCATACTTAGCCTTTTTTCTCATTTACTTCCATTATAATGTAAGATATTCCGCATGTCAATTCAGTCATCTGTGTTCTGGATCTCATCCCTCCAGCTTTTTCAGAGACCTTGATTATACCTTATCTTTCCTGTTACTTTAATCTCTAATAGTTCTTTCATATTAGCATTCAGACATGTCTTCCATCTTAACGTTGAAATGTGTCTCTTCATCTCTCTCTCCCTCCCAATCACAATTGAAACTCAATGAACAGTACTCTTACTGTTACTTTTTTCCTGGCCTATCACTCAAAAGCCTACTTTCATCTAGCCCAACTACTCTTCTAAAACTATTCTCATTCAGGTTACAAATCACCACCTTGTAGCGAAAGACAGCAAATTATCTATGGGCTCTAGCTCATCTCAGCACCATTCTACAGTGTTTACCTCTACATATCTACCCATGCATTCTCAGTCTCTTTCGCAGACTTTTCCTCCTCTACTCAAACCTAACTGGCACACTGCTCTGTCTTAGTTCTCTTCCCCTGTGATATGTTCCCCTAGGTAATGTCAACCCGTCTAAGGTAACTGACACTTTCTGAATCTCTGTCTCCAGCTCTGCCTTGTTTCTTACCTCCAAAATCCACATATTTGACTCTAACAAAATCTCAGACGTCTCACAAGTACCTCAAACACAATGTGTTCAAAATTAAACTTATTTTCTCCTCTCTACACTACCCAGTCAAAAGTGTTTCTCCTTATGAAACAAGACCTCTAGCTCTCACCTTATACAAAAATCAACTCAAAATGAATTAAAGATTTAAATCTAAGACCCAAAACTATAAAAGTACTAGAAGAAAACTTAGGGGAAACCTCTCACAACATTGGTACGGGAAAAGATTTTACAAATAAGACCTCAGAAGCACAGGCAACAAAAGCAAAAATAGACAAATGGGATTATATTAAATTAAAATGCTTCTGTGAGGAAAACCATCAACAGAGGGAAAATACAAGTTATGGAATGGGTCAAAATGCCCGCAAACTGTACATCTGACAGAGGATTAACATCCAGAATATATAAGGAATTCAATTCAACAGCAAGAAAAAAAAAAAAAAACACTGATTTTTTTAAAAGGGCAAATAATCTAAATAGACATTTCTCAAAAGAAGTCACATCAACGGCCAACAAATACATGAAAAAAACGTCCAACATGACTAATCATCAGGAAAATGCAAATCAAAACCAGAAAGAAATACCGTCTCACCATAGTTAGAATGGCTATTACCCAAAAGACAAAAAAAATCACAAATGCTGGCAAGGATGTGCAGAAAAGGGAACTCATATATACTGTGGAGGGAATGTTAATAGGTAAAGCCACTATAAAGCATAGTACAGAGGCTCCTCAAAAAACCACAAATAGAACTACCATATGATCCAGCCATCCTACTATTGGGTATATACCCAAAGGAAAATAAATTACTATATCAAAGATACCTGCACCCTCATGTTTATTGCAGTACTCTTCACAATAGCCAAAATATGAAATTAACCTAAGTGTCCATACGGATATGTGTAGTATATATGCACAATACTATTCAACCATAAAAAAAGAGTGAAATCCTGTCATTCCTGGCAACACAGATGAGCCCAAAGGACATTAAGTGAAATAAGCCAGGGACTAAAAGATAAAAAATTGCATGTTCTCATTCATGTGCAAAAGCTAAAAAAATTGACTTCATGTAAGTAGAGAGTAGAAAAGTGGTTACTAGAGGCTGGAAAGGGTAGGGGAAAGAAGGGAATAGGGAGAGCTTGAATAAAGGATACAAAATTACAGCTGGATAGCAAGAATAAGTTCTAGTGTTCTATAGCACTATATGATGACTACAGTTAATTTATTATATATTTTCAGATAGTTAGAACAGAGAATTCTGAATATTCTCAACACAAAAAAATAAGTGTTTGAGGTGAATATGCTACTTACATTGACTTGATCACCACACACTGTACATATCAAAATATCACTACATACTCCATAAATATGTACAATTATTATATGTCAAGTAAAATTTTTTTAAAAGCCTGGCACAGTGGCTCATGCCTGTAATCCCACACTTTGAGAGAGGCCAACATGGGAGGGTCACTTGAGCCCAGGAGTTTGAGACGAGCATGGGCAACAGAAGGAGACCCTGTCTCTATAAAAAATAAAATAAAAGGCCGGACGCAGTGGCTCACACCTGTAATCCCAGCACTTTGGGAGGCCAAGGTGGGCAGATCACCTGAAGTCAGGAGTTCAAGGCCAGGCTGGCCAAATGGTGAAACCCCATCTCTACTAAAAACACAAAAATTAGTCCGGCGTGGTGGCACATGCCTGTAATCCCAGCTACTCAGGAGGCTGAAGCAGGAGAATCGCCTGAACCCAGGAGGTGGAGGATGCAGTGAGGTGAGATCACGCCACTGCACTCCAGCCTGGGAGACAGAGCAAGATTCCATCTCAAAAATAAAAATAAAAATAAAATAAATTAGCGAAGCATGGTGGCACACGCCTGTGGTTCCAGCTACTCAGGAGACTGAAGTGTGAAAATCTCTTGAGTCCAGAAGTTTGAGGCTGCAGTGAGTGAGCTGTGATTGTGCCACTGCACTGCAACCTAGGTGACAAAGTTGAGACCTTGTCTTAAAAATAAAATAAAATAATTTTTAGATGTTTTTCCTTTAACATTCTCAATTTCAGCAGATAAGGGATAAATAAGACTATCTCGGAGCTGGGAATTACCCTCAATTGATACATCTAGCTTATCACCAATATCCCATTCATCACGCCCTGTTACTCTTTAATTATCCACTTTTTCCTTGTCAAAACAAACAAACAAAAACCTCCCATAAATCTAATCAGACTTACATTTAACTACCATTTACAACAAAAAAAAGTAAATATAGGAAGTAGGGTACCATGTTAAATGACCCAATGAGTATGTAATAATCAGAATCCCTAGAATATAGGAAATTTTACAAGACATCTCAAGTTTTTTTCCATAAATAAATGGCAAGAACAAAAAAGAAAAGAAACATAACACACAGGGAAAATAACCTATAGATAAAAAGAGACTTAAGAGATTTATCAACTAAATCCAATGAGTAGACCACATTTTAATGTTGATTCAAACAGAATAACCAATATAGTAAATAATCAAAGAAATTTAAGCAATGACTAGATATCAGATAAAGAAACTGCATACTAAATTAAGGTGTCATATTTACCTTTTTTAAAAGCCTTCATATTTAAGAGTTAAGTATTTGTTAAGTGAAATAGTATGTACAATTTACTTTAAAATAATTGCAGGTTGAGGGTGGAAAGATTATATAGACAAAATGAGATTGTCCATAGATTATAACCACCAAAGTTGTATGATAGGCACATGGGGGTTCATTATATTATTTTCTGTTCTTTGACATGTGAAGTTTTCCACAATAAAAGTTAAATGTCTGTGTGTGTGATTGCACTTACACAATTTCCATTTCTATCCCCACTGCCGTCACTAATATCTCTTGCTTAGACTATAGCAATAGTCAATTATCTGGTTTTCCCAGAATCATGCTTACCTTACCCAAATAATTTCTCTTCATTGTCTATGTGGCCTGAGTAATCTTTTCTAAGTAAAATAAGCCAACATATATTGAGTAACCATTATGTTCAAAGCACTAGAGTATAACAATTTCTTTATACACATCTCCTTAAGCCTTATAACAATCCTGGCCCAGGCGTGGTAACTCACATCTATAACCCCAGCACTTTGGCAGGCCAAGGGGACAAATTGCTTGAGCCCAGGAGTTCAAGACCAGCCTGGGCAACATGATGAAACTCCATCTCTACCAAAAATACAAAAAATTAGCTGGGCATAGTGGCATGCATCTGTATTCCAAGCTACTTGGGAGGCTGAGGTAGGAGGATCACTTGAGCCTGGGATATTCAAGGCTGCAGTGAGTCATGTTCATGCCACTGAACTCCATCCTGGGTAACAAAGTGAGGCTTTGTCTTAAAAAAAAAAAAAAAGAAAGAAAAGAAAAAAATCTTCAAGTACTAATAATATCTCCATTTTACAGACGAAGAAATCAAAATTCAGAAAGGTTAAGTCACTGAATGATATCACAAAGTTAGAAATTAGCACAGACAGGATTCAAGTTCAAACAGGCAGATTCCAATATTTGCACTTTAAGTGCAAAAATTATTCCTCTAGGTATACTCATTAATGTTGCCAATAGGATAGGGTTCAAATTCTTTAACATGGTCTAACAACATATTCAGTGCTCTTTCCTGCCTACCTATACAGCCTCCTCACTTCTTTCCACCTCGTTCTCCATGCTTCAGGCATATTGGTCATGCACTTCTAGTCCCTCTCATACTGTAAAGCCTTTTCATATATTGGTTTCTCTACCTAAAACAACTCAGCCTGCCCACCTCAGCAGCTAACTCCTATTTTATTCTTCAAGCCTCAGCTTAAAGATTTACTCCTCGAGGACATTCCTGATTCCCCACACTAGGTTAGCTACTCCTGTGATACATGCACAGAGCACTGTGTGTGTGTTTCCCTTCTTCTAACCCCCAACACACTTGTAATTATTTCTTCAATGTCTTCCTTTCCACCACATTATAATAGCCTTGCAGTCGGGGAAATTTTTTTATACACCATTTTACTCACGATACATGGCAAAGTATTTTACACATGGTAGTTGTTCATTAATGAATAAATTATGAGAAGGGAAGAAGTACAAAGGAGGATATTTGCAAATCAGACAAAGTCAGTGTCAAAAAATAAGATGATAAAGGTCAGAATAGCATTTATTTTTTGGTGGGAATGGAGTAGTGACTGTGTGAACAAGCACAAGGAAAGCTTCAGGGTTACTAGATTTGTTCTGTTTCTTTACCTGTTATGATTACAGTCATAAAAATTCTTCGAACTGTATAATTAACACTTACATACTTACACCTCAATTAAAAGAGGGAGGGAAAAGGGTAGAAAAGAAAAAGGGAAAAAGAAAAAGAGGGAGAAAGAGAACAGCACTTACAGATGGCATAAACTTCAAAAAAGAGAAAAATGGTGTAAGTTTGAATAAAGATGGGGAAAAAAAGTTTGCAGAAGTAGCAATGTGGAAGTAAAGGTAATTTTATTGAGGGCCCTGAGATCCAGTGGGTGTGGAAAAATAAATACTGCTCATTTGAAAGGGCTAAAACTTTCCTCTTAGGGGTTATTAAAAAAAAGAAAAAAAAAAGTTAAAGCAACAGGGAAGGATGCCATAGGGAAAAAGAAATTTCTACTGAGAAGAGGTTTGAGGATATTAATAAGGTCTATTATAGAGTGAATTCCAGAGGGCACAAGCATCGAACAAACTATTTTTTGAAAATGTTATTTATACAAATCATAAAAACATACCTTTGTTGCATATGTAGGTTTTTCTATTGCTTCATCACCAATGAAGAAGTCTAGGTCATCAACACCTTTCATCACCCTCCTTTGAGCTTGATCACCCACTTTTGCTGACTCCTTAATAGCAATACCTTTAAAATAAGTTAGACATGTCAAAGAATTCATTTTCCTCAAATGAGAAAAACTTTTACCTTACACTTCTCCCATTACAAAGTACTACAAAGTAAAACATGACCTAGCCTATTTAAATTGTCAAACTAATTCACAAAAGTCATAAGAAACCAGTGACAAAATTCATTTCACACAACGAAACCTCAACTTCCACTCAGAGACAAGACCTCAAATGCAAAAAGCCAGAAAAACAACATCTGTGGGAAAGTTTCAAATATATATTTTTTAAATTATATAAATCCTCCTTTGATTCTCAGTAAAACTGTAATCCCACCAAATCCACATATGCTTGATGAACAACTGGAAAGAAAAAAACTGAAAAACACAAATGAGAAAAAAACTTCAAGAATAATTTTTTAAACTTTCTTTACATCTCTACCCTATCACTACTGGGTCTAGTAATAGTGATTGGGTCTAGTAACAGTAATTACTATTGTGGTCTAGTAATTTAAATGTAATACAGATCTGTTAAACTACATATATAAAAGGAAATCTCAATTCATTTAGGTGAAACCCACAACAATATCCTTAAATAATTGCAGAAATCCAGCATACAGTTTGAAAGCTAAAACTTGTTATGTATTTTTAGATTAAGTTATAAATGTACGAATCCATCAAGTTCAGTTCTTCATTCAAAATAATTGTCTGAATGCACTTAAACTGATCTGGCATTCAACTGTTACTTTCATTTAGTAACAGCTATATCCTTAAGAAAGTGGGCAGAAAATAACTGGAAGAAAAAAATTTTTAATCCACCATCTAGTCCTTCTAAATGCTAGAAATTCTCTCCAGCAATTTACTTACAGTGTACATAGACATCCAGGTGGCTCACTATAAATTTCCTAAAAATAAATATGCATGTATATAAAAAAAACCTTGAACCACTTGCACAGGCTTTCCAGATCAAATATCAATACTCATTAGTAAAAGACAGTGGCAATGTCTCTATCTGCTAATTATAAACACTGTACCTGCAGCATTAAAACTGGGTGGGTGAGAAAAAACACTCAAAAATCAAAAACCTTCTTACAGCAGGCAAATGAATTTTTAACATACTGCAACTAGTCATGGCAAAGACTTCATATTTTGGCAGAGAGATAAGATAAAAAATGGATTCAATAGTGATGAGATCCAATGGTTCAAAAAATCAAGATTATATAGGCCTCCAACAAAAAGTTAACACAGCCATTTACGAATATAACCAAAACCAATTTTGCTAAGATGGCAGAAATAACTTTAGTAGTCTCCTGAAATATACAATCACAACAAAAGATTATACACAAAAGATTAAAAGTCATCAGCATTGTTACAGGTTGAATTGTGTATCACCAAAAAGATATGAAGTCCTAACCGCCAGTACCTCAGAATGTAACTGTGTTTGGAAATAGGGTCTTCACAGTTAAAACGAAGTTATCAAGGTGGCCCCTAATACAATATGACTAGTGTCCTCATAGAAAGGGAAAATTTGAACACAGATACAGAAGGATGATGATGTAAAGACGCACATTAAGAAGACAGCCATGTGACTGGAGTGACGCATCTATCAGCCAAGGATCCTGAGGAAACATCAGAAGCCAGAAGACACCAGCAAGAGCATGACCCTGCTGACGCATTGATTTTGTACTTCTGGACTCCAGAATTCTAAGTGTTTGTTGTTTTCAGCCACCCAATTTTTGGTACTGTGTTACGTACGGTAGCTTAAAGAAACCAGTAAGTACATACACGATGGTCTAACACTAAACTGAAATACGACTAAAGTCAAGTACTAGCCCAAAGAAGTACCTCTACATTAGTCAGCAATAAAGCCAACATGTATCACCGAATTCTTAATAACAGACAAAAAACAATCAACGTATTGACATATAAATGTGAGAAAAACTACAAAGAAAAGCAAACCTATTCTTCATGTTCAGTAGATAACAAACATGCATGAATAAAATATTTAAAAGGTAATAATAAAGGCCACTAGACACACGAATGAGCTGTTTCATCAATATCAACTAAAATCCATTCTGGGTTTTAAAGAAGTATTAGATTTAGGCAGTAGCCTAAGTTCTTACATAATTGATTCCTAGAAAAGTGTATCAAAATAGGAGAAACACACAAGTCAAATAAGTTTGTTTCTAGAAAGTGAGGAGTAGATAAAAACCCTAAAACCATTTCCCCTTTTAGGTGCAATTTTGAAAGTGTATTTCTTTTCTTTTTCTTTCTTTTTTTTTTTTTTTTTTTGAGACTGAGTCTTGCTCTGTCACCCCCCAGGCCTGGAATGCAGTGGCGCCATCTCAGCTCACTGCAACCTCCACCTCCCGGGTTCGAGCGATTCTCCTGCCTCAGCCTCCTGAGCAGCTGGGACTACAGGTGTGCACCACCATGCCTGGCTAATTTTTGTATTTTTAGTAGAGACAGGGTTTCATCATGTTGGTCAGGCTGGTCTCGAACTCCTGACCTCGTGATCTGCCCGCCTCGGCCTCCCAAAGTGCTGGGATTACAGGCGTGAGCCACCGATCCCGGCCAGACAGTGTTATTTCTTTAATGCCACACACTTAATTTTGTTCTTACTACACAAATGACAAAACAGTTGACCTCTTGTGTCCAATGAGTGCTCAAGTGATACTAAAGATCCAGTTTTTGGCAAAGCCTAACATCTTATTCTCAACTTCATTGATTCTGAAACATACACTGCTTTCATTACTCTCTACATATTCATTTTTCCATTTTCTTATTTTCATAATGAATAACAATGAAATACAAAAAATTCAGTCACATAAATAAGATTGTGAAAAATCAGTGACACTCTCAAAATTAAAATGTCTAGGAGAACCACTAAGCAACGGCTCAAAAGGTTTGTCACTTGGTATGCAAAAGTTTTAATTTGGCTGTAAGACAAATAGATCAGAAGTGTTACTATATTATGTACAAAAAACGTGAACTGTTTGCAAGTCAAAAGTGTAAAAGTACGTTAATCAAGGAACAGACCTATGCTAACAAACGAGCACTAACAAACCAATGTCAGAATATTTTTTAAAAACTACTGAAAGTTAATGGTCAGCTTAAGCAAGATTAACAAAAATAGGATAAAACAAAAATACTCTAAAGACATACAACAGTATGGTTATGGGATATTAGAAAACAGCTGAGGTCAACATCTCTAAAGGTGAGATAGTGAGATATTGTCCTTCCATCCATATTTTGAAACATGGGCACTTAGTGAGGACGTCAACAGATACGGGCCCTACAAACAGTAGTCATATCCACAAACCAAAGGACAGTCTTCATAGGTATATGATGGGGAATGGACTACTTGATAATTAGTTATACCCCCATACTGTTAACTGCAATATCACCCTAAAAATTGGGGTACTGTTTCATTATCAGCTAATTTCTTTTTTTCTTTAAAAAGAGGTATTTAGTAGACATGGCAAATGGGGAGCTAAACATAAAGCTGAAATGAATAGTCAGACATACAAAAATGAGGCCACACTTAGAACCTGGCAAATCATGTTTTTAAAAGGACTAAATCTTTTAGGATTTCAGAACTGATTACTTCTTTTACTTAAATTATTAGGGAAGGGGATCTTTTAAATCAGCTCATTTGTGGCTTAAAAGAAATACTTACAGGAAGGGATGATAAACTGTGGTTCTGTATTTCCAGCATATCCTAGTTTTGTATACCTGCAAAACAAAATAATTTATAAAGATTTCACTAATATTTTAGCAATTATACATTTCTTTCTTAGAATTTCATTTGTTATGAAGTGAGATTCCATCGTAGGTAAATAATATACCAAATTCCATAGTTTCACTTCATTTAACCCCTACTTTCACAATTCTATCAAAATTATAAATGCACAGAGCTTCTGAAAAGAAATTCCACTTCAAGAAATTGATCCTTCAGGAATATATGTGAAATAATACACAATCAAGGTCATTAGCTACAATCTTGCTTCTAACAGCAAAAGACTGGAAATAACCTAAATATCAATCAAACTGGAAACTATTGAAATATGCTAAGTTTATACTATGGAATATTATGCAGCTACAAAAAATAGAATGAGGAAGCTCTTAGTATAGTGATAGGAAACAATTCCCAAAATATATTACTTATTGAACAAAGATACAGAACAATGTATCAAGTATGGTATATCTGTATAAAACTAATGGGGAGGAGTAAAAACATATGAAATATTTTGTATAGGCACAACGTATCTCTGGAAGACTACACAAGAATAATTTTGGTTGTCTCCAAAAAAGGGAACTGGGGCATGATGAACAGAAATGAGAAGGAGATTTGTTTTCATTGTACATTGTTTCATACCATTCAAATTAATTACTATTCAAAAATAAATATAAGATTTAATGTTTTGTCACAGTAGACTTGGCCTACATTCTTCTAACAAAATAACAACATAAATAAGGATTAGAAATTATAAAAGCTGAGCTCTGACAAGCAGTATGTGGGGGCTACTTAGGAGATAGTGGGGCATTTTTTAGCTATGTGGGAAAAGCTATTAACTATAAGCAGGCTTTAAAGAGAATGTAACATTTTATATTATTCCATATTCAAACTCACTGATAAATAGCAGACAGGTAATTGCTGTGACATTCTTGGACTCTAATATCTGAAGAATCTTTTTTCTAAGATAAAATGAAAAAAAAAAATCTGCTGGGGGCCTGACGTGGTGGCTCACACCTGTAACACTAGCACTTTGGGAAGCTGAGGTGGGTGGATCACCTGAGGTCAGGAGTTCAAGACCAGCCTGACCAACACGGTGAAACACCCTCGCTACTAAAACTATAGAAATTAGGCTGGGAGCAGTGGCTCATGCCTATAATCCCAGCACTTTGGGAGGCTGAGGCAGGTGGATTACGGGACCAGGACAGGAGTTCGAGACCAGCCTAACCAACATGGTGAAACCCCCAACTCTACTAAAAATACAAAATTAGCCAGGCATGGTGGTGGGCACCTGTAATACCAGCTACTTGGGAGGCTGAGGCAAGAGAATCGCTTGAACTTAGGAGGCGGAGGTTGCAGTGAGCCGAGATCACACCACTGCACTCCAGCCTGGGAGACAGAGTGAGACTCTGTCTCAAAAAATAAACAAATAAATAAACAATATCTTTGGGGAATGTTTTAGCCTCCAAATTAAGTTCAAGAACTGAGTGTGCCAAGGCCGAGGAGAGAGGATCACTTGAGGTGAGGAATTCGAGACCAGCCTGACCAACATGGTGAAACCCCATCTCTATTAAAATACAAAAATTAGCAGGGTGTGGTGGTGGGCGCCTGTAATCCCAGCTACTCAGGAGAGTGAGGCAGGAGAATTGCCTGAACCTGTGAGACAGAGGTTGCAGTGAGGCAATATCATGCCACTGTATTCCAGCCTGGGTGATAAAGCAAGACTTCGTCTCAAAAAAAAAAAAAAAAAAGTGTGCCAAATAAGAGTAAATCATTAAAAATAAGGGGAAACCATAAACTGTTGAAAAAAGTGATATTGGTCTACTGACTAACCTCTTCAACAGTTCCCCACTGTTCACGTTTTAAAAAAAAAAAACGAAAAACAAAAAATTTCCTTGTAATGTATACAAAAAAGTCCCTTTATTATTTGGCCTCTGACCTCTCCCAGCTGCCCTGACACCACATTAAACTCCCTAACCATAAAAACAGCTGACAATTTCTCAACACTCCAACTCATTTCATGCCACCAAGCCACTATTAACACTGCTCCTACTACATTAGATGCTCTCCTTCCCATCCAGTATAGTTTAATACCTTACCAGTGGACAAATGGAAATGACTAGTCTACTATACCAAAATAAAAACTTGTTTAATACAAAGCAGTCTGAAACTGTTGAACCAAAACACTCTACCTAAAAGCCTACTACTATCTAACCAATAGTGAATTATTAATACCTAACTATTCCTTGGTCTGATCCCACATATTAATCTCTCTACTTTTATTCTTATTTGTCACCACCACAATTCAAGCTGCTATACCCAACAATACCCTAAAACAGGACAAAACAGTATTTCCAATTCTAGAACTCCTACAAAGGACAAGAGAATAATATACCTAAAAACAATGCTCTAATTGTTTTTTCCTCTGCTTACACACCACCACCACAGCAATCAACACAGAAGACTTCTGGGACCAAATGTGTGGAGGGTTTCTCCCAACAACAAAAAAGCAATCAATTCTGCAGTGGACACTAGCTGGGTGTTCTGTAATTCAATTCCAATACTATCTACCTGGAGATAACATCAGAATCCACAGGTTGAAGGCTCAGTCCCCAAGACTGCCCCCCTTCTTCAGACACCAGTCACAAGCCCCAGACTCTGGAACTTCTGACTCACCTGCTTGAAGATGAGTTTCCCATACTCCCTCCTTGAGTTCAATTAATTTGCTAAAGTGGCTCACAAAACTCAGAGAAACACATTAGCTGGTTTATTATAAATAATACTGCAAAGCATACAGATAAAGACACACACAGGGTGAGGTGTGTAGGAAGAGACGTAGACGTTCCACACCCTCTCGAGCGTACCACCCTCCCAGAACCTCCACGTGTTCAGCTATCTGAAAGCTCTCCAAACTCTGTCCTTTGGGTTTTTATAGAGGCTTCAGTGCATAGACAGGATTGATTAAACCATTGGCCACTGGTGATCAACTTAACCTTCAGCCCCAGTGGTTGGAGGGTGGGGCTGGAAGTCCCAACTCACTAATCATGCCTTGGTCTTTCAAGTGACCAGCCCCATCTTGAAGTTACCTAGGGGCTGCCAGCCAACAGTCATCCCATTAGCACTCAAACAGACGTCACTTTGGAGTTTCTAAGAATTATAGGAGTTGTATGTCCGAATATGGAGTTGAAGACCAAATACATATTTCCCAATTTCAAACGGCCTAACTCAAAAATCTTCAAATGATGCTCTACTGGCTACAAGATTAAGTACAAGCTTGTTTCCATTTCTGTAAAATTGTTCATTGTAAAATTGTTCCTAAAGGCCCATCCACATGAACAATTATATCATTCTCTGATTCCTTCAGCTGAATATTAAAGTTCTCCATAATCATTTCCAATTTTTATAAGCATCTGCTATCACTTGCTTACATAAACCCAGCTCTAAGCATACTACACCTGCTACTCTTTTTTCCCTTATATCTTGTCTATTCCCTATTCCCCCCTCACATATTATCTACGCTCACACTGCACCCTCCCAAAAAAAAAAAAACAACAACAACAACAAAAAAACTTTTATCACAACTTAAAACTTCTCCAGGAAGTCTTTCCTGATCATTTTAACTATCAGGCATCCTTTCTTTTGACTAATCTTCATTTCAACCATAAGCCACACATATTTTTATGTGTGTAAATATCGTCTCCTAAATATTACAGTAATATTTGAAGTACAGACCACATTACAGTAGAAATTCCCTTAAGAAACATTCATTTAACCAGCTTACCAGACTGATCAAGACCCCATTCTTGGCCAAAATCAAATTTCCTAGGCTGAGTATATTCATCAATGAATTACTTTCAAAATAAACACCAAAAGGATCAAATGAACCTAATACAAAACAGTCAATATGTAATCAAAACAAAAATGCTCTTCTCAAAACACAAGAATAAATGCATACAGTATCCAATTGTATGGATATACCATAATTTATTTAATCACTTCTAATGTATTTTAAATGCCACAGCAAAATAATCTACTACATTTTGGGGAGCAGTAACTAATGTTCTACTACCTTAGATTTAAATTTTAAATATCCCAAAAGAACTAAATCATGTAAAGTCTGTCTACATTAGTTAGGCAGACTGCTAAATTACAGCATTTGATAATAATCATAGACAACAATATTTTCACCAATTCTTAAAAAATATGAGGGGAAATATCACAGTTTACTTAACTTCATAAGTTGCTTAGACTCTAAAAGCTAATTTGGTTCCTGTCTCAAAAAAAATGTGGTACAGGACACAATCTAAAAAAGTAAAGTTATCTACTAAACTTTAAAAAAGGTTTTGAAGGCTCAACCTTCAAAAAGTCACATTTTCTCCCGCAGGGAGTAAAGTGCTGAATGACAAAAAAAATCACTCTTTAAAACCACTCGCTTTATACTACTAGCAAACTTTAAAAATTAAGATTTGAAAATTAAAAAAAACAAGTCAAAGTTCAGAGAATAAGCGTACAGAAAATACATTGCAATAATTTTAAAAATAAGAACAGAACCGTAGAAATCTCAGACTAAAAAAATACTTTTTAATGCTCATATAAAAATACTTTAATGCTTATATGTGAGATGAGAAACATTTAAGGAGAGGAAGAGGTTTGAAAATTGTTATTAGAAAAAGAAAAAAATTAGAAAGTATATTAAATATTAAATTTATTTAAAACTCCAAAATAAAAGCTTTTCAAATGTAAACTAGCCTCCATTAACCTACCAATTCTATTGAGTTTTACACATGAAATAACTACATATTATCCTTAAGATATTTTTATGAACTCTAAAAATTCGATAGTCACCATAAAGAAGAAATTTTGTACAAGTAGATGGTAGAAGTTTCTCTCGCTTTTTCTTTGACAAAAAAAAAAAAAAACTGCTAACAGCTAATTGGCATTTGACATATGAACTTTTTAAATTGTAATTTAAGGATGTAATCACTATCTTTAAATTCAAGGCTCTTGTTTTTCAGTGACACAAAGTTCAAATATTTTTGTAATAATACAAATAGGTTTCAAATGACTTTCCTATTAAGCATTTCTCTAAGCATATATACATGTTTGTTGCTCTCTAAAGAATAATGATGTTCTTCAGGATCCTGACCAAGTGTATCACAGCAACCCACTTTTTTTTTTTTTTTTTTTTTTTTTTGGGGGACAGAGTTTTGCTCTTGTTGCCCAGGCTGGAGTGCAATGGCGAGATCTCGGCTCACCACAACCTCTGCACCTCCTGGGTTGAAGCGATTTTCCTGCCTTAGCCTCCCAAGTAGCTGGGATTACAGGCATGCGCCACCATGCCTGGCCAATTTTGTATTTTCAGTAGAGACAGGGTTTCTCCATGTTGGTCAGGCTGGTCTCCAACTCCTGATCTCAGGTGATCAGCCAGCCTCAGCCTCTCAAAGTGCTGGGATTACAGCTGTGAGCCACCGTGCGTGGCCAACAACCCACTTTTAACCTTACTTTTCCAAAATAAATTTTTGCTTTGAATTTATAAATCCTATCAGTATAATTTATTTTTCTACAGCCCTTGCAATTTTCTGTAAAGATTTCCTGGATATTCAAAAAGGTCATTCATGAGCTGGGTGTGACGGCTCACGCCTGTAGTCCCAGCACTTTGGGAGGCCAAAGCAGGAAGGTCACTTGAGGACAAGAGGTGAACACCAGCCTGGGCAACAAATCAAGATCCAAATCTCTACAAAAAATTTAAAAATCAGCTGGACATAGCAGCTCACACCTGTAGTCCTAGCTACTTGGGAGGCAGGGAGGATGACTTGAGCCATGGAGGAGCTATGACTGCCCCACTGCACTTCAGTTGGGCAACAGAGCAAGACCCCGTCTTTAAAAAATTATTATAAAATTACAATAAAAAATAAACAAAAAAGTAATTCATAAAAGCACCTTCTCCCCTGCTCTAAGTTACATTTAGCAAAAACTCTCTTTTGGACAGCTAGTAAACAACCTGATCTCATTCCCTCCTAATAAGCTTTAAAAATAAGTTTAAATGGCTTCATTTTTTCTTAAATTTGCCATCTGGATAATTGCATTTAGTACAGAATTCAGACTTGGGACAAACTTTCATATCTGAAAGCTATTTACCCAAATCGATCCACAGATTCAAGCATTTCCCATCAAAATCCTAATAACATTTTTGCAGAAATAGAAAAATCCATCCTAACATTCATATGGATCTCAAAGGATCCTGAATAGCCAAAATAATCCTGAAAAAGAACAAAGTTGGAGATCTCACACTTCCTCATTTTAAAAGTTACTACAAAGCTATAGTGACCAAAACAGTATGGTACTGGCATAAGAACTAACAGAATCAGGAGCCCAGAAATAAACTCTCACATATATAATTAAATGATTTTTAACAAGGATGCCATAACTACTAAGATGAAGAAAGGACAGTCTTTTGAACAAATGGTGCTGGAAAACTGGATATCCACATGCAAAAGAATGAAGTTGTACCTTTACCTTACACCATACACAAAAGTTAACTCAAAGTTGATCACAGACCTAAACACAAGAGCTAAAACTATAGAACTCTTAGAAAAAAAACATAAGGTGAAAAGCTTCATGATACTAAATTTGGCTATGATCTCTTGGCTATGACACCAAAAGCACAAGTAACAAAAGAAAAAAAGAGAAAAACTTCATCAAAATTAAAAACTTGTGTATCAAAGGACACTATCAACAGTGGAAAGGCAATCCACAGAATGGGAGAAAATATTTGCAAATCACTATCTGTAAGGGATTAATATCCAGAATAAAGAACAACACAACAATCAAAAAAAGCCCAACTGAAAAATCAGCAATCAACCTGTAATGACATTTCTCCAAAGAAAATATACAAATGGCCAATAAACACAAGAAAAGATGTTCAACCTTACTAATAATAAAGAAAATGCAAATCAAAACCAGAATGAAATACCCCATTACACCCATTAGGATGGCTATTATCAAGAAAATAACAAATGTTGGGGAAGATGTAAAGAAACTGAAACCCTTGTGCAATGCTGGTGAGAGTTTAAAATGGTGCAATGCTGTGGAAAACTATAAAATAGTTCCTCCAAAAATTAAATACAGTAATTACACGACCCAACAATTCCACTTCTGGGTATATACCCAAAAGAACTGAAAGCAGGAACTTGAACAGGTACTTATACATGCATGTTCATAGCAGCAATATCTGCAATAGCTAAAAGGTGGAAGCAACCCAAGCATCCATCAACATGTGAATGGATAAACAAAATATGATATATACTTCCAATGGAATATTATTCAGCCTCAAAAAGGAAACACATGATACATGCTTACAACATGGATGAACCTTGAATACATTATAAGTAAAATAAACCAATCACAAAAGGACAACTATTGTACAATTCCACTTATAGAAGGTACCTAGAAAAGTCAAATTCATAAAGACAGAAAGTGGAATGGTATTTGCCTGGGACTTCGCATGTGAGGAGAGAACGGGAAGTTACTGCTTAATGCGCAGAGTTTCAGTTTGGGAAGATAAAAAAGTTATGGATCATGGAGGATGGTGATGGTTAGACAATAATGTGAATGTACTTTATGCCACTAAACTGCACACTTAGAAATAGTTAAACAGTAAACTTTATGAGTATTATACCACAAAAAAAAAATTTTTTTTTTTTTTTGAGACGGAGTCTTGTTCTGTCGCCTAGGCTGGAGTCCCGTGGCGCCATCTCGGCTCACTGCAACCTCTGCCTCCTGGGTTCAAGCGATTCTCCTGCCTCAGCCTCCCAAGTAGCTAAGACTACAGGCATCCACCACCATGCCCAGCTAATTTTTGTATTTTTAGTAGAGACAGGGTTTCACCATGTTGGCCAGGCTGGCCTTGAACTCCTGACCTCGTGACCTGCCAGCCTCAGCAGTTACCACCAAGAAAATAATACTGGATACCTACCGCACATGTTAAAGCAGGATAAATCTAAATGTATCAAATATAAAGTTTAAAAGAAAATGTGATATAGTTTATAACCCTGGAGTGCAGGAGACTTTCTAACTATAACTTAAAACCCATACACTATAAAAGGTTATTTCAACTATGTAAAAATTAAAAACTTCTTTACAAAAACACACCCAAAGTAGCCAAAAGAAAAATGAGTAACAGAGAAAAATTATCTACACAAATTATCTAGACAGATATAATCTCTTTAACATATAAAGGGTACCTAGATGTTAATGACAAGGGAGGGAAGGACAGGAAGGGAGGAAACAAAAGAAGGAAAGGCAAAAAGACACTAACCATTCCCAGAACAACAGAAATGGTTATTAAATGAAAAGAGACTCAACTCCATGGGATTTTTAAAATGCAAATTAAAAGTGCACTGAGGTGCTTTCAAACATTACTAGTTGGAGGGAGGGTTGTATAACAACAACAACAAAATAAAAAACATTACTAGTTAGAATGCAAAATGATGCAGCCACTTACGAAAACAATTTAACTATCACTTACCATCTGACCCAGGAATTCTACCTCTAGTTAGAATCTACTAGAAACAAGAAAAATAAAAACAGTTGTCCACACAATTGTGTACATGTATGTTCACAACAGAATAGTTCATAAAGACCCAAAACTGGAAGAAAAACAAATGTTTAACAAGAGAACGAATAAACAAGAGTGTTATATTCATACAAACCAAAATTACTTCACATAGGAAGAACCAGGAAAACATAACCCATTCTCCTGGGAGAAGACACTCAACAGAAGGCAATTCTAACATGACCCAAATGCTGGAATTATAAGATAAAGACTTCCAATCAACAATGAGTATTAACATAGACCTGTAATTGATAATAAAGGAAATATCACCAGATAAATGAAAATAAAGGCCAAGCAGTAGAAATTATTCATTCTGAAATTGGGGGGAAAGAAAACAAGGAAAAAGGAAAGAGCTTCAGGGACTCATCAAGGACAATATCAAAAAGGTGATACACGTGGCCAGGTGCAGTGGCTCACACCTGTAATCCCAGCACTCTGGGAGGCCGAGGTGGGCGGATCACGAGGTCAGGAGATCGAGACCATCCTGGCTAACAAGGAGAAACCCCGTCTCTACTAAAAACACAATAATAAAATTAGCCGGGCGCAGTGCCAGGCACCTGTGGTCCCAGCTACTCAGGAGGCTGAGGCGGGAGAATGGCATGAACCCAGGAGGCAGAACTTGCAGTGAGCTGAGATCAAACCACTGCACTCCAGCCTTGGCAACAGAGTAAGACTCTGTCTCAAAAAAAAAAAAAGTGACACACTTAGGTCCCAGAAGGAGAAGAGAGTGTAGTAAAAATATTTTTAAAAAGAAATAGTGACAGGCCAGACGGGGTGGCTCACGCCTGTAATCCCAGCACTTAGGGAGGCCGAAGTGGGTAGATCACTTGAGGCCAGGAGTTCAAGACCAGCATGGCCCACACGGCGAGACTCCATCTCTACTAAAAATAAATTATGGGAGGCTGAGGCAGGAGAATTGCTTTAACCCAGGAGGCAGAGGTTTCAGTGAGCCGAGATCGCGCTACTGCACTCTAGCCCAGCAACGGAGCGAGACTCCGTCTCAAAAAAAAAAAAAAAAAGACAATTAGCAGAGCATGGTGGTGTAAGCCTGTAATCCCAGCTACTCAGGAAGCTGAGGCACAAGAATTGCTGAACCTGGGAGACAGAGGTTGCAGTGGGCCAAGGCTGCGCCACTGCACTCCAGCCTGGGCAACAGAGCAAGACTCAGTCTCAGAAACAAACAAATAAAAAGGAATAGTAGCTAAAAATTTTCCCAATTTAGTGAAAGACAGAAATTTAGAGATTTAAGAGGCTCAAGAACACCCAAGCAGAATAAATATAAAGAAAACCACACTTAGGCACAAACCACTGAAAATCAAAGATAAGGAAAACAATGTACTCATATATGGGGATCTAAAATAGAACCTGATAAATAAGTAGCACGGCAGTTGCCAGGTATTGGGAAATGGAGGAATTGGAGAGCTGTTGATCAATGTATACAAGTTTCCAGTTATAAGATGAATAAGTACTAGTGATCTAAGCTATAGCATAGTAACCACAGTTAATAACATACAGTATTTTACAGTTGAAATTTGCCTAAAGGCGATCTTAAGTGTCATCACACAAAAAAGGTAACTATGTCAGGTAACAAATACATTAATTAGCTTGATTGTAAGACTCATGACACAAGGTTTACTTATATCAAAACACCATGTTGTGGCCAGAAGCAGTGGCTCATCCCTGTAATCCCAGCACTTTGGGAGGCCCAGGCGGGCGATCACCTGAGGTCAGGAGTTTGAGGCCACCCTGGCCAACACGGCGAAACCCCATCTCTACTAAAAATACAAAAACTAGCCAGGCGTGGTGACGGGCACCTGTAATTTCAGCTACTCAGGAGGCTGAGGCAGGAGAATCACTTGAACCCGGGAGAAAGAGGTTGCAGGGAGCCAAGATCACGTCACTGCACTCCAGCCTGAGTGACAGAGCGAGACTCTGTCTCCAAAAAGAAAAAAAAAAACTAAACCAAAAATGTCTCTTTGTGATCTAGAGAAACAAGTTAAATATATAGAAAAGCTCTTACTATGGCAGTAATGAAAAAAATCTACAATGCTGATTTTGGCTGCGAAAGGGAGATGGTAAGGGACTTAAAAAACAACTTGCTATTGTACTCTAAAATCCTGTAGCTGAGGTTTAGCTGTACTCAATTTGCTTGTATAAAATATATAATACATCATTTTACATAAAAAAAAAAAGAAAAACAACTTGCTTAGAGAAAGGAATATAGAGAAAAGAATTCAAAAGCACTTTTGAAGCTATCAAAGCCTTGGTGACTAGAAGAATAATAGTAGAAATATAAGAAGGCTAGGTGAGAGAGGAGGCTGGACTGGCAGAAATCAACAGCAAAAGAAAGATGAGTTTTATACCAAAAAAAAGGCGAGTCTGTCACAACAGTAACTGCCTCTGAGGAAAGGGGAAGTGGATTTGGGGACAGTCATCAATAATGCTCTTTTGTTCCTTAAAACAAGAAAGATAAAGTAAGTATAATTAAATGTTCACGGGTCATAATTCTAACAAATGCAGGTATCTGTTATATTATTGATTGTACCTACCTAAAAGAAATCCATTAATAGAATCTTTTTCAGTAGTAAAACAACTTATGCCTGCATTGTAAAAGCATTAACATCCTTTGCCTTGGATATTATTTTTAATTTTACAAATTGCAAATGCTTGTACATTAAAACATGTACAATTACACTCTCTTGCTAGGGGCTAATATAGTGGTGACTTTGAAGCCAATGTTCCATTACAATTCTGAAAATTATAGGGCCCTTAAGAATGATGCTAAATCTACTCTGCCTGTGCCTCTACATACGGAACAAGTTTTAACTTTCAATAGTTCAACAAATGAAATGATATAACAAAATAAATATAAGACCCCAGAGCTTAAGGATAGAAGAGACTTTAATGATCTAGCACAACTCTTTCCAAAACCTTAACACTGACAACCACTAAAGTTCAAATAATTCTATCTTAATATGAATGACTTGCTTATACTCTTACCATATCATAAAAATAAAGTACATCTTATATAATTTTATGTAAGATATGATTACCAAATAAATCCCAAATGAAAACAGAGTTTACTAATTGATCCCAATGCCTACTCCCATAATATCTTAATTCTCAGCTTACCCAGTTTTCGTCATACAATACCAAAGCCCAAAAAGGTAATTTGGTGTTAGAAACTTTGTTGTTGCTGAAACAGAGTTTCGCTCTTATTGCCCAGGCTGAAGTGCGACAGCGCGATCTTGGCCCACCACAACCTCTGCCTCCCAGGTTCAAGCGATTCTCCTGACTCAGCCTCCCGAGTAGCTGGATTCAAGCAATTCTCCTGCCTCAGCCTCCCAAGTAGCTGGGATTACAGGCACACGCCACCACGCCCAGCTAATTTTGTGTTTTTAGTAGAGATGGGGTTTCTCCGTGTTGGTCAGGCTGGTCTCAAACTCCCGACCTCAGGTGATCTGCGGCCTCGGCCTCCCAAAGTGCTGGGATTACAGGCATGAGCCACCGTGCCCAGCCAGAAACTTTTAAAACAAGAATGCAGTGGCTGATTCACAGGGAAATTTGTCAAGTAGAGTAAGACAATATTAGCTATAAAGATAAACAGCAATGGTTTAAAAAACTTTTCCAATTCCCTCCAACATTTTTCTCATGACATGCAAGTCAATGTTTAACCTGACACAAAAATACTGATGGACTGTTGAGTGAAGAACCTGGACGCCTACTCTGTGTGTCAACAGAAACATTCTCCTGGTCCCTTCAAGCCTAAACCTTAAAATCTTAACTCCTTTTCACTAGTGGGGAGAACATGAACCTTGAAATAAAGAAGACATGACTGAATGCTTGTTCCACCATTTACTAGCCTGTGATCCTGTGATCATAGACTATCCCTAATGCATCGGGAATAAAACTAAATTCATGAGGTTGTCATAAGGATTAAAGGACCTAACAGTGAATAAAACTCACTAAGTATTTGGTAAACATTTCCTTCCCAAGATGATTTTCCTTTATCCATAGGCCTTCCTTTATCCCTCTACCCATTCCTTTAATTTTGCTTTCAAAGATTCTCAACGTTTTCCCAGTCCCTTTGCTATACGTCCATCACCACTGAAGACAACGACTACAGCAGTCAGCACTTGCCCCATGAAAGAAATCAGTCACAAAAAGCCACAAATTGTATGATTCCATTTACATGAAATGGCCAAAATAGGCAAATCCATAAAGACAGAAAGTAAATTAGTGTTTGCTAAGGGTTGAGGGTAGAGGTAACGGAGAGTGACTGCTACTGGGTGTAGGGTTTTTTGGGGTCATGAAAATGTTCTAAAATTGATTGGATTCCAATAAGTGGCATCCAGGCATTAAAAAAAAATGAAATTGACTGGAAATAGTTGCACAACCTTGTGACTATACTAAAAACTACTCAATTACACACTTTAAAAGAGTAAACTTTACAGTATGTGAATTATAACTCAATAAAGCTGTATAAAGTAAAATACTAGACCCAGACTAATAGTGCATAAATTTACCTTTTATCACTCTTTTGCTTAATGATCTACACAATCCACTACTGTCTATCAAATAAATCGCAAACCATTCTGCCCCATTTAAAATCCTTCTGAAATAAGGCAAGATGAGTAAATAAACTACTTGCTGTCCCACAGCTCCCAACAGAAATATCTGAATTCCAGGCAGGGCAATTTCCTAACTGACCCATCCCCCAAATACTTTGAAACTCCTTCATGACTTCCCTTTATCAGTAAAATATTTGCTGGGCATTATTAAATATCATGCAGGACGCTATCACTTGAATAGAGAATGCACAAAAAAGAAATAATCCCTGCCACTATGGAGCTTTCAATTTAGCTCACATCCTAGATTTGAAGTCCTTCTTCCCATATATCTATCACATCCTATTTATGCTTTTCCAAGGATCTGATCAAGTTCAGCTTCTTCATAAATCATCCTCCAAATACTACAGCCCTTATTAATCTGCCCAAACAATTAAATGCTAGTAAGCCATCCATAATTATTTCACACATATTAGTTTCATCTTTGAAACTAAACTGTAAACCTCAAGTATAAAATCATGCCTTAGTTTTCTTGTATATACCATAGTGTTCAGCACAGAACTGAGACTGAAATAAATACTTGATTACTTTAAGTTCTTCTATTTTTTTACTTTCATATGTGTTTTGTGCAGTCATTAATGAGCACATAATACATAGTGAGTAAAATAATTACAGTAAGTAATGCATCAGTGGAGATTATTCATTTTCAAATTGCAGCTTCAGAAATATGTATGCCTTCCTTTTGAAGATATATGTAATTAGCATCATTTCCTTGAGCTGCCCTGAATTTATCAGCAATTATCAGTCCTTGCAATACTCAAATAAGCAGTAAGCAAATCCATATTTCACTTTAATGTGTTATAGGTTAATCAAATCAGTGAACTGGTCACTAAGACCTCCCTATATGTTTCATATTTGTACTAAAAATTAGTAGCTTTGGGTTTAAGTATGTATAAAATGGACACTCTTAAAAACTGGACTAATAATTTGACCACTCTCCTTGGATGTATCTCAATTAGGGAACAGTAGAGCAGTGAGCTCTGGAATGAGACTACCCCAGGACTAAAATTCTAAATCTACTACTTATCTTTGAAATGGGATTATTTATAACAGTAACTACCTCACAGGGCTTCTGAAAAGGTAATAACATCCAAAACAAAACGTGCAAAGGGCCTTGAAATGGCTGATTGGTACACATCCCATTTAATACATCTTTAATAATTAAAATCCAAAGATATAAATCTCTGAAACCATAAAGAAAAATTTTTTTAAAGAGAGCATTCATTTTATGAAAGTCATCTGTCCTGGCACCTACAGAGCACAACTTTTAAAATATCTCTAAACTTGGTTTAAAACATTATTATTGGGAAACATAAAATTAGTTTCTCATGTGTGCCATACAGTATGCCTCTGCATTACAACGAAACACTGAAGAATTCTGATGTAGGCTTCAACTAAAACTACTTTAACTATAAATAAAATACATTATGTTATTCCAATTACTTAATTTCAACTATTAACTCATAAATGTGAACTCACAAGAAAATTTAAGAGAACTCAACAATACTATCAATTAATAATTAGGAACACTCCCAAAAGACATTTCTCAACTCTGAGCCTCTGTTTCATTTGTAAATGAAGACTGGATTAAATTATCTCTCAAAATCCCTTTTCAGCTCTATAATTCTGTGTGAGTCATTAGGCATTTCCCTTAATTTACTAAAGCAAGTTTCACAAATACACATTAAATGCTATATTTGTACCCTTGAGTAACTGAATTTTAAAAATGCTTATAGCAGAAGCACACTAGATTTAACTAAAATAATCTCTATAACTAGGCAAACACTTGTGTCCTGTCATACACTAATACTAAAAACATGGTTTACATGTTTACAGTAGATTAAGCCAACCCTAAACTACAAGGTCTTCTGCACCCTAATTCTCTCTCTAGGACTTTTATCCTCCTCATTGTAACCTCTCCTTTACACTAAATACTGAAAAGCACAGAAACCCTTCCCAAGAGCATTGCATTTTCACAAATGACACAAAGTCTTAAAGCAAGGACAAAATGTTTAAAAATAAAACGTTTAGGTAATGTCCTTCGGCAGGAGGAAAACATGGCATGTTGAGTATCCGAACAGATGAATATTCTTCTCAGGTATGTATTAGGGTTGGGGAGCAGAAGGAAAGCTGAAAGAATACATCTGGCCGAGACGGGTGGATCACTTGAGTTCAGGAGTTCAATATCAGCCTGGCCAATATGGTGAAACCCGGTCTCTACTAAAAACACAAAAATTAGCCAGGCATCGTGGCGGGTGCCTATAATTCCAGCTACTCGGGAGGCTGAGGCAGAAGAATAGCTTGAACCCTGGAGACGGAGGTTTCAGCAAGCCAAGATCACGCCACTGCACTCTAGCCTGGGTGACAGAGCAACACTCTGCCTCAAAAAAAAAAAAAAAAAAAAAAAAAATAACATCTGGCCACACAAATTCAAGCTATTCCTTTCCTGGTTCCAAGGAGTATGTAAGAATGGCTTGAGTTTAAATCGACAGTTTGGAAAGAATTTTGAAAATTCTGAAACAAAATTATTATTAAAATTCTGCAAAATCGTCCTTTAAAAAAACTAGAATTTTTTTTCTTTTTTTTGCTCTGGTATTAGTCAATTATGTAGGTTACGTTGTTTCCTGATATAAAGGCCCATATAAAGTTATAAAATCAGCACACAAACTAATATTAGTCACTATCCTATTTCAAAGAACTAAATTTAAAACAATCCAATAACATCACCTTATCTCCTATCTAATAATTCATAAATGTCGTGTTTGGTAAGCTACAGCACACATTTTTGTAGTGCTATTATTACTTAATTGCTTTGCTCTTGCTTCTTTATGCTACTGTCTATCACTGATTATGGTTGTGTCATAAAAAAGGCAACAAGCTCCAACAGAATTACAAGGGAGCATTCAAATGCTTTTTTTATTATAGTGGAATTTTGTTTCAGGAAACACATGTTGCTACATTTTAACCATTCCAAACTTCTGCTCCTAGTCCAATCCTTTAGCTGTTTCCACAAGTTGGGGGAGCAGGAGCATGCTGGACAAGGGAAATTTAGCTAGAGCTAAACTCTCCTCCTGATTAAGGATTTTGCCTCTTAGAAAATTGAATGACATAGGTGGAGATAAGATTGTCAGCATAGCGATCAATTACCACGAGCCAATCAGTCACTGTGATGCTCAAGAAGCTAGATCACATATCCACAATTTTTTTAAAGAAGGGAAACTGATATTCAATCTTTCCGTTCTTTTCTCTCTGAATGCTCTCATCTTATTAGCTTCAGTTAACAAATTATGATTCCCAAATATCCACCTTCATTCCCAAAGGTCCTGTATTTTTAATTTCCTCTAGAATGTTTCCAATTATAAATCATCATTCCAAATTCAACAACAAATTCCAATTTTACTCAGTTTCTTAAAACTAACTCCCTTATTGTCCCAATCACTCAGGCTTACAATCTTGAACTATTCATTGATGCCTATTTACAATCCACTGGAATCAACTGCCAAGTCCTAGCTATACCTCCTTCAATCTCTCAAATCAGCAAAAACATTTTGACTGTGCAGAGAACTGTGTGTGGTAGGCAGGCCAAGGCCTGCAGGAGATAAGAAAATAAGCATAACACACTGTATTCCTTTCTTTAAGAACTGAAACTCAAAAAAAAAAGAAAGCCAACCAATTATTATATTTAAAATATATTGTGCCCTTACTGTGTGCCAGGCACTGTGCTGAACCATTTTCACACATTATCAAAAAACAGAACAAAACAAAACAAAACTGGGCATGGTGGCTCACTCCTGTAATCTCAACACTTTAAGAGGTCAGGGCAAGAGGATTACTTGTGCTAGAAGTTTGAGACCAGCCTGAGGCAACACAGTGAGACCCCATCTCTACAAAAAATTTTTAAAAGTAGCCACACATGGTGGCATGTGCCTGTAGTCCCAGCTACTCGGGGGACTGAGGCAGGAAGACAGCTTGAACATAGGAGTTTGAGGATGCAGTGAGCCATGATCTTGCCATTGAACTCCAGTTTGGGCAACAGAGACCCAGTCTCAAAAACAAACAAAAAAAACCTATAAGGTATACACTATCATCTCCAAATTACAGATGGGAAGAAATAAGACCTGCAGAGGTTGAAGTGTATAAAGTCATATAGCTATTAAGTGATAGAGCTTGAACTCAACAACAGATAACTACAAAGCCTTTGCTACCCGTAAATAAAATAACACGAAATATAACTGCCAGAAGAAACGTAAAAAGAAAGGAAAAAACCAATCTTTTCCTAACTTATCTCTTCTGCTCCAACTCCACCGCCAATACCAGGTTTCAGAATTTCTGCAAAGTTAGCCCTTGAATGGGCTGCTGAAGAATCATCTAGGAAGCCTATGTAAATGAATATTCATAGTCCAACCCTTGAGATTCTGAGTCACTGGGTATGGGGTGTTTCTGATGCACAGTTTTTTTAAAAACCATACTCCTAATTCTTGTTCATTCATTCATACAACAAAGATTTGAATTCCTACTATGCACCAAGCCATGTCAAACGTTCATCTTCTACGGAAGGAAGATCTAGTGTAGTGGCTCTGCCATACTTACTTGCTACAGTATCTTGGGTAAGTAGCTTAACCTCTCTTAAGACTAAATTTTCTAGCCTATAAAACAAAGATAATACTTTCCAGGTTGTTGTGAAAGTTAATGAGATAATATAAAGCATTTAGCACAGGGGCTGACATACAATTCTCGATAAATGCTAGCTATTATTATTTCCTGAGAAACACAACCTAGAGAGTAATTTTTTTCTAGAGATTAAATTTAAGCAAAGTAACAAGGAAATAGTCTAGGCATTCACATATCGGCAGGGGGGTGGGGGGGGGGAACCTAAACCAAGTAAAGATTACACAGAGGGTTTTCTCTAATTAGGTGAATCAAATTCATAAGGCTGAGATTTTTTTTTGTAAGAGTTCTTTAAACAGAAATACAGTTAACTTTACTAACAACAATGAAGCAACACATAAAGTTCTGAAAAGGCAGTCAGGAGTCCCCGGAGTGTTAACAGAAAGAACACAGGACTTAAATACAGAACTCAGGTCCAAATAGCAGATCGAACCACCTGCCAGGTAGACGGCATCAAAAAGGTAATTTAAATTCTCTCATTCTGTTTTTTCACTTATAAAATTAGGTTAAAAAATAGCTGTCACAGAAAGCATGGCCAGCAGGTCCTCCACAGGACCTTTCCGTTCTGTGCCTAAAATTCTGAACTGTGTTTTACAATAAGCCTGAAAGTTCGTTCACCGCAATATAGTATTTGCAATCCAAAGTCAATATTTCAACACAAAATTGGCAGGCAGGAAAGGAGGGAGAGTCTTTCGCTAAGTCTAAGTAAGAGTCTGACTTCTCACTAGGAGCATGTCTGTTGTACTTACTTCAAACAGCATGCAAAGCATGACTCATCAAGGAATAAGAATTTCAATGAGTGCTTTTTGGTTAAGAAGCTATTGTGAATATTTCTGCCTTTGGAGATGGCTAAAGAAATAGCATTATTAAGCCGGTGCAGTGGCTCATGTCTGTAATCCCAGCACTCTGGGAGGATGAGGTGGGTGGATCACCTGAGGTCAGGAGTTCAACAACAGCCTGGCCAACATGGTGAAACTCTGTCTCTACTAAAAATACAAAATTTAGCTGGGCGTGGTAGTGGGCGCCTATAATCCCAGCTACTTGGGAGGCTGAGGCAGAAAATCACCTGAACCCAGGAGGCAGAAGGAGGTTGCAGTGAGCCAAGATCATGCCACTGCACTCCAGCCTGGGCGATGAGAGCAAAACTCCATCTCAAAAAAAAAAAAAGAAACAGCATTATTATTAAACAATACGCACAGAATTCATGGAAGAAACATGAACTTCCCACATATACCTTCCTTCATTTACCCAGCTTTTCCCCACTGCTCTTCAAACAAGATCATTCTTATCTGCACTAATTGCTGAATTGTGGCCACAAGATGAACATACTCCTCTTTCACTGACACCTACAAGATATTTAAGCTTACATTTTAAGATTGCTAAGAAGTTGAAGTCAGTTAGCAAAATTCCTTAATCTGCTCCAGATATGAATATATCCAAGACTTTGACCATAGGGCTATATTAACCTCTGCTATCATAATCAGTGGAACTAATTTACCAATATTTTATTTACCAGGGGAAAAAAAAAGACATAAAAGGGAAAAGGAAATTCACAATGCAGCTCTGTAACCAAGCTACGATATAACAAGGAGTTAATAAGGAGCGCCCTCATTTGGCTTGAATGATGGAGAAACTTGAGTAAAAACATGCATTTAAAAAAAACCTTTAAGGCTGGGCGCGGTGGCTCACACCTGTAATCCCAGCACTTTGGGAGGTTGAGGCGGGTGGATCACGAGGTCAGGAGATGGAGACCATCCTGGTCAACATGGTGAAACCCCATCTCTACTAAAAAGAGAAAAATTAACTGGGTGTGGTGGCATGTGCCTGTAGTCCCAGCTACTCGGGAGGCTGAGGCAGGAGAATAGCTTGAACCTGGGAGGTGGAGGTTGCAGTGAGCCGAGATCGTGCCACTGCACTCCAGCCCAGCGACAGGGCAAGACTCCATCTCAAAACAAACAAACAAACAAACAAAAAAACAAAAAGCAAAAAACACATTTAAAAAACGATCCCTTCCACCGCCCAGAAAAAAAAAAACCTTAGGATGATCATACAAGTGTTACAATGTTTTTTTAAAAAATGTTTGTGAATGCCTTTTAAAGAAAATGCTTTTCTCACCACTAATAGCAGGTTTGAGTTCTGTTATTTAGTTTTCAAGCCACCAATGGGAATCTATGTGCCCCAACTGTATTTTACAATGCTTTCCAATACAGACCAAAAAAGTGTGTAGATAAGGGTATCAATGTGAATGAAGCATTTCTTTTCAAATTCTTTTCAAAATAAGTATTCTCTTTTATGACCTGAATCTAGGTGATTCATATGTTGAGTTTTGCTGGACGATCCCTAAAAGTTTTGGGCTTAAGTTTCAAGTTTCCTAACTCTTAACAGCTTTCCTATCTAAGACGATCAAGTTTTACAGATGGCCACTTTTTTTCAGCCACCTTTCCCCTAATTTATATAATGAATGAAATGAGCAACCTGATTCAGGTTATAACTTTTTACTTAAACTAAGTGAGTAATTGTAATTTAGAGACCTCAGAGCTGAATGCATTCTCTAAAGCATAAAAAAAATTAGACAAATTACAGGTGCACAATTTGCATTCGGGGACCACAGAATTTTGAAATGTAAAAGCTCCCTGTTAAGGCCATACTTAGAGATGTTTATCTCAGGGTCCTCAACCTCAAGGACTTATCCTCCATGTGCAAATAAAGCTGAAGGTGTAACTTCCCAGGAGGCACCACTGGAAACTTGTAAGACCAAAAAGGCTTTTGAGAACCAAAATAACTGAAACTCTAAAGGGGGAATTTCAGATTGTGACAAATGGTAAAAGAGAGTGAGGTGGCAAGGGGACTCCTAATCAGTTCCATTCAAATCATCAATGTGCAGTTAATAACCTCTCCTTATTGGAGAAACCAATGTAATAACTTAAAAATACACTATTGTGATAATCGTAATTTTAAAACAGAAATAGCCTAGGTTAAATTGAACCCCTCTTCCCGATCCTACTGGTCATTCAGCATGTTTTAAATTCAAGGTTGCCCTTTAGGAAAGGAGGTCACTTAAGGACAGTTTATCTCAATGAAACATCTTGTATACTAATTCGAAACTATTTCAAAAGGGGGAAAATGGAGATTAGAAAAGTAACATACTACTTGAGATGTTACCATATTATTTCTCAGGGCCACAATTATTTACACTATTTTTTTGAAAACGCAGTAATTTCTAAAGCATTAATTATGTAGCAATATTCGTCACTTTAACAAAACACATTTGAAAAGTCCTATCCTACTGACTCAGGCCAAATCTAATTTTAAAACTGAACCTAGACATAAAAATACTCACCAATTAGACTAAGAAGGGAGAAATAAAAAAAATTATTGGTTCAGAGAAATGAGACTGAATTAAGGAAAAACTTTTAAATAAAGTGTTCATCAAAAAAATACATAGAAGTTCCAAGGCTAGTGTTTTCCTAGGAGAATATTAAGAAGTTGGTGGTTTCTCTCTACCTAACTGGGATTTTAGAAACTGCCACACTAGCTAGTTATGAGAATGAAGATTAAAGAAATTTCACATAAAGAGTGAAGGACACACAATCTTTTAAGTAACAATAATGAAATCAATAATTATAATTAATAATAAAAAAAAAAGCCTGACAGTCCACCTCTTACTGACTTCCCCCTCAAAAAAAAAAAACTGGGAGTGTTCTGGGAATTGGAGAGATGTCATCAGCACAGAAAAAAAAACCACTTTCCTATATGTCATCCTGAAGCAGTGATTCTACATAAAAATAAGGGTAGTCTATTCTCTATGCAGTTATGAGTGTGGTACAACTCTCTAAAACGTCTATTAATACAAAATGAACGACCACACTTTAAAGCCACTCTACATTTTCGCAAACTACCCTACATATCTACGAGTAACTATTTGCAACTTAAACACCCTCCTATATACCTCTATACCTTCCTGCTTCCTTCAAGATACCATCACAGAATGAACGAATACAACTTAAATTAGTTTATTTTCCAGGGTGCTTCCTTTCCCCCACTCCATGAAACATAAGTACATTTTTTTAAGTCATATAAATGGACACCAAGCACCGGTAATTCAGTCTCTTTAAAACCTGCTTAAAAGTTCTAGTAAGATGTGCTCAGGTTGGAAACTAAAAACTACCTTATAAGGGTATAAAAGACTGAAAGCAGGAAGCGGCTTTGACAAAACTAAGGAAGTTGCAGCGCGCTTGCTCACTGGGGGACTTTTTTGAGGCTACAGAAGTAACACATGACATCTTTCTCCCTCGAATTAAAATGTGACTTGGTTCACCGGTTAAAACGCAGAGGGAGATGGAAATGACCAGGAGTCGAAAGGAGAAGGTGGGTGGTCAAATGAAAGCCCCACTGTAGGTTCCCATTTTCAGAGTCCGATTCTTCCCTTTCCCCACCCACACCCTGGGCAGAATGTTGTCACAGCGATCTTGTCAAACCTACCAGGAGCGCTTCTCTTTTCTAGCTCCCCTGCCAGGCCAGTCCCCGAGCTCGGCCCCTGGGTCCCCAAACCGACTGGCAAAAACGGGCGCGGAGGGAAAGGAAAGCCGGATGGGTCGGGCCCGGGGACCACCCCCAAGACGACCGTCCCCAGCGCCCTTTGGGCGGCGCTGCCCACCGTAGTGGGGGAAGGGCCGGGAGGGGTCGCGCGGAGAAAGCCGCTGGGAGGGTTGGGGGTTGAATCTCGGGCCCGCGCCCCCGCCCCAGTCCCAGGAGGGAGAAACGAGGGGACCCGCGAGGCCCTGGCTGCGGGCCCCACCCCTCGCTGGCCGGCGGGTCTAGGACTGACAGCCGGCGGCGGCACCTCGCCGCACCATTCATTTCCCGGCCTCCTCCCTCCCCCGCCATCTTCCTTCCTCCGCCTCAGTTTCCCCACCCCCGCCCGTAAGCCCCCTTACCCCGTGCCACAGTCCACCACACAGGCCGGCAGCCGTCCCGCCATCTTCCTCCTCGCCTGCTGCTGCTGCTGCCGCCGTCTGCTCCGTGCTGCTAGGGGCCAGAGATTGGCGGCGGGAGACAAGGGCTATCTGACCATCCACAGCTGGGCCGCCTTCACCGTCCGGGGGGTAGCCGGGAAGCCGAAGCAGTAGCAAGAAAGCAGCAGGCTCGGTCGGCGGCTATCACTTCCGCAACCCAGGCAGGCAGGCAGTCCCCGCCCTGCCCCGCCGCGGCCTCCTCCCCCTCTCTCTTCCCTCCTCCTCACTCCTGCCCCCACCCTACAACTTCTTCCCCTCACGCCGCCTTTCCCCGGGAAGCCAAGATGGCCGCCGGTGCCGACGCCCCGGCCAGGCCAGGCCCAGGCCCCCAGCGCTCCCCCTTCCGCTCCGAGCGGGAGGGGCTAGCGAGCATGCGCAATAAGGTACGTTCGCCTGCCTGGGCTCCGATCCTGAAGTTGGTGAAATCCACTGCGGGTTTTCCAGGAGTGTAGAGGCGGAGAAGTCTATCCGAGCTTCCAGTTCTGCTTCTGAAGCTGGAAGGGGCTTTTCGGTTGTAACCCTTGGGTTAGTTTCAGTTACTTCTTTGCTAGGTTGAGGAAAGGGTGGAAGCGCCTCCTGCAGCCACGAATATCCTCCAGTGCCTGAGAGAAAACGGCCTAATCGAAAACGTCCGCGGCATACATCCATTCTTAAAACTTGAGTGGCTGCTTTTCTGGGTGGAAAAGAGCGGTATCAGACAGGGTGAGCAGTCGGGGAACGGATGAACAAAGACTTGCACCGTGGCCCTGATGCCTTTGTTCCGAGTTCTATTCAGTTGTACTTGTGCGTTGTTACAGGACTTTAGAATGCAGCCCTGCCCCCCAACCCCCACCTCCCAGGGCCGACCTGTGCTCCTAGGAAGGCAAACCTCCCAGGAATATATTCTGCATAACTATACAAATAGGCCTTTATTCAAGGCTTTTGGATTATGACAAAGATTACCCTCAGGAGTAGTAAGATTCTACTAGCAGGATAATAGAAAGGATTAAGGCTCCCCTCCAAAGAAAATTTTTTTAAGTTAGAAACGGAGGCGAGCCGCAGTGGGTCATGCCTGTAATTTCAATGCTTTGGAAGGCCGAGGTGGGAGGATAGGATAGCTTGAGGCTAGGAGTTCGAGACCAGCCTGGGCAACATGGGGAGACCCCCCCCCATCCCTCCAAAAAAGAAAAGAAAACTGGAAAGCCTTAAAGAAACCTTTCAAACTTTAGTGTGTATCAGAATTACCTGAAAGGTTTGTTAAAACAGATTGCTGGGCCATACCCCCAGAATTCTCTGACTGGGCTATCGGAAATAATGCCTGAGAATGTGCATATCTAATAAGTTCCTAGTTCCACTTTAGGACCCTAGAAGGTTAGTATCTTTCCTCTCTACCAGGCTTATCTTAGGATGAACCGTTCGGGGTTTGCTGATGTGAAGCTAAAACAAAAATATTCTTTAAAAGGAGGGATGTCTTATTCAGTCCATAAGATCATCTAATGTATTAAGCTGGCTTGGGGGATGAATCGGGTGTTTCATTCATTCATTTGACAGGTAAGCATTGCTTACCTACTCTATTATGACGGGGTCTGTGCTGACTCCGAATATTCGGTGGGATGCAAAATAGTTAAGTGCTCTTGTAGAGTTTACAGATTAGCGGAAAACAGACAAATTGTGTTAAGAGCAATAGAAAGAAGAGAGCGGAGGACTCTGAGAAATGAAGGCGAGGAGTGGGAGAATGAGAGGAAGGTGGAAGGCAGGTAAGGAGTCTGACCAGCTGGTATTTAAAAGCTAAGATGGGGGGAAGAGTCTCCCAGGAGAGTGAACAGCAAGTGTCAAGGACCTGAGGCAGGAACAAGCTTGGCTTCTTCCACAAATTGAAAGAAGATCCATATGAAAGAGTCAGAGAAGATGCAATGGGAGATGAAGACTGAGAGATAAGGAAGAGTGAAACAGTGCAAGAATTTGTAGACTGCTCTAAGCATTTTAAAGTTTATCTTAAAAGCAGCTTGATAAATTAGATTTATGGTAATTAGTTTAAAAATAAAAATAAAGCAACTTGAAAGGATTTAGGCAAGAAAAAGTTGTGTCTGCTTTGTAGAGAATGGCTCCAGCAGAGTCCAGATTGAATCATACATTGTATGATATTCTGTGTTCCGGAGTTCGCAGATAGAAGTATGTGAGGGCCAGCATCCAAATGGAATCAGGTATGTGCAGAGGAGACTCACTAAAGGGCATCATCATCAATTAGTGCCCAGCATGTCTGCAGCTATTCACGAGAGAAGGCTTTTTTTAGAGGTTGTTTTCAGAGAAGTCAAACAACTGGTTGTCTCAGATTCGTTGTCGTTGGTTTCTCCACTACATTTTAGAAGATGCTAGATGGGGACTCTTTGCTGCCGCTTCTACTACCTGGTAATTAAAGTCTTTTGAGGAAGCATATGCTTGAAGATTGGCTCTGACAGAAAAGACAGATGTGGTTTAGTAGGGGTAGAATAAATGGTTGTTTCCAGCAGTTACAAGTAGTAAGTCAGGAGTGAAGAGATCCTACCAAAGAAGTTTCGAGAGCAGAGGTTAGTGCCCTCGGTCACTTGGGCAGCCCATGCCGGTGGCCCTCAAGGTAGCTGCCCACACTCTGGCCTTGCACAGTTGTCATGGAAGTAGTTAACTCAAGCAGGGTTGGAAACTAGTGCTTCGAGGTCTAGGCAGGTACTGTTATGAGTGAAGGGGGCCATGAGGAGGGTATGGCAATGTGAGAGCCCACAACCCAACAGAAGGCAACAGACAACTGTTGCCATGTGGAAATACAGCCCTGGTATTGCCAGAGCCTTTTTTCTTCCCCAAGAGAAATCTGAAATCTGCATTTTTATCTTTGGTAACTGTAATGGTTTGAATGTGTTCCCCAAAGTTCATGTGTGAGAAATATAATTTCCAGTGCAACAGTGCTGAGAGGTGGGAGCTTTAAGAGGTGATTAGGCCAGGAGGACACTGTCTTCATGAATGAATCACAGGACTGGGTGCCTGATAAAAAGGAGTTTGCCCCCGCTTCCCTCTCTCTCTTTTGCCCATGTGATGCCTTCCACCATGTTTTGACACAGCAGGGACGCCTTCACGAGATGATGGCCCTTTGATCTTGGACTTCCCAGCCTCTAAAACTATGAAAAATAATTTGTGTTCTCTATAAAGTACCCAGTCTCTGATATTCTGTAAGCAGCACAAACTAGGCTAAGATAGTAACTAATTTTTTTCTGCATGTCATATCTGACCTGTGGTCTGCCAGTTTGCATCTTTTGATTTCGGAAGCTACATGTGGTTCAGTAGTTTGCTGCCTTCAAATATGAAGCTCATGTCAGTGCTAAGTACTGTCTCTCATTTCATAGGCATGAGGAAACTGTCACAGTCTCACATAGTCAAGACTGTCCTGTGTTTGTACAGGCAGTAACTGTTAGAAGCATTTGGAAGCTTTCAGTGCTTGTTGGAAATGTCATTGGTGCTCATTCCTCATAATCTTGTCTACCCAAACACTTTGCTTGCTTAAGATCCCTTCTACTTCCTGCTTGCTGCATGCCAAATTGGTCAGCCTCTCTGCTACTGTGGTGGCCCAGCCTTCCTCAGCTGCACATAGCCTTCAGTCACACATCCGGCCAAAGCATTTCTGACCACCCTGTTTGCATATGCACCCACTCCCTGCTTACTCATCTCCAAACACAGAAGCAAAGGATGTCAGAGACAGTTCATCCTTCATTTCATATTTGTCCCTAATAGCACCTCAATTTCCTTTCAGTTCAGGTCAACCCGGTCCTTGGTTCTTACCCATTTCCAAACCTGTTCCGAAACTTTCAAGCATTTGTGAGTCTTGCAGTATCCTTCTCCTGTGGCTCAAGTTAGCCACAGCAAGTTCCCATTACTTGCATCAAATTTGAGAAGCCTTAGTGGTACAGAAGCCCATAGAGTTTAAGTGAGTTTTCCCAATATCTTTTTCTTTTTTTTTTTGAGATGGAATCTTGCTCTGTCGCCCAGGCTGGAGTGCAGTGTAGTGCGATCTCGGCTCACTGCAAGCTCTGCCTCCTGGGTTCATGCCATTCTCCTACCTCAGCCTCCTGAGTAGCTGGGACTACAGGCGCCCGCCACCATACCCGGCTAATTTTTTTTTTTTTTTTTTGTATTTTTTGTAGAGACGGGGTTTCACTGTGTTAGCCAGGATGGTCTCAATCTCCTGACCTCGTGATCTGCCCGCCTCGGCCTCCCAAAGTGCTGGGATTACAGGTGTGAGCCACCACTCCCGGCCCCCAATATGTTAAAGAAACTAAGGAACAGAAGTCCAAGTCAAAATCCAGTTCTTACGCCTTTTGGGGGGCTCTTTAATTGTAACGACAAATTAGCAAATTGTCTTTGGATCTTAAAAAGTGTCCAGGAAATTTATGTCACTCAATTTCCATTATTTTAAGATGAGAAATAGTATTTTAAAAATCAACTTAGGTACGTACTACAGGGCTGACTGTTTGCAAATTGGCAGATGAATCAGATTCACAGAGAGCCTTAATTCAGAGCAGGTAAGTTGTAAAAGTACCCCAAGCAGCCTAGTGGTCAGAGGGGAGGGACTGTGAAAACTGTCTTCTCTCTTCTCAAGTTGTGTGATCTTAGCAACTAACTTCTTATGTAGAGAGAGCACTGATTTTAGACTCAAGAGACTTGAATTGAGTATGAACTCTTTCACTTACTCTGTTTCTTCATCTATAAAATTCACAGGAATATTTAACCTATAGGGTTGTTGTAAAGCTTGAATTTGGTAAGAAGCCTATTATAAATTACAGAGTGACCTTATTATGGACAGATCAAGAGGAATATGGTTTAATTATAAAGTAATCACTGACTTAGTACTTAAACATACAAAAGGAAACACACACTGGTCCTCCTCTTCACAGATGTTATCTTGGGGCCCATGTGCCTACTCTTTTAATGCTACCATTGTGCAAAATATTTTTAGAAGCTCTTCTTTAGACTTGCCTTCAAAGCCTACAGCACATTGTTTTAAACATCTTCACTGGTGGCAGATCTTGCCCTCTGTGAGTAGATTTCATTTTGAGGATTAGCCAAAAGTCATTTCTTCAGAGCCAAGTCCAGTAAACAAATGGCTTATCAACTAGGGTTGTTTTTTATCAAAAGTTTTATGTGACTATAAGTAAAACTGGTTTTCTTATGTGACTTATAAACTGCCTCTAGATGAAGTTCTAGATTATTTTATTCAGTGGCTACATCCCTGGGGGCTATAGACTGAATGTCTATGTTCGCTCACTCTCCAACCAATTTGTGTGTTGAAAATTTAACCCCCAGGGTGATGGTATTAGGAAGTGGGGCCTTTGGAAAGTGATTAGGTCATGAGGGCAGACCCCCACATGAATGGGATTAGTTCTCTTTTAAAAGAGACCTCAAAAAACTGCCTCACCCTTTCCACCATGTGAGGACACAAGAAGACAGCCATCTATCAAATGGAAAGCAGCCCTTCACCAAAGGTGGATCTGCTCACATCTTGATCTTGGACTTCTCAGCTTGCAGAACTATGAGAAATAAATTTATATTGTGTTTGATTGTTTGTTTTTTGAGGTGGAGTCTCACTTGTCCCCCAGGCTGGAGTGCAGTGGCTCAATCTTGGCTCACTGCAACCTCTGCCTTCCGGGTTCAAGCAATTCTCCTGCCTCAGCCTCCCGAGTAGCTGGGACAACAGGCGCATGCCACGAAGCCCTGCTAATTTTTGTATTTTTGGTAGAGACAAGGTTTCACCATGTTGACCAGGCTGGTCTCAAACTCCTGAGCTCAAGTGATGTGCCTGCCTCGGCCTCCCAAAGTGCTGGGATTACAAGCGTGAGCCACCACACCCGGCCAAATTTCTATTTTTTACAAAGCCTAAATTTGTGTTGTTTATAAATAAATTGTTTATGGATAAGGGATTGAATATCCCTTATCTAAAATGCTTAGGACTACAGATATTTAAGATTTTGGATTTTTTCAGATTTGGGAGTATGCACATATACAAAATGAAACATCTTGGGGATGAGACCCATGGGTAAACACAAAATTCATTTATATTTCATATATGCCTTATATGCATAGCCTGAAGGTAATTTTATACAATATTTTTAATTTGTGCATGAAACAAAGTTTGTATTTACGTGTATTTACATGTAGAATTTTCCATTTGTGGTGTCATGTCAGTGTTCAGAAGGTTTCAGATTTTGGAACGTTTTGGATTTTGGATTTTCAGATTAGGGATGCTCCACTAGGGATGCTTTGTTATAGCAGCCTGAAGAAGCCAAGATGCTGGGATAAAAATAGTCATTATATGCTTGATTTCATTGAAAATATATTTCTTTTTTCGTTTTTTTTTTTGAGACAGAGTCTTGCCCTGTCGCCCAGGCTGGAGTGCAGTGGCGTTTTCTCGGCTCACTGCAAGCTCCACCTCCTGGATTCAAGCGATTCTCCTGCCTCAGCCTCTCAAGTAGCTGGGATTATAGACGTGTACCACCACACCCGGCTAATTTTTGTATTTTTAGTAGAGATGGGGTTTCACCATGTTGGCCAGGATGGTCTTGAACTCCTGACCTCAAATGATCCACCCGCCTCGGCTTCCCAAAGTGCTGAGATTACAGGCGTGAGCCACCGCACCCGGCCTGAAAATATATCTCAGATAATATCTGTACAACATTTGAAATGAGGTGAGATTCTGTGGGATAAGATCCTAATCCCCTCACTGCCTGTAAAGAATGAATAGTTTAATTAAATTTTGACTCTAATTTAAAGAAAAGTTACGCCCTGTCTGCCCCCACCCCGCCCCCCCAAACACACACACACACACTTGCGCAAACATATACACCTTTTCTTATATATAAAAACAGATTCTAGATGGATGACAAATCTCCAGTATACAATAAAATCCATACTCCTTATTGGGACCTACAAAGCCCTCCATGTTCTGGTGCCCACCTCAGTGTTCAGCTTGTCTCATCTTCACCCTGTTCCATGAAGCCACATTAACCTTCTTGTTGCTGTTCACACCCACCAGGCTGTTCCCACCTGTGTCCACTCCCCGGACTTCTCCACCAGTCATCAATTAATCCTGAATCACTTGCCTCCTCAGAGAAGCCTTTCCTGACCTGCCAGTGTAAAGTAGCCTGTCTCACTGTCTTCCCCCGTCACCAAGTATTAATTATCTGGGGGAAATGTCTTATTTACTTATTGGTTTGTTTGTTTCTTATCAACTAGGGTTGTCTCTCCCAGTTAGAAAATACTCTCACCAGAGTTTGAAGAGAGCCTGACGTATAATAAGTGCTCAATAAATATCTGTTGAGAGAATAAATGAATCAAATAACAAAAATAAAACTATAAATTATAAGAAATTAGAAGGGAATTTAGAAAAAAATGTTTATATACTCTGAAGGTGGGGAGGACTTTCTGAAGTAAAAGAAGAAACCCATAGCCATTAATGGGAAGATTTGGTTACATGAACAATTAAATTCCTACTAAGTTACATTTTTAAATTATAGATTAGAAGAAGATATTTTAAAATAGACAAAATATCCAGAGCTGTATGGAAAATGAACATGCTGATCACTGGTGGAGATGTGAATTGCCACACCCTTCTGGAAAGTTATGTAGCAGTATCTGCTAAAACTTAATATTCACATATATTAGACTTAGGAATTTCATTTTGTTGAATTCTAAAGACATAAAAATACTGATGTCGGAGAAATCGTGATTCTGAAAGATTTTAAAATCAGAAGATTTAGAAATACATTGTTTGTTCCCAGTGCCACTATGGCCAGGTAAATCTCAGGGGCTTTCTTAGCCCAGAAGGCAAGGCTGGATCTTGAGGGGCAACTAGCAATCTCCTCCATCTGTGTGTATTAACCTAGAGAGTTATGGAGCAGAGATTGACACTTACTCCTTCTTCCTTAGTAACAATGCCTGGATTTTATTCAGATGCTGTGTACCCAGCCAAAAGACTACATTTCTCAATCTCCATTGTAGCTGGATGTGGCTGTGTGATCAAGTTATGACCAATGAGATATAAGTAGAAGTAGCTTGGCCAGACACAGTGGCTCACACCTGTAATCCCAGCCCTTTGGGAGGCCAAAGCAGGAGGATCACTTGCACTCAGGAGTTGGAAACTGCAGACCAGCCTGGAGAACACAGTGACACCTTGTCTCTACACAAAATGAAAAAGTTAGCAGGGTATGGTGGCATGTGCCTGTGGTCCCAGCTACTTCCAGCTACTTGGGAGGCTAAAATGGAAGGATCGCTTGAGCCTGGGAGATTGAGGCCTCAGTGAGCCATGATCATGCCACTGTACTCCAGCCTGGGTGACAAGAGCAAGACCCTGTCTCTCAAAAAAAAAAAAACGCGGCTGGGTGGAACATCTGGAAAACATCTTTAAAGAACGCTGACTCAATCAGGAGGAGCACCATTTTGTTTCTTGCCCTCTGCCCTTCCTGCCTGAAACAGGTAAGGTGACTACTGCTCTTTGGCCATTATGGGTGACAAACTGAACTTGAGACTGGAAGCCATGTCCTATAAAAGATAAATAGGGCCAGGCGCGGTGGCTCACGCCTCTAATCCCAGCACTTTGGGAGGCCGAGATGAGTGGATCACGAGGTCAGGAGATCGAGACCATCCTGGCTAACACGGTGTAAACCTCGTCTCTATTAAAAATAACAAAAAAATTAGCCGGGCGTGGTGGCGGGCGCCTGTAGTCCCAGCTACTCCGGAGGCTGAGGCAGGAGAATGGTGTGAACCCGGGAGGCGAAGCTTGCAGTGAGCCCAGATCGCACCACTGCACTCCAGCCTGGGCTACAGAGCAAGACTCCGTCTCAAAAAAAAAAAAAAAAAAGATAAATAGAAGGAGCCCAGGTACCTTGTGACACTGGAGTGTCATATTAGCCCTGGACTACCCACCTCCAGACTTGTTTTATATGACAGAAAAATAAATCCTTAGTGTTTAAGCCAGTATAATTTGGCATTTTTGGTTATATGCAACTGAATCGAATACTAATTGATAATACCATGTTGTAATGTTAAATATAAAAGGTAAGTTGCTAAGTAAAGCCAGAAGAATATAAACTCAAACGTGTATAGGTGATAGGCCAGTAATACAGAAAGGTGGATGAGTGGCAGTATAAATAGTAGGGATGCAGAGGACATGTTGAATTGGAAAGCCCCTGCAACATTAATAATATTACCATGTGGCCATGTGGATTGAGATCTTCCAGTTTTTCATGTTAAATTTCCCCAGTGTTCTGCAAACAAAACATTTTCCCAGCTGTATCTACATTGCAGCCTATCAGTTTGTGACTTTTGATTTGTACTATGGTCTAATATTTAGAAAAATGGAATAAAAGGGAGAAGGATGGAAGGGAGAAAAGAAGGAAGGGTGGACCAGCACTTCGGGAGGCTGAGGTGGCTGGATTATGAGGTCAGGAGTTTGAGACCAGCCTGGACAATGTGGTGAAACCCCATCTCCACTAAAAATACAAAAATTAGCTGGGCATGGTGGCATATGCCTGTAATCCCAGCTACTCGGGAGGCTGAGGCAGGAGAATCGCTTGAACTCGGGAAGCGGAGGTTGCAGTCAGCCAAGATTGTGCCACTGCACTCCAGCCTGGGTGACAGAGCGAGACTCCATCTCAAAAAAAAAAAAAAAAAGTTATTGTCTGCTGTGTGTTAAACTGGGAGTCTAATGTATAAACATGTGACCTTGCCACTTTGGAGAAATTCCAGGAAATGGTACAAATGGTACCTTGATTTTTTTTTTTTCTTTTTTCCTTTTGAGACAGAGTCTCTTGCTCTGTCACCCAGGCTGGAGCGCAATGGCACAATCTTGGCTGACTGCAACCTCCACTTCCCAAGTTCAAGCGATTCTCCTGCCTCAGCCCCCCGAGCAGCTGGTATTACAGGCATATGCCACCCCACCCAGCTAATTTTTGTATTTTTAGTAGAGACGGGGTTTCACCACGTTGTCCAGGCTGGTCTTGAACTCCTGACCTCATGATCCACCCACCTTGGCCTCCCAAAGTGCTGGGATTACAGGCATGAGCCACCGCGCCCGCCACCTTGATTATTGTTTAAATAAAAGATGAATAAAAGTACATTCTTATTTTTGATTATAATGTGGCCCAATGTATACATTTCACTTAGTGTAGCACATCACATTGTTCTTACTAAAACTATTTCTAGTTTTACACCAGCTCAGATTTTTAAATATTCATTGCTTTTTCCTACTTCTGTCTCAGGCATTGCCATTCTCTTCAAAACATATTTGAAAAATGTCCAGGCTTCTCATCTCTGTGTAAAACTGTTCAGTTTGTTCCAGTGTGACGAGAAGAAATTGGACTGAGCATACTTTTTTGTGAGACATCCATTTTCTTCCTTTGATGAATTTGACAACTTGTGACAATTCTCACATTTTGGAACAAGTCTCCTAATTATAGAAGAAGCTAATAATGATAATATAAGAAATTATAAATTATTTGACTGTTTTCAATTTATCCAAAAGGAAGTTTATCAAACTTTCTCCTCCTACTTTCTGCTCCACCCCACCCCTCAGCCCCGATGCACACGCTGTGCCGTCACAGCACTTATGCCTAGAGAATTATGATCCTTAAATAGCAGTCAACTCTTCTTAAATAGCAGTCAGTTGTTCTAGCAGTGTATCAGTTAGACATTCTAGAATATTTCACAAAATAAGAATTTTGCAGAAGGAACATTATAGCTCCCTAGGTCTAGCAAATGAGGGAACTAGGGTACAGAGAAATTAAGTGACTTAAGATCTCACAACAAACTAGTGGAGTACTTCTACTTAAATATATCTCTAGATACTCATAGAAGGTAAAAGCTACATTGAAAATTCACACAACTCTTCTGGAAAGTGGCAAATTCAATGATGCTGTAAAGTCTGGCATAATATTCTAGTGGTCAAGACACTTTGGGTAGTAAATGAGAGAGGCCAAATTCAAATCAGGCTAAGAATAAAAAGAAATGTTTTCTTTCAAGTGGGTGGAGCTCAAGTAAGTGTAAATTCCAGGGGATAAATTGGATTCAGGCATAGCTGGATGCAAAGGCTCAAAAATGTCATCAGAATCTGCCTCTTTTTCTCTCTTGGTGTTGCTTGCCACTGTGTTGTCCTCATTCTCAGGTAGCTTGACTCACACAGCTACAACAATGGCTTATATCCTAATGGTTGATCAGCCACAGGGCAGAGTACACTTTTCCTCAGTGGTCCAAGCAAAAATCCTGGGGCTCACTCTTACTGGCTGACTTGGATCAGGTGTCCTTCTGGAGCACAACACAGTGACTCCAGGTGGCCAAGCTTGAATCTCATGCCACATCCCTACCACCAGCTCCACTAAAAAGAACCACATGGACAGAAGGGGAGGAGTGGTTACAAAGGGAAAAATAAATGTTTATTACCCAGGGAGGGATAATGAATGTAAGGCAAGCAAAAACGGGAAAAAAAAAAGTCCATTAAAAATTCAATTTACACTATTTACACTCACATTGCACTGTAAACTGATGCAATTAAGAGTCTCATTTCTTGCTTGGTGGTTAGGGATTTATATTTCATTAAAAAAAATACTACCAACATTAAGTAAGGGGATACTTGAAGAAAACAAAGATATGCGATGAAGAAAACTGGGCTTTGCAAAAAAAAAAAAAAAAAAGATGTACTGTGAGTATGTGTGTGTTTATTATATTGTTAGTCCATAAATGAACACAAAGGCAAATGAAAAATAAAAACACTGGACATCTGCCAAACATTACATTAATCTCAATGTTTGATGATTCCATCAGTCCTGCACTGGGGAAAGCAGTCATTATGTTTTTGTGGTAGCATTTGTTTATTTTGGTTTCCATATCATCTCAAATGCTGATGAGCTTGTGCTAGCTACGTGTACTAGTATTTTATTGAAAGGCATATAATTATTTAGTTCATAAAGAGAAGTAGTCTCATACACGGCCAATTCTTTATCATAACTAGCATTCTCTTCATTTGTCCATTCATTCATTCGTTTATATTAAGTGCCAGTTAGGAACTAGGAACAAGGCTGGACTCTAAGGAGATGACTAATTTGCAGCCCCACCCTTTGAAGTCAAAGTACCGTAAAGAGAAACAGGCAAGTAAAAATTAAAGTACACCATGACAAGTGATTAACACAGGGCTTTAGAAGGAGAGGAGGACTCTAAGTTAGAGATCAAAGAAAGCTTCAAAGATGGCTTAGGGAATGCTTTCCAGGGTGGAAAGGAGGTTAAAGGCAATTCTAGAGAAAATAACATACAATGACACAGAGACTTAAAAGAACCCTGGGTGTTTAAGAAATGGGTTACAACTCTGGCTATGACATAGGGTGTGTACAGGGGAAGAGTTGATGTGAATGACTTTGTGTGCTAAGTTTGGACTTTGCCTTGTAATTCTAAAACTCCCTCAGCTGGAACCAGACTGACAGTAAAGAGCCATCTGGATAACTTGTTAAAAATACAGATTGCTCAGACCTCACTTCTAGAAATTTTGATTCAGAGGAATCTGTGTTTTAAAAAAATTTCCAGCTGGGCTCAGTGGCACGCCTATAATCTCAGCTACTTGGGAGACTGCGGCCGGAGGATCACACGAGGTCAAGAGTTTGAGACCAACCTGAGAAACATAGCAAGACCTCGTCTAAAAAAATGAAGAATTTCCTATGTAATTCTGGAGTACATCCAAGTTTGAGAACCACTGTGTGTAGGAAATGAGGATCCGTCAAAGGGTCTTGGGAAAAATAATAACATACTTTGGAAAGAGAGGCCGGGCACGATGCCTCACACCTGAAATCCCAGCACTTTGGGAGGCCGAGGCGGGTGGATCACCTGAGGTCAGGAGTTCGAGACCAGCTTGGCCAATATGGTGAAACCCCACGTCTACTAAAAATACAAAAATTAGCCGGGCTTGGTGGCGTGCACCTGTAATCCCAGACTTTAGGGAGGCTGAGGCAGGAGAATCACTTGAACTTGGGAGGCAGAGGTTGCAGTGAGCCGAGATCATGCCATTGCACTCCAGCCTGGGCAGCAGAGCGAGACTCCGTCTCAAAAAAAAAAAGAGAGCCCTTTTTTCCAGTGGCAAATTGCTTTACAGCATGTCAAAACAGGAGATGGAGAGACCTGATAAACGAGTGTGTGACAGAACAAATCAGAAATGGCGAGCACCTGCACTGTAGCAGAGGCAGTGGGGGTGGAGAGGAGGCGAATGTTCAGAGGCATTTCTGAGAAATGTAATCCACAGGACCAGATGAGCTGTTTGATGTGAAAAGGGGCGGATTTTCATTTGAAAAGGGTGCCTTCGAGAACTGGAAGTGACAGGTAAGCAGGAAGCGTGGCTGTGTCTACAACATATGAATGTTAGCTCAAGGTGGGAGACCAGGCTGGAGCTTGCCATGGCAGGAGGCCAACGCTTGGGGCCTGCCTAGCCAAGAGCCAGAGGCTCAGATCCGGGAACCCTGAGGTTGCAGGCTTGCTGACTACCCTTTGCCTGGGGACACATCCCCTTTGTTCTACCTGTGGCTCCTTGCCAGTAGTCATCTCTCATAGCCCTGTAGTTAGGTTTGGTTTTTTTGTTTGTTTTGTTTGGGGTTTTGAGATAGGGTCTCACTCTCTCGCCCAGATTGGAGTGCAGTGTCGTGATCTCAGCTCACCACAACCTCCACCGCAGGCTCAAGAGATTCTCCTGCCTCAGCCTCCCGAGTAGCTGGGATTACAGGTGCACATACTACCTCCCGGCTAACTTTTGTATTTTTAGTAGTGACAGGATTTTATCATGTTGGCCAGGCTGGTCTCAAACTCCTTGACCTCAGGCGATCCACCCGCCTCGGCCTCCCAAAGTGGTGGGATTACAGGTATGAGCTACCGTGCCCAGCCCCTGTAGTTAGGTTTTATCTCTAATCTATATAACTCCCTGAAGCCAGAACTATGATTTATCTGTACGTTCTGAGACCCTAGCCTAGTGCTGACACATATTTGATGCTCACTAATAATTTCTAGGTGAATGAATTTTATTAATTTCCTAGATAATTACAGCTACCATAGCCTAATTATATCTGAATAGTCCTTTGGCCTCATTTTTTTGTGATAGTTATATACATTTGTATTTCTATAATTCTACATGCTTCCATTATTGCTTTCCAAAATTCACATTTTTGTGAAGAAGAAGAGAGTAAGCAAAAGACATTCCTTCCTCCCAGACATTAATTACTGCAAGATGCCTGTGTAATTAGTGAAACAGGCATCTCCTACATGTGTTAATTTAGATTCCACCAAAAAGTGCTTGATTAACAAAAAAATTTAAAAATTTTCAATTGAATTACTTTAAAACAAGGAATAATTTCCAATTTAGTTATCCAGACAAGTTGTATGGATCCAGACAGATTATTTTTAAATAAGGTGTTATGGGCCAGGCATGGTGGCTCACACCTATAATCCCAGCACTTCGGGAGACCAAGGTGGGTGGATCACCTGAGGTCAGGAGTTTGAGGCCAGCCCGGCCAACACGGAGAAACCCTGTCTCTACTAAAATTACAAAAAATTAGCTGGGCGTGGTGATGCGTGCCTGTAATCCCAGCTACTTGGGAGGCTGAGTCAGGAGAGTCGCTTGAACCCAGGAGGCAGAGGTTGCAGTGAGCTGAGATTGCACCATTGCACTCCAGCCTGGGCAACAAGAGCAAAACTCTGTCTCAAAATAAACAAATAAATAAAAAATAAAGTGTTATTATCATGTCTAAAGTATCTATTTGTCTTTTTCACATATGATGCTACATGGAATAAATTAGAGAAGCTTTACTCAAGCCCCAAAGTAGTCACTACCATGAATGATAAGTAATATAAGGAAGAAAATGTAAGACAAGTTTCTTCACTGTGTATGTGGTTTCATTCTGTTCGTGGATTGGATGATTCCTCTTTCATTAACTTTTCCATTTTCTTTGCCTTTCTTGCAGATAAGTGCCCTCTGTGTACCAAAAAGGAATGTACTGTTTATAGAGACTTCAAATCAGCAGAAAATTCAAATAGTTATAACTTTTCTTTATAATCCATCATGAAAAAGAGTAACGACAAGTAAGCAAACTAATATCAGCTATTTCAATAGTTTCTTTTCCTTTTTTTTCTTTTTGAGACAGAGTCTCGACAGGATGGAGTGCAGTGGTGCAATCTCAGCTCACTGCAACCTCCGCTTCCCGGGTTCAAGCGATTCTCCTGCCTCAGCCTCCTGAATAGGTGGGACTACAGGTGCATGCCACCATGCCCAGCTAATTTTTGTATTTTTAGTAGAGATGGGGTTTCACCATGTTGACCAAGATGGTCTCCATCTCTTGACTCGTGATCCGCCCACCTCGACCTCCCAAAGTGCTGGGATTACAGGCGTGAGCCACCGCGCCCGACCTTTTTTTTTTCTTTTTTTAATAAGTTTTTGTTCTGTCACCCAGACTGGAATGCAGTGGTGTAGTTGTCGCTCACTGCAGCCTCTAACTCCTGGGCTCAAGGGATCCTCCTGCCTCAGCCACCCCAAGTGCTGGGATTACAGGCGTGAGACACTGCACCTGGCCTAAATACAATTTCCAAGCAGATATGACTGTTAACTTACTTTGTTGAACCAAAAAAAACGTAGCTAAGATATTGGCAAAAACTAAGAAAACATCTTTTTTGGATTCTCATGTCTACATTTCAGCCTATTATTTGGAATGAATTCCTACATGTGCATAATGAATTGTACCACTCTAAGCCTATTGACTCTTTGTTACTTCACTGTGTGTGTTTCCTGGATATGGCTGAATTATCCTGAAAACCTATAATTTCCTGTTTCCCTGATCTCCAGGAGACTATTTTATGCTTCTCTACTAATATTTATGATGTGTATATGTTAGTCTCCTGTATTGACTCCACTCCTGTTTATGACCCTCTTCCTGTATACAATACCCGTCATACCTCATTGACCTTGCCCATCCCCTAGTTGTGGCTTCTCTGACCTGCCTTCATCTTTTGCTACCCCAAATCCCGTATAACATACTGTGTGCTAGGCTTAATGTGCTGGTCATTTGCCTGCTTGCTCTCAGATTCATTATTTTTGTCCTTCTCTTACTCTGTCTATGTCACAGGAAGCTGATTCCTGCCAACTGCATTTCCTGGGCTCATTTAACCATGCCCAGAAGGAATTAGGACAATGAAAGATAAAAAGATAAAGGAGCCAACATATCCTCTCCCCTTTGATTCAGACGACTTCTCCACCATCACCTTCTTCACAATGGCCACTTTTCCTCTGCAGTTGGGGTTCTTCTTCCCCAGCAATGGCTCCAGGACTCTGTTAACTCAGCTCCTCCCCAGTTCTAGAGGTAGACGGTAGAGGCTTCCTGCTATTGTTACTCTGGGGTTCCCCTTCTTCTCCAGTTTGGCTTTCCAGCCCTTCCAACTCCTTTGTAACTAGTTCCTGGTATCAAATTCACTTAACTGAACTACCTGACTTCGGCCCTGATGTTTGAGTGGACCCCATCTCACACACTGAGGTTGACAATACTTGGCAAGTTGTTAGGCGAAGAGCAAAACAATAATCATAATCATAGAAGCATTCATGTAGGTATTGCAAGGCTCACATCTCCAAAATGTCCAGTGGAGACATGAAATAATGAATATGTTACATAGTGACAGTCATTTAAAATTTTTCAAAAGCCACTTTCATTTTGTTCTTTTCTTCATTCTTTAGTAATCCCCCATCAATAGAGAAACTATGGGGGAAAGGAGCAGAGTATACAAAGAATGATGCCCACAGTGAGCCCAAAATAGCTCCAAGTGGATTTGCCTGCACGAAAGAAAGATGTAATCAGCACCCAGAGTAGGTAGCGAAACAGTCAACACTGCTGTTCCTCTCAAGACCCCTGCTGCTCTCCCACCAGAAACGTAGTCGCTCTCTGCATTAATTTGATCTTCCCATGACGTGAAAGCATCAATTATAAGTTGTACGATAAGTCAAGCTTATTATATGTAAGAGTCCAGGCCAGGCGCAGTGGCTCACGCCTGTAATCCCAGCACTTTGGGAGGCCAAGGCGGGTGGATCACAAGGTCAGGACCTCGAGACCATCCTGGCTAACATGGTGAAACCCTGTCTCTACTAAACAAAATACAAAAAATTAGCCGGGCGTGGTGGCGGGTGCCTGTAGTCCCAGCTACTTGGGAGGCTGAGGCAGGAGAATGGCGTCAACCCGGGAGGCAGGGCTTGCAGTGAGCTCAGATCACGCCACTGCACTCCAGCCTGGGCGACAAAGCAAGACTCTGTCTCAAAAAAATTAAATAAATAAATAAATAAATAAATAAATAAAGAGTCCAGGGCAGTTGTCAGTGGCCTAAATGACTAAGGAGTGACCCATCTTTTGAGAGAAGCTTTGAAAAATCAGACTTTTGTGCTCTGTAAAGGGTTTTGTGGTTTTATGACCTTGGGCAAGATCCAGTTCATCATTTCTAGCTTCTGAACAAATCTTTTTTCTGGATTTTTGAAATGGAACAGAACTACAAGCCACAAAGGGGATCCGTTTTATTATTTAAATGAAATAAATGCATGGAAATTCATGGTTCCAGTGAGGAACCATGCATTTGCTAAGACTGCTGTAACAAAGTACCATACACTGGATGATGGCTTAATGAGAGAAGCTCATTGACCCCAGCTCTGGAGGCTAGAAGTCTGAAATCGAGGTGTCAGGAGAGTTGGTTCTTTCAGGGGACTGTGAAGGAGAATCTGTTCCATGTGGCTCTCCCAGCTTCTGGTGGTTTGCTGGCAATCTTTGGCATTCCTAGGCTTCTGCTACATCATTCCAATCTCTGACTTCACCTTCACTAGCACTCTCCCTATGTGTGTGTCTGTATCTGTGGTTAAATTTCCCCTTTTTTGTAAGGATACCAGTCGTATTGAATTAGGACCCACTATAGTGATCTCATTTTAACTTGCTTACCTCTGTAAATATCGAATCTCCAAATAAGGCCACATTCTGAGGTACTGGGGATTACGACTCCAACATATCTTTTTGCGGGGAGGAGAACACAGCTCAGGCCATAACGAGCCATTTGTAGAGATTAGCTCACTATCTGTTTCTGACTCTTCTTTCCATACCTGCCTACCCATTTCTCTCCACACTGTCTCTTGACAGAACCTGTGGTCTGGAAAACATCTGGTCAACTTAGTCACACTGAGGAGTAAGTGGCCAAAGCTGCCTTTGTCTATCTGTAGTATACAGTGGTTCAAAAGGATAAAAATAATGATAGGAAACTGTTAAATTTTATATGTTATCCCTCCTCGAAATACTGCATTTTAACAAATCACAAAGAATTATACCCATTTCTCACTATAAGTCACAAAACTTGGAGTTATGAGTAAAAACTTGCTAAGCAACCCTTGATTTTCATTGTAATTAACAGAAAAACTGCATTGTCTATTAACAGAAAGATAAAATTGAGTCTCAGATTGGTGATACAATGATACGCACTCATAAGTCTCTACTTAAGATGACCATAAACCAGGTGCAGTGGTTCATGCCTGTAATTTCAGCACTTTGGGAGGCCAAAGTAGGAGGATTGCTTGAGCCCAGAAGTTTGAGACCAGCCTGGAAAACATAGTAAGACCCTGTCTCTATAAAACATAAAAAAATGAGCTGGGTGTGGTGATGCCTGTGTGGGGGCCCTAGTTACTGGGGAGGCTACAGTAGGAGAGCCTGGGAGATCCAGGCTGCAGTAAACCGTGATCAAGCCGCTGTAATCCAGCCTAGGCGACAGAGTGAGACTCTATCTAAAAAAAAAAAAAATCTATTACTATAAATTTCTTCTTTACCAGCAGTAAAAGATATAAGCATTCCTGAAGGAGCTGCAAACATAGCTACTGACATATCATCAGTATTGTTTCATAAGTGGTTCAGAGGCTATGAAATTAGCAATGCATTTAAACCACTTGAGCCAACCATGACTTCCTCAGCGGTCCAGCCCCTCCAAAAATGCACGCAGGAGCCTTTTCTGTACCAAATAAAAGATTAATTTTTTAATCTCAAGAATGTGGGATGTGATAGGATAGCTATCATATTTTTAAAAAACTTAAATGGACTCTAAGAACTAAAAACCATGATGGAAAACTTCACTTCAGGTATTATGATCTAAAACATAGTCAATTCTCATTATTCATGGTAGTTATAGTTTATAAAGTTGCTGTAAACATTGAATTAGTGAATAATGAACCATTGCTCTTAAGGGAAATACAGGGTTAGGTTTCTGCAAGCTTCTGGTTATAACATTTTTGCCAACCAAACATATAACCTTGTTTTATGTGTGTTTCTGTTTAAAGACACTTTAGCATATATTGTTGATTTGTTAACATTGAACTCACAGCTAATAGCGCCATAACTCATGCTTGAGTGAAACTGATCCAACACACGTATTTTCTCCATAAGGCACATCATAGCCTTCTTGTGCTTAAGAACCCTACGCAGCACTTAGCACTACACTTGTTGGCCATTTTAAACAGCAAAATCACCACCAAAAAGAACGAAAGTGTGAAAAACATGGTACTAAATAAACAGAAAAAGGACACACATATAGTAAGAAAGCTGAAGTGGGAAGGCAGAGTGTTGCTTTGTTGAAATTCAGCTGGGAATGTGTGCAATCAACAACTCAATTTTTTTTTCTTTTCTGCACATGTCTGCCAATGATCACAAAAGTGCTGTGGGTATTGATTCGGGAGTTATAAATAACTTTTAATGAGTAGGAGAATTTGCAGATATGAAAGCCATGAGAAATGAGGTTTGACTGTACGTCTCCCTGGCTTCTGTTGCCCATAAGCCAAAAATATATATTTTTTAAAAAAACAGGGCTTTTTTTGCCTAGCAAAGTGGGTTACATTTACACTCCATATTTGTAATTTGTCATGTGAGACCTCAAAGGATGTTGGATAACTGTAATTAATGTCCAAGCCCTGCTGCTGATTATCTGAGTGAACTTGGTCAAAGGGACTGGTTTTCCATGGGTCTCCTCTTATTATTCATAAACTGATAGTCTTGGACTACTATACACACACACACACACACACACACACACAAATATACACAAATTATCATAAAACTTTTTAAATCCAACACTCATATCCAACACTCACATTTTAAAATACTCAAAAATCAGGAAAATATATAAGGAATAGTACTCTAGACAGTGATATGATAGGAAATTTTTTACTGTATTTCCTTTTATACCTTTTGGTTTTTGAACTATGAAAATGTATTACCTTTTTAGAAATTATTATTATTATTATTATTTATCTTGAGACAGAGTCTCCCTCTGTCACCCAGGATGGACAACAGTGGCACAATCTTGGCTCACTGCAACCTCTGCCTCCCGGGTTTAAGCGATTCTCCTGCCTCAGCCTCCCGGGTAGTTGGAATTACAGGTGCCTGCCACCACACCTGGGTAATTTTTGTATTTTTAGTAGGGATGGGGTTTTGCCATGTTGACCAGGCTGGTTTCAAACTCCTGGCCTCAGGTGATCCACCTGCCGCAGCTTCCCAGAGTGCTAGGATTACAGGCATGAGCCACCATGCTCAGCCCCTTTTTAGACATTAATAAGGGGAAGAAGAAAGAGGAGGATGAGGAGGAGTCAAGAGGAGGAGGAAAAAGAAGGAGAGGGTGAAGAAAGAAAACCCCTAATAGGCATTTTGCCTTCTGTATGGTAGGGAGCAGGGATATTAAGCTCAGATTATTCTGTGACCATTAGACCACAAGGGTTTACATACTTTCATATCTTTCTATAAATCATGTACTTACAAATATCTTTCACATATCTTCTTTATAAATCATGTATTTGTTAAGTACTTACTCCAGGGACAGTTGTTAGTATGTTATTCTATTTTTTTCCTTATGCCTGTGAAGTAAGTATTCGGTTGAATCATATGAAAATGCAAATATTCAACCATTTTTGACCTGCAAAAATGTCCATTTCTTATACTCAACCCAACGCTAATGTCCCCATTTTAATAATGAAGAACCCAGGATTCACAAAAGCTGTGCCGCTGCTCAGTGGTGCCACAGTTGGCAAAAGAGACTCTTGACCAGAATCCAGATCTCCTGTTTCTACTAAATAGTGGGATGACTTTCACAGTAAATGCATAACTTTCTTTACCTATGTGTGAACTTAAATGCCACCAGGTGGCATTTCTTTAATCTTGACATCAATTAAGTCAAGATTTTCTCCCATCACCACTTGCCCTCCATTCCCAATAATTGTGTCTGGGAGGTGGCACACGCCTGGCTGCCCTGTTCTCGCCCACACCTTCCTTCTGCTGCTGCTGCTGTGCCTGGCAGGCCTCTAGAACTCTGGTATCTTTTTGTCTACCTCAGCTTTGGAGGCACACATCCTGACTGCTCCTTTTCTTTTCTTTTCTTCTCTTTTTTTTGTTTTTTTTTTGAGATGGAGTTTCACTATTGTTGCCCAGGCTGGAGTGCATGTGCCACCGTGCCCGGCCAATTTTTTGTATTTTTAGTAGAGACAGGGTTTCTGCATGTTGGTCAGGCTTGTCTTGAACTCCTGACCTCAGGTGATCCGCCCACCTCGGTCTCCCAAAGTGCTGGGATTACAGGCGTGAGCCACGGCACCCGGCCTCCTGACTGCTCTTAAGCAGAAGGTCTACCTCACAGACCACTTGACCACTTCCTCTGAAATCATGAAAACTGTCTTGGATTCAGACCGTTATCTAGTCTCAGGAAGGAGAAAAGTCCAGCTCCGACATACTGTACACACTCCAAACCTCGAGTCTCTTCAAGGCAGTGACTTTGAAATTTCAAAACCTTCATTTTTGGCTTTGGAAAGACTCTTAAACACCTCTTTGCTTATGGTTTCAAAGTCCATTTTAAAATGCAAAAAAAAAAAAAAAATCAGAAAGCAATTGTGTTTACTTTTGTTCCTTTCTTGAGGAAATAATGGCAAAATAACTGTTGCCTGAATAACGAGACTGAGCGGACGGGTAGGGATAATGGAAGAGAACAGATGGGAGAAGAGGAAAAGGGAAGTTAATGTTCAATATTCTGTCCTGCCACATTCATTGGTTGTTCTTTTCTCCAACACAGCTTTTCAGGTAGTTCTCAAATTTGAGAATGCCCATGAAATTGTTCAGGGGAGTTGCTTAAAATGCACAGACCCTGCTTTATTTGGAGAATACTCTGGACCAATGAAAACAGGCTAATCTATAAGGCTATGTTAACGTTCAATTGTGAACAAGTCCAAATTGAAGTAAGAGCATACCATCCTACAAAATAGAAGGAAATATATTAGGTGAATGAAACTGAAATTTATTTTTCAACCAAGCGTTGAATAGCAATCTGGTGCTGTTTGAATAGCAACGCCCATTGTGACTTCGGATCCATGGGCTTTTTGATTTGCCTGTGAAGCAGTTCTTTTAAACACAGGTGGGATGCTGGGCTATTATTTAACCAAGACTCTTGGACAATAGAACCACATCAAAACAGCATGACAGTTCAGAGGACAGTCAAGCAAAATGTGCTTCTGTGCTATATCTAAATTGCAAAGGAGAGGAAGGACTCGGGAAAACAGTGTAATTAGAGGCAATTTAAGCTCCCTAGTAGGAGGAAAAGCAAAATAGTCTATATTTAAAATTGTAGTGGGAACTTGAAGTTCTAAGGTCATAAAGGTAAGGCTCAGGGAACAAGGAGAAGAGAGGGCTAAAAGGAAGAAGGCACAGTGTGTACTCAGACACCTTAAAGAACCAGAGAAACAGTTCTGGGAGAAAAGAATAGTAACATAACATTTCTCTTAAGCAGTATAATGAGAGATATCAGGCTGGAGAGAAAAAGAATAGGAAATGTGGGGAGAGGTTTGACAAGGTAGGAAGAACTGAGATGAAAGCAGATTGAATATTTGTGAGAAAGAAAATAAAATTTGATTTTTTAGGTAGAAATATTTTTCTAGTGCAAAGTCTCCAGGCATGCAAGTCATGTTTGATTTAGATTATACAGCTTTATTGGGCTCACTATATATTTTTCTTTCTTTCTTTTTTTTTTTTTTTTTTTTGAGATGGAGTCCTGCTCTGTCACCCAGGCTGGAGTGCAGTGGCACAGTCTCGGCTCACTGCAACCTCCGCCTCCCAGGTTCAAGCAATTCTCCTGCCTCAGCCTCCCGAGTAGCTGGGACTACAGGTGCCCGCCACCACACCCGGCTAATTTTTGTATTTTCAGTAGAGATGGGGTTTCACCATATTGGTCAGGCTGGTCTCAAACTCCTGACCTCAGGTGATCCACTCACCTCGGCCTCCCAAAGTGCTGGGATTACAGGCATAAACCACCATGCACAGCCTATTTTTCTTAAACTACCTTAAAAAGTGCTACCCAATCTTGTTGGCCACAGTTCAGAGGAGGGTTATGGAGCCTTATAGAGTGTCAGAGAATTTCCTCTCCTGAGGGGTAATTTTGCTTTCCTACATGGTCCTGCCATACTGGGAAAATAAACATGGGTTGTTTCTTCGACAAGAAACAACTCCCAAAACGACTCTAGTTGTTAAAAAGGAGGCAAAAATACCAATGTTTCAAGTTTTTCTTGTAAAAGCTTTCTTCTTGCACAATATTCCCTCATGGCTGCATAATACTTTAACTTTTAAAAGTAGTGCACTTGGCCAAGTTCAGTGGCTCACGCCTGTAATCCCAGCACTTTGGGAGACTGAGGCAGGTGGATCACCTCAGGTCAGGAGTTCAAGACTGGCCTGGCCAACATGGTGAAACCCTGTCTCTACTAAAAATACAAAAAAATTAGCCGGGCGTGGTGGCGGGAGCCTGTAGTCCCAGCTACTAGGGAGGCTGAGGCGGGAGAATGGCATGAACCTGGGAGGCAGAGCTTGCAGTGAGCCAAGATCGAGCCACTGCACTCCAGCCTGGGAGACAGAGCGAGACTCCATCTCAAAAAAAAAAAAAAAGTACATATGCTGGAGCTCTCTGTTTCAACCTGCCTAAAGCTGTCTCTCCTCCAGCTGTTTCAGAGTCACACTGATCCAAGGAACAGGGATTTATTCCTCTCACATTTAACAGGAGGAAAGCTTGAAGTAGCATAACCTGATAAAGATTCTCCAACTGGGCCAAAGACTCTGTTTTCTGTGCTGTTCCAGTAAGTGCCCCTCCCTAGCTAAGAAACTAAGAGGCAGAAATTGACCTATTCATCATTGTGTGTCCACTCTTGGGTAGTAGGGCAGCCGTGGTTGAAGCTTACCTCACAACCTCTCTATTATGGAGGCCACAAAAGCACTTTGAAAACTATAATGCATTATAGCAATGTAGGGTACTGTTGCAATTATGTTAGAAACAGCAACCCATTAAAGAGTAAGGGTTTTTTGCATAGATCACACCCACCCCTCATTCCTTTATCATCATCTATGTGAGCTACTTTGGGACTAACTTGTCTTGCTCCTTGGTGTCATTAAGAGGCTATTCATGTTATCACAGAGGGGTACAAAGAAGACTTCAGCGTTTCAGGAGTATTCCTTTATTTTTAAAAAAATGTCCGTCTGGGCACCATGACTCATGCCTGTACTCCCAGCACTTTGGGAGGCCAAGGCAGGAGGAGCTCTTGAGCCCAGGAGTTTAAGACCAGCCTGGGCAACACAGCAAGACTTCATCTCTACTAAAAAATGTTAAAAATAGCCAGGTGTGGTGGCCCATATCTGTAGTCTCAGCTACTCAGAAGGCTCAGGCGGGAGGATTGCTTGAGCCCAGGAGTTCAAGACCAGCCTGTGCAGGAATCCAGCCCGCAGACCCTGAACCAGTGATGGATGAGAGACATACACTGACACAGATATTTTGCCTGTCAGTCTGGCTAAGGGGCTCTGCTCTGCATCTGGAGCATCACCTCAATAAGCTAGCAAAGTTCACATTTATTTAATACAGATTAAATGACAAAGGTCTCGAGTAAACACCACTAGAGGGTAATTAACATTGCTCACCCCCTGAGTAGAGAGCAATTATGCACCTGAGGTTGATCAAAGTTTGGTTTTAGGACCACATGAGTAAGCAAGCTATTTAGATAAACTTCCTCACATTCCCTTGTTATTTTCATTTTTGCTATCAGCTAAAGGTAGAGAGGATTAGGCTGCTTTCAGCCAAATCTGTTACTGAAGCAATGTAAACCCTCTCCAGCCTTACAAGAAGGTTTGTGTCTATTTCTTATAACTATCTTTAAAATTTTTTCCACCAGCCTGACTGAACTCCCACAAGCCTGGTCAACATAGCAAGACTTCATCTCTACTAAAAAAAATTAAAAATTAGCCAGGTGTGGTGGCCCATATCTATAGTCTCAGCTACTCAGAAGGCTCAGGCAGGAGGATTGCCAGAGCCCAGGAGTTCAAGGCTGCAGTGAACCATGATCACAGCACTGCACTCCAGCCTGGGTGACAGAGCAAGACCCTGCCTCTAAAAAAAAAAAAAAAAAAAAACTGTGATGAACATTGATTAATTGTAGGTACACATATATTTTTTATTATCATCTATGCTTTTTCTCATTTATAAATGTCTCCAGATCTTTTTAAATTCTGTGAGCAGAACTTCATAGCTATTAGGTTAGGCTAAAACATAATTAATGCATAAGAGACAGAACCCAGTTCCATTGAATCCAAAGGTAAATTCTAAATATCCCACATTTATCTTTTTTCTTTTAAAAATTTATTTGCTAATTTTTCTTAGCGTTCCCTTCCCCCATTTATGCTAAGAATACCCAATGTACTTATACCAGCATCATTTATAATAGTAAGCAATTAGGATGATAGGCACACTATCAAATGATATTTGGAATGGTAAGTCTAATGAATGAAATTGTGTCAATAAAAATGTTAAATTTTAAGTGTGACATACAAAATTGTATATTATATATATATATATATATATTTTTTTTTTTTTTTTTTTTTTTTTTGAGACAGAGTCTCGCTCTGTCACCCAGGCTGGAGTGCAGTGGCACGATCTCGGCTCACTGCAACTTCCACTTCCCGAGTTCAAGTGATTTTCCTGCCTCAGCCTCCCGAGTAGCTGGGATTACAGGTGTGCACCACCATGTCCAGCTAATTTTTGTATTTTTGGTAGAGATAGGGTCTCACCATGTTGCCCAGGCTGGTCTCAAACTCCTGAGCACAAGCTATCCACCCGCCTCAGCTTCCCAAAATGCTATAATTACAGGAGTGAGCCATCATGCCCAGCCTAATATACAATGTTTATGGATGCCAAAGTATGTGTCAAAAGTATAAAATCAAGTGGTAGAATGGTAAATGCTGAGTTAATAAGAGCGATTTTGATATAATGATGAATATTGAGGTAGAAGAGAAATACAATCAATAGTACATGGGGTCTCAGTGGACTGACAATGCTTTCTCTTTTTAAAGGGAAGCAAATATGTGATAATGTTAAGATTTGAAAAAGCTGAATGATGGATGGATGTGTGTTCCTATATTAGTTTCTTGCTTATGTGCGTGAACCACTTCACAGTTTTTTGAATGTCATTTGTTAAAACTTCATATTCCATTGTGCTGGTCCTTTGAACTTTTTCACTTAGTCTATTGAAATCTAGAAAACAACATGCAGACAGAATTTTGGAAGTAGAAGGGAAGAAGATCCACACAAAGTGGGGACTTGAGAGATACAAGTTACAGTTAGCAGAACAGGAAGCAAATATTCATATATTAAGAAAATTACAAAGAGGAATTCAAGTAAATAAGTTACCTAAAATTACAATAGAGGAACTAAAAATAATGAGACATCCATATTGGGAGGGAGGAGGGTGTAAGTGAACTAAGTTCTCATCTATCAGAATAGGAAGGAAGTCCACAGATAAAGCCTGTCTGTCTGATAAATAAAGAAGTGGTGATATAACTGTATTATTTAGAGATAGGGAAGTAACCACCCAGAAGAATTTTTGAAACTGTAGCCGTTAAGAAGTCAGACTTGTTCTAGGGCTTGAGTGGAAGGTAACGGGGTGGGTTGGGGGTGGGAAGGACTGGCAAAGCTTTCTTACCTCTTACAATAAGCTCTTCAGCATTGTTGACTTTTTTGTAAATATGTGCGTGTACTGCCTTGGTCAAAAAATTTTTTTGAGGATAACACAATAGTAAAACCATCAGACCCCAGAAAATGTTCCTTTCTTCAATAATCTGACCTAGTGCTGTTTCACTTTTTTTTTTTTCTTGGAGATGGAGTTTCGCTCTTGTTGCCCAGGCTGGAGTGCAATGGCACGATCTTGGCTCACTGCAACCTCCACCTCCTGGGTTCAAGGGATTCTCCTGCCACAGCCTCCCGAGTAGCTGGGATTACAGGCGCCCACCACCATGCCTGGCTAATTTTTTGTATTTTTAGTAGAGATGAGGTTTCACCATATTGGCCAGGCTGGTCTCGAACTCCTGACCTCAGGTGATCCACCTGCCTTGGCTCCCAAAGTGCTAGGATTACAGGCGTGAACCACCGCTCCTGGCCCTATTTACTTTTTCTTCTTTTTTTTTTTTTTTTTACTAAGAAAGTGAAAGCATCAAAGAATCCCTATTCACTTCTTGACCTGTGTTGTATACTTGCTTATAAATTGTGTACATTTTCATCTTTTAATTGGTATCCTGGAATGACCCTTTTTCTTTCTGTTTTTCTTCCTTTTATATTTTGCCCTCTGCAAACATTTTAGAGTTGATTTTCTGTACAAAAGGTTGAAGACTGTTCACTTATGGAAAGCTTGTTTCTGATAGACACTTAAATGAAACAAAGAAGGCTTCTATAATTCAAATGGGTTTAAAACATGCCTATGACAAACAGAGACAGAAAGTAGATTTTGGCTGAGGGAGTGGGGGTGAACAGTAACTGCTAATGGGTTGCCGTCATGTTTTCTGGGGTGGGGGATGAAAACGTTTTGGAATTAAAAGAGTGGTGATGCTTACACATCTTTGTGAATATACTAAAATCCACTAAAGTGTACACTCTAAAGGAGTGAATTTTATGGCATGTGAAATATCTTAGCAAAAAAATGCCTATGAAAAATATTGCAAGGGAATAAGCAAAAATGATAGTCACTGTGTTGTACTCAGGGGATGTTTTTTCTATTTTCTATTTCCCTAAAGTTTTGGTAATGCGATAAAAGTTTCATAATTTAAGAAATATTCTATTTATTTTATTTTTGAGACAGGGTCTCCCTCGGTTGCCCATGCTGGAGTACAGTGGTGCGATCACTGCAGCCTCAACCTCCTGGGTTCGAGTGACTCTCCCACTTCAACCTCCTGAGCAGCTGGGACCACAGGTGCATGGCACCACGCCTGGTTAATTTTTTATTTTTCATAGAGACAGGTTCTCACTGTGTTGCTCAGGCTGGTCTTGAACACCTGGGCTCAAGCAATTGTCCCACCTCAGCCTCCCAAAATGCTGGGATTACAGGCGTGAGCCGCTGTGACAGGCATAAGAAATATTTTAAAGTAACATCATTAGCCTGGATGTATGGTACCATCTTCAATCGTCCAAGTTTTCCTCTTAGTTCCATAACACTTTTTATTTTCTCCTGCACTCTAATGCACATAATTGTTCATACTGTAATCTGTTTTATTTATAGTTTTGGCTTTGGTGTTACTCTTTTTTAAAATATTGTTTTGAGACATGTTCTCTTTTTGTCACCCAGATAAGAGTGCAGTGGTGCAGTCATGGCTCACTGCAGCGTCTGCCTCCTGGACTCAAAGAATCCTCCTACCTCAGCCTCCCAAGTAGCTAGGACCACAGGTATGTACCACCACACCCAGTTATTATTATTATTTTTTTTCACAGAGACAGGATCTCACTATGTTGCCCAGGCTGGTCTCCAACTCCTAGGCTCAAGCGATCTACCTGCCTCAACCTCCCAAAGTGCTGGGATTACAGGCATGTGCCACTGGGCCTAGCCTGGCATTACTCTTACAAAGGATACACCACGGTAAGGTTATAAAAAACATTTCTATGAATTTGTGAATTTTGTTCCTAGTAGTTTTATACTTTGCTTCTTTTTTTGAGACAGAGTCTCGCTCTGTCACCCAGGCTGCAGTGCAGTGGTGCAATCTCAGCTCACTGCAACCTCCACCTCCCAAGTTCAAGTGATTCTCATTCCTCAGCCTCCTGAGTAGTAGCTGGGATTACAGGTGTGTGCCACCATGCCCGGCTAATTTTTGTATGTTTAGTAGAGATGGGGTTTTGCCTTGTTTGCCAGGCTGGTCTCGAACTCCTGGCCTCAAGAAATCCACCCACCTTGGCCTCCCAAGGTGCTGGGATTACATACATGAGCCACCGTGCCCGACTATACTTTGCTTTTTTATTAAAACATGTTCAAGTCCTTGATCTATCTGGAATTTAGCTTTGTATATGGCTTGAAAGGGAATTAATATTATTTATCTTAATCAATGGCCTGATGTCATAAACAATTCATTTTATATTATATACTGATGTTGTTTAAATAAGTGTGAGTGTGAGTGTGAGTGTGTGTGTATGTGTGTATACAAAGTCTATCTCTACATTTTCTAGTCTGTTCCTTTGACTTATTGCCTGTTCCTAAACCAGTGCCATGCTGTTCGGTTTTATGTCTAGTAGAACAAATTCCCTCTCCTTGCAGTATCTTTTATAACACAAAAATCTCACAAATAAATAAATAAAACTTGCATCCAAATATGCTAAATGACTTGCTCGTATATCATTTAGAGATACAATTCAGAGAATAATCTCAGTTTTCTGAGTTCAGTCATTTATTTGTTCTATTTAACAGATTTTTATTGAACATCTACTATATAACAGAGTCTGTTCCAGCTTCTAAGGATCCAGTAGTGAAGGAAATACAAAAATCTATGCCCTCATGGAGCAAACACATATTCAACATTATTATTCATTTTTAAATAGCTACATCTCTGCTAAATTTTCCAGTTTTTGAAAAATAAATTTTAGTTATTAATTCAGCATAATTAGAAGAGTTGAAATTTTACACTTCATATCTCACAGTTTATTTTTCTTACACATATATTTTTTATTTTATTTATTTATTTTGAGATGAGTCTCGCTCTGTTGCTCAGGCTGGAGTGCAGTGGTACAATCTCAGCTCACTGAAAACTCCACCTCCTGGGTTCAAACAATTCTCCTGCCTCAGCCTCCTGAGTAGCTGGGACTACAGGCGCACGCCACCACACACAGCTAATTTTTGTACGTTTCGTAGAGAAAGGGTTTCACCATGTTGGCCAGGCTAGTCTTGAACTCTTGACCTCAGGTGATCCACCTGTCTCAGCCTCCCAAAGTGCTGGGATTATAGGCATGAGCCACCGTCCCTGGCCACATTTTTTTTTTTAAACTCTACAGTTTCACTTCTCTTTTTTTTATGCAAAGTAGTCTCTTCTCTACATCCATGGTTGATTTCTAAAAACCCCTTTGCAGGAGAATTCCCTGTCAAGAGCGTAAGACTTTATGAAGCAAATTAGGAAAATTGAGGCCACTATTAAACTACAAAGAATACATATTTTCCTTAGCCATTTGTTCAAATAGGACAATACATCTGGCACATATTATGTATCTAAAATTAGTAATAAATTCCCATTCACCACTTCTTGCTTTGGGATAACTTTCTAGAACTTCTCTTTTATGAAGTTTCAGCAAGACACATGATTATTTTATAACACGTGATATTCATGATGAGTCTTTTTTCCCCTTTTAGTTCTGGTTGCTACATTTCTTATTTTATGACTTAAAGTTAAATTACTTACACTCTCTACACCCGAAATGATCCCAAGGGAACTGAGTAACTTGAGAGAAGTTAAATATAATTACATGTTTGGACTCTAGAGTTATACAGATCTGCTTCAGACTTAGCTCCCCTACAGAAGATGTGACTTGGACAAGCAAGGTAACCTCTCTAAGTTAGGTTTCTCCATCCATAAATTGGTAAGAATAATATGTACCTGCCTCATAGGATTGTTGAGAAAATTAAGTGAGGTACAATGTGTAAAATTAATATCTCAGTGCTTGGCACATAATCCATGTTAAATAAGTGTTAGCCAATGTTATTATTGAGATGTTTGTTAAGACCATTTCACTACAAAGAACAGCGGTTCATCTGGGTGATGGGAGCAGGGGTATCGTGACGGTATTTATGGAAATAAGGACTTTAAGGACCTTCTGGCATATCAAGAAAAGCTGTCGAGCTGGGCCTCTTGGACTCTGGAAGTCACTCAGGAACTAGAAGCATCCAGTGGAAGAGTCACCAATCTGAGTCATCTTCTTGCTGCCTTGGCAAGTTCAGGGATCCCATAAATGCAGTGACTCAGCATCCCTCCAACTGTACTGCTACCATTCCCATTTCTACTAATTTTTCAACTCTCCTATAAATACCGTTTGATTTTGGCTTACCTATAGCTTCTGCTTGTTCATAACTGCTCACTCCTCCTTTCTGATAACTCAAAACTTCAACTTATTCACAATTTGTCAGTTCCACATGAAATTTCTAGGCAATAATGTCTGTTTGACTCAGTAGTATCCCTATTGAAGCAGAGGTTCTATATGCTAAACCTCCTCGTGGGCCATAAACCCATAGAAAAACTGATGGCCTTTGGATCATGAGCACATTCCTGATTCTAGTCAGCTGAGCTGGGAGAACTGGGGGCTGAGGGGTTCTGGAAGCGGGGCAGAGAACGTGGCATAGAACATGGCCACCTTCTTAGTAGGACCTGTAGGCTCTGCAGTTACCCCCAGAAGTGGGCTGTGTGGTGACTGGCTTGTCTGTAAACTACACTTTGGGTAAATTATATCTCATCTATTCAACATAGCCAAAAAGAAATGTCTCACTCCTCCTCCATTGACAGTTTTTATTACTTTGGTTGGTTGATTTTAAAGGGCAGTAACCTAACTTGAACTAACTTAGACACAAAGAGGAATTTATTGGCTCACAGGATCCAGGAAAGGTTTAAAAAGTTGATGTCCAAGTCCAGTCTTCCCATATAACTTTGTTTCTTATTTTATTTTTATTTTTATTTTTTGAGATGGAGTCTTGCTCTGTCGCCCAGGCTGGAGTGCAGTGGCATGATCTCGGCTCACTGCAACCTCCGCCTCCCGGGTTCAAATGATTCTCAGCCTTATGAGTAGCTGGGATTACAGGCACATGCCACCACGCCCAGCTAATTTTTGTATTTTTAGTAGAGATGGGGTTTTACCATGTCGGTCAGGCTGGTCTCGAACTCCCGACCTCATGATCTGCCCGCCTCAGCCTCCCAAAGTGCTGGGATTACAGGCGTGAGCCACCGTGCCCAGCCTGTTTCTTATCTTAAAATTAAACCCTATTTCCTTTTTTTTCTGATCCCTGTAAACAGTGACTCCAAGCTCGAATGATCTAATGCTATCTCAGTGACCTGTTTCTCGCTTATATAACACTTGGCCCATATGTGTATGGTTCGTTTTTAGCTCCTCCAGTTTTCCTTCAAACTCCTTTTACTCCCTCACATTCTTCATGTTTTACTTTCTTTAGTCTTGGGATTCATGTTACTTCCCCTTCCTGTATTCTGTCTTAAGTAGCTGAGGTATCTCCATAGTGCTTCTCACTTCCTTTTAGTTTCATTCCATTCACTTCCCTAAAGTTCTCTCCTGCTTCTTCCTTGCCTTTTTCTCATTGAGCCCATGAAGTTCTCTCCACTGTCTCAAGACAAAGGTATCCCTGTTGGAGTAAGTAATCTTGATTTTCTTTCCTCAGCAAAAGTTCATGTTGGGGATCCCTGGTGCACTTTTTCTTATCCTCTTATTGCTATCTTCACTATTTCCTGAAATTCATCTTCTTGTTTTTATCCAGTCTCTTCTATTGCTCTCTTTATCTCCTCTTTCCCTTATAGAATCAGTTAATTCTCTATATTCAAAAGAGTAAATGTTACCAGGTATTTCCCATATTGCTTTGCTAGGGCTGCTATAATGGAGTATACCACAGACTGGGTGGCTTGCACAACAGAAGTTGTTCTCACAATTCTGAAGGCTATAATCCAAGGCCAATGTGTCCACAAGGTTCATCTCTTTTGAGGCCTCTCTTTGGCTTGTACATGGCCATCTTCACCCTGTATCCTCATAGGGTCTTTCCTCTCTGTGTGTCTGTCTTAATTTATGCTTTTCATGAGGACACCAGTCATATTAGATAGGGCCCGCCCTAATGACTTCATTTTAACCTAATTATCCCTTTATAGAACCTGTCTTTGTTTGTGCTGCTATAACAGAATACCACAGACTGGATAATTTGTTAAAAAAAAACAAAACAAAAAAAACCAGAAACTTATTTTTAGCAGTCTGGAGACTGGGCCAAGATCAAGGCACAGGCAGGTTCATTTTCTGGTAAGGGTCCTATCTCTGCTTCCAAGATGGTGCCTTGAATGCCATGACCTCCAGAGGGGAGGAATGCTGTGTCCTCACATGGCAGAAGGCAGAAGGACAAAAAGGGACAAACTTCCTTCATCAGGCAGAAGGCAGAAGGACAAAAAGGGACAAACTCCCTTCATCAGGCAGAAGGCAGCAGGACAAAAAGGGACAAACTTCCTTCATCAAGCCCTTTTATGAGGGCACCTCATTCCATTCATGAGGAAGGAGCCCTCATGGCCTAAACACCTCTTAAAAGCCCCACATCTTAATACGATAACATTGGCAACACTTAAATTTTTGAAGAGACAAATTCAAACCATAGCAGATTTTATCTTAAAATATACAAAATACAGTCAGTCACATTTGGCATACTAGGGGTTAGGACTTCAACATCTAAATTTGGGGGTGGGGGCAATATTCAGCCCATAGCATTGCCTTTAAAATCCAGATCAAAAATTTACTTCTTACCAGGCACAAAGGCACACACCTACCACCCCAGGCTACTTAGGAGGCTGAGGCAGGAGGACTGCTTGAGCCTAGGAGTTCACCTTCAGCCTGAGCAACACAGTGAGACTGTGTCTCTTTAAAAAAAAATTTTATTTGAATTTCTTTTCTTCTCATCCAGGAAGTTTCCTGATCCAAAGAGCTCACAGTGATTTGGTCCTCGTAGAACTTGTATCGAAGTTTTTATTCTTATCATTCATTGGTAATCAGCCTGCTGTTTTGCCATATTAAATTATTATGTGTGTTTTGTGTTGTTAATTTCTTATGTTCTATTTTATCTACCAAATAAGATGAGATGAAGATGAACCACACCTTCCACTTTCTGAATCTTCATAGTATGTGATATAGCACTTTGCTTGTTGTATGTCCTCAGTATGTAATTTTAATAATTTAGTCAATGTTCTACCACTTCAGATTCTCCTAAGTTCAAACCACATGAAAGCTGTCCACCCATTAATTGTTTTCAGTCAATTCCTAAAAAACGTGTTCTTTCAAAAAGGGTCCTATTCAGTCACATTAATAAGAATTCAGTTTGGTGAAATCAGAGCAGTTGTGGATAGTGTTTGAGGCTGACCCTATTTAGATCAAAACCAGCAGAAATTAGTGGTAAGGCTTCGATGGGGTCAGTTCAGGAAGAGGTTTTTAATAAGATAACAGTCAGAGGGAAGGTGAGGGAGTCCATTCAGTTGGCAAGAGGAATTTTGAGCACAGGACATCCCCGAGCTGCAAGTCAGGCAGAGGGACACTGCAGATGCTACTCAAGTCTGTGGCAGAGGAAGAAGCATCCGCTCAGAGGACAGCACCCTGGGTGAGTCTGAGGGAGGATGCATCCGCTCAGAGGACAGTGCCCCGGGTGAGTCTGAGAGAGAAACACTGCCTCATTACTCAGTGGGTGCAGGAGCCCTTTTTACTGACTGCTGCATTGTCAGGATCCATGGTTGATCTGTGGACAAGATTTTATCTTCCTTAGTGGAGAAAAACCCTCCTGACCCAATGAGTGTGGCCTTGCAGAGGTCCTCAGTTTTCACTTCACCAGAGACTGCTTCCACCACTGGTGCCTCAATCTCCTACCACTGGGTCTTGAAACATCTCTCCAATATTCCTAAATGGTCCTAAAAGAACACAGGGCTTGAGGCCTTTCTCACGTAGCCACGTGCACATCAGTAACCATGCCCTCTCACAAAGCAGCACATAACTTCCTCTTTCTCAACAGGACGCTTGCCCCTCATCACCCTCCTTTCTCAAACATGGTCATCCAAACTTCCACCTACTGTCAAGGCTTATTCAACATTCACTGTTTTGGGGGCACAGTGGTAACTAACTTTGGAAACTTTTCTCTCTGACTGCAACAATTTGCTGAAGTGTAGTACATTGCTTTTCTACTGCTGCATGACAGATTATTACAAACATAGTGGCTTAAAACAAATGTGTTCTCTCACAGTTTCTGTGGGTCAGGAGTGCAGGTGTGGGTTACCTGGGCCCTCTGCTGTGGGTCTCACCAGCTCAGACAAGGAGTTGCAAGCTGGGGCCATGACCTCATCTGAGGCTCAGGGTCCTCCTCCAGGTGCGCGGGTAGTTGGCACAGTTCATTTCCTTGCAGTACATTGATTGCTATTGTCTAAATTTATGTGTCCCCCCTCCCAAATGTACATGTTGAAACTCTAACTCCTAAAGTCATGTTATTAAAAGGCGGGGCCTTTCGGATGTGAGTAGGTCATGAGGGAGGAATTAGTGCCCTTATAAAAGAGTCCACAGAGAGCTTGTTTGCCCTTTTTGCCCTTTTGCAAAGAGAAGGGGCCATCTATGAAGAGTGGGCTCTCACCAGACACTGAGTCAGCAGGCACCTTGATCTTCACTGTCACAACCTCCAGAACTGTGAGAAATAAATTTCTGTTGTTTATAGATTGCCCAGACTAAGGTATTTTGTCATAGCAGCACATTCAGACTAAGACAGTGACCAAGGTCATTGCTAACACTTGCTAACTCTCAGTCAGGGACTGCTTTCAACTCTAAGAGGTCACCCTCAGCTTCTTACAAAGTGGCTCCTGCAGCTCCCCATACCTCTTCTTAAGGACGGTTTGATTTCTTCTATGCCAGCAGAGTCTCTCTGAGTCTTCACCTTCAAGAAAGTTACCTTCTTCTTTTTTATTTTTATTTTTTTGAGACAGAGTCTCACTCTGTTGTCCAGGCTGGAGTGCAGTAGTACAATCACAGCTCACTGCTGCCTTGACCTACCAGGCTCAAGAAATCCTCCCACCTCAGCCTCTTAGTAGCTGGGACTAGAGGCACACACTGCCACACCCTGCTAATTTTTAAATATTTTTTTGTAGAGATGGAGTCTCTCTATTTTGCCCATGCTGGTCTTGAGCTCCTGGGCTCAAGCAATCCTCCTGCCCTGGCCTCCTAAAGTGCTGGGATTACAGGTGTGAGCCACCGTGCCTGGCCAAACGTTATCTTCTAAAAGTTAGGCTCACCTAGGGTTATCTCTCTTTTGATTAACTCCAGCATAACTAATTAATAACTTAATTGCATTACTTCCATCTATCAAAGTTCACCATAATTCTCACAGCCCTCATGAAGTCCTTGTGATTAACCACCCCTGATGTTGACCAAAACTGACCCTCATAGCTCCCAGGTATTCCAAACCATCTATCTGTTAAATATATACAAGACACACTGTGTATCAAAAACTAGTATTCTGTGTTTATGCTGGAAATATATTGACTGCTTTGTGTGCCTGGTCAATGGTGTGAAAAAGCCTAAGGAATATTTTGTCCCCAGGAAAGCCTAAACATGGTCAGAAACACAGAACTGAAAGCTTCACTTGTTTCCACCCCCTCCAAAGGCTACAATCAATATTATGCCCTTAGACCAAGAGATAAACTGCATTGGAAAACTAAAGGGTCTTTTGGGGATTGAGCCAACAACACATGTAGCCTCATTGTGATCCGAAACTCCAGGCCAGGCTAAAAGTATCCAGACCAGTGGTCTAGAAGAAGCTTTGCTTTCTAATGCAGAGGGTCTCAAACTTGAGTCCATCAGATCCCTCGGGGGCTGTATCCCTAAGCCTCTTCCCCAGAGTTTCTGTTCA